>NC_000007.14:114931021-115234051 GCF_000001405.40 Homo sapiens
TATTTTGGATACTTGATCTCTCTCTCTCCCTCCGTCCCCTTTTCCTCCTCCCTCTCTCTCTCTCTTTGTCTTTCCAGTAACACTTTATTGAAGTTACTTAAACTTTTAATATCTACTTTTTACATTAGCCTACATGTCCTGAAGGAGGAAAGCTTTTTAACCTTAAGTTTTTGAAGTCTAGTTATATTTTATAGATTCTTCTTCTAATCACTTAGGGTTTGCTAAGTAGAAACTATGAGAAGAGTTATTTTAACATGAATTTAATTTCGTTTGTGGTTTTTACTTACAGTCTACTTCTGTTTTCAGATTCACGCCCACATGATCTCAAGTGAGATGATTCATATACATGTGCTTTTATGCCCAATTTTTGGTAGTTTCAGGAATAAAGTCTGAAATTAATTTTTATGCTAGCACATATATTTTACTATGGAGAGATTTGAAGGGGAAAACCCTGCCCACAAATATTTTTCGGTGTGCCTACAAGGTCCTGCGAAAATTAAGAATGTATAGTTTTGCCCACAATGAATTTCTCAACAGGATGAGAAAGGATAAGACACAAATGTTTACCAAATTAAATTTCAGTCTCTTACTGAAATATCAATTCAAGATTAAAATAATAGCCATGTGACAGATTAATTTATGGCCAGATGCCAACTAACTGGTATCATCCTGGAGCAGGAAAATTTAGAGGTTGAGAGAGGATTTCAGGATGGCGAGAAGGAATCAGTTTTGTCTAAGTTGGACTGCTAGTGTCCATAGTTGAAGAATATACCGTTTGTAGGGTTTTTTGGTGAGAATTATGCCGTGTTGAGCCTTGAAACTAAGGTATCTTGTGGTCGAGCAGGTGACAGGCTCTCTGAAACTAGGTGGCAGAGTATGAAGGAACCAGCTTCCTCTCTTTACTTTTGCCACTCCGAGGCATAGTCCTCCTACTCTTTTTCAAGGTGAATCCGCCCTGATCTTTCGGGTGTTTGTAAACGCAGACGCTGCTTTTGGGTTTCTATAAACATAGTTCTTATTTCTTTCATTACTCAGGCAATACATAAGATCTGAGGGGTTGTACTATTTATTTCTCATGGGGATACAAGATAAAATTATTAAGCGTGGGAAAGTATAGGAGTTTACAATATAAAATATTCTAAAATATCTATGTTCAAATAACTCTATCAGTTTTTCACCAATATGCAAAATGGATATAATTCATACTTCAGCTAAGGAGTAACATATTTGATCTTGGTGTTAGGAAAGTATTTTTGATTGGAGGGTAAAGAGACTGAGGCACTGGTAGTGGGTGTGGAAAAGAAACTATAGATTTGCGAGAAATTGGGGAGTTGTTACTAGCAGGATCTGGTAATTGATTATTTTGGAATAGGCGACATAAAAAGAAAATAAAGAGTTGAAGGTGATTCTGTAACTACTATTAGCTAAGACACAGACAACAGTTATAGAAACAGACAGGAAGAGAAGAAAAGTGGTGATGAATTTTGGGAAATGTTGAGTCTGAGTTGCTAAAGATATATTTATGTAGAGTTAAAACTTCAAATCTGTAGCTCAAGATAGGTGTCAGGGCTAGTAAAATGGATCTACAAGTTATCTCCCTGCAATTTACTGAAACTGTGGAAGTTGATGAGACTGCAAAGATGGTAGAGCCAAAAGAATATAGGTTGTGGTCTTAGAGGAGAATCCGAAGAACTCATTGCTCTACAGCAAGGGTGGGGAGGACCCAGAAATTGAGAGGCTGAGTTAGTGAAGTTTATAAGTTCCTGATTTGGGCCTTTACAAAAATTGACAGATGACACACCTTCTGATTTCAATTTCATATCTACCATTCTGAAGTCCCAGAATTCAATTTCAGTATACTTCAAATTCACTTACAATTATCTTATTTGTGCCTTTGCCACTATTTGGAAAGCTCTTCTCTGTCCTCTATTTATTTAATTCAATATCAGACTCAAAGCATAACTCTGAAATGCTCTTACAGATTAAACAACCCCCTTTGATTCAATTTTGATTTCCACTAGCCTTCATTCTTGTAATAGTGCCAAGTAAGGGTTCTTTGCTTAACTAGAGAGCTTGAGACTAAAAATGTTCTTCATAAAATAACTCTGTATAACTGAGAGGTAACAAAAAGGTTTTTAAAACTGTGGTGCATATGCAAGTTATCATGCTGAAAGACTAAAGATGGGTGTGAATCATCATTTAAAAAGGGGAAGATGATAGAGTGTTCCATTCTTTTTTTTTTTTTTTTTCCTTTTGAGACGGAGTCTCACTCTGTCATGCAGGCTGGAGTGCAATGGCGTGATCTCGGCTCACTGCAGCCTCCGCCTCCCAGGTTCAAGCGATTCTCCTGCTTCAGCCTCCTGAGTAGCTGGGATTACAGGCATGGGCCACCATGCCCAGCTAATTTTTGTATTTTTAGTAGAGAAGGGATTTCACCATGTTGGTCAGGCTGGTCTTGAATTCTGAACCTTGTGATCCACCTGCCTCGGCCTCTCAAAGTGCTGGGATTACAGGTGTGAGCCACTGTGCCCAGCCTCCATTCCTTTTTATAATGGAGTTAATAGACTGCCAGTTAAGGGACCTGCTATAGATATGGTGTCTCTGGATTTTGGCAATCAGACAACCTCTTTCATGATAGTTTTCTCGACAAGATTAAGAAGGCTATTGCGTCTATAAGAGTGATTAGAATGTGATGCCTCTGAAAAGCCACTGAATCAACTGAGCATATTTAGCACAGAGAAGACAGAAGAACATGAGATACTTTCTAATATGGCACTGTCACATGGAGAGAAGATTAGACTTTGATTTTTTTACTTTGATTTTGCAAAAAGCAAAATGTGATGAATCAGTGAAAATTTTAGGGAAGTAGATTTTAGCCAAATGTGAGGATGGTCCGAATAATTAAAACTCTGAAAGTGGAATAAGCTATTTTCTGAGGCTGTTTCTCTATCCCTGTAAGTATTCATACCTACAGTCCTTGGCCTGTTCTTGGGAATGTTGGACGTCGAATGTTTTCATCTGAATTTATTTTATCAGCTTCTCAGAGGGACCTGTGAGAGCACATCTAACTCCAGATTTCATAAGCCTATGAATGTTTGGCTTTAGTATGAACATATTGTTTGGCTGAATAAACATAGCTGAAACTGTATGTGAGAAGGAAGGAGTTTGCTGTGCCTCAAGGTCAATCATCCTAAACATTTATTGTTGGGGTAAGGTACAGTAAGTTTAGATGAAAAAGGTGCAAGAGACTAAGATGACTAAGATGTGTCCTGGTTCCTCATATCAGATTGCTGTTATCCAAGCACTTATTTTCTTAAGTGGAAGTACAGGATTCTTCCTTCTCCCTTCATGAATTTAGAGCCCTGATTTATTGAGATATATTTTAAATGATTGCTGCACTTTATACCTATTCCTTCGCATATTTATACTCAATTGGATTTTCATATAATTTTGTAATTTGTTTTCTAATTTGCTGTGTACATACTCCATTCCTTTCACCTATCCCAAACCTATAAAGTGATTGAGTCAGTATCATTTTCCCACCATTCTTTTGGGTCTAAATATACCATAAGCTTCTAAATACATAAGAAGCCCTTCAAAGGAATATATTTTAGATCTTGCTCAGAAGTCTTATTATTTTTCAGAATACTGATAACAATGAATTAAATTACGTTGATTTTAGCATTTGATTTACTCAACAAACATTTATAGTGTATGATTATATAACTTCCTTGTGTTTGCACAATCTTGAAGTTTTATGCATATGTTCACTCATCTGTTTAAATGCTTTGGTTATCTTAATGTGTATTTTTGGACAATGCATTTTTAATCCATTTTAGAATGTTAGGCAAAGTAGGTTGGTTTTGCAATGTTCCTTAAAGGTCATTAGGCTTGAGGGTTTTTTTGTTTTTTTTGTTTTTGGATCAGTGAAGAAGTAAAATTCCAGAGCCTCAGGTCTTCCTGAAAGCTGCCTTATCTTTGGTTTTTTAAAGGTTACAGTTGGGAAACATTAGCAGAATTTCCACATTATTCTGAACTGCTGGGAAAATACAGACCTAGTTTTTTTTGTTACTTTTCCCAGAGATTTTAGTCTCAGATTACTTGAAATTTCATAAACTAGAATACATATCGATCATCTGTAATAATGCTGGTTTTTTAATGGAAGAGTAAATATGAAATTGTTTAAAGCAAGTTTGTTATACATAAGGGAGGTATGAATACAAATTGCTTATCACCAATAACAATATACATAATATGCAGATTATAAATGCTCTGTCATAGATTATTATCAAATATTTAATTGAAGTGTATGAGAGCTAACATGCAAAAGTCTCAAAATTTAAACACAAAGAGAACTAGTTATACTCCTTTTTATAAGACTATATTTTACACTGATTAAGTTTTATGAGGTTTTATAAAGATTCCTGCCAATCAACATAATTTGTATTAGTCTTTCTTGAAGTAAGCAAATAAAGTATGGGTAACAAGTAGAAAATGTATTTTTCTTTTTGTTTTTTTTTGGTTTGTGAGTTTACACACACCTCTGCCTGGTTCAGTAGAATATTTGAGGTGGCTTATAAGAATACTTTTTAAAAAGGATTAAAACAGAATAATGGTAAATATAAGTAGACTAGGAAACCCAAGTCCGGGGAAATCAGAATATATAGGTATAGGCTGTGGGGTCAAACACAGTTATTCAATTTTGAATGTAGATGTGCGTTCAAAAGAAAACTTTTGGGGGATATACTTTTCGTTGTCTATAAGGAAAAAAAATAACATACAGCTACTCAGAGGAAACAATACTTTTCCTTGTATTTAGTCTAGAAACATACTTATTGTCTGGTTTTTCATATAGAGATCACTGAAAGGATACTGCCCTCACCAGCCTCCTTATGATTTATTTATAGCGTGTTTTAAAAAAGTGCTTACTGCAATAACACTTAATGTAATAATAATTGCCAGTGTGAATGAGCTCTTATTCTATATCAGACACTGTGCTTTCCTGTCTTGATTTCATTTATTTCCACATCCACCTTACGAGGTAGAGACTGTTGTTATTCCCATTTAAAGTTGAAGAATCTGACAAAGATTAACTTGCCCAGGATCCACATCATTAGTGGTGGACCCAGGCACCCTGATTTTTGATCCTTTGCTTTTAAACACTTCTCTAGTGCAGAGTAAAACTTGGTGAGAGTACTTCTGTCCCAGAGACACTAATGAGAATCATTTTATTCGTCAGGAAGGCTTCAAGTATTTGGACTTTTAAGTGGCAATATTGCCCCCAATATTTTTGGAAAACTGTGGCATGTACAGAAATTTGAAGCAACATTCTCAGGTTCTTCTGTTACTATAATATTATTTGTTAAAAGCATTCAGTTATGGAGATAATATTATTGCTTGATTGTAAATTATTGGAAAAATATCCCTCTTCAATAGTTTGAACAGTTGTCTTATAGAAAAGGTAAAGTGTACATTTCTACCTACAAAGGGCAGAACTAAGAGTAGTTATAAATGACTTGATAGCAGATTTATGTTTAAAAAAAAAAGAATAACTTGTTAATGCACCAACCTGACCAAGAATAAAAGTTGTTCCCTTGTGAAGTAGCAATCCTTGAAATTTTGGAGAAAGGCTGAGTATTGCGATAGACGTTTCTACACTGGGTGGGATGTGAAACTAGCTGAGCTGCAGAGGATTTTATCATCCTGTTTCCAACTGAATATCTATCTCTGAGACTGTTTTCTCATCAGTAAAACTGAGCTAAGTTTTTTTCTTTATTGCATTGTTGATGGTTCTGAAGATCAAATAAATATTATATATTTAAGTCCTTTGAAAACCATTAATATTGTAATTGTGAACATTGATTAATTTATTCTTTCAACAAAGAAAATTTTTATTTTTTAAAAACTTATGTAACAAACATATTAGTTGAGTGGCTATTATATGGCATATATCATATTTTATATGTTATTATCTAATTTATTATTAATGCTCTTAGATTTTTCTCTCTTGCTAATCACCATCTTAATATTTTATTCCCCAACTGTTGGAGACAAGTAAAACTACCAAGTTTTAAATTTAGATAATGCCAACTAGGTAAAATATTATAGAATTTTAAATTAAATGGAAATTCTATTTACCTGAATATTTTTCATTCTCCTTTACCAGGAAGAATTGAGATTGGAGAAGATTGTTTCTTACCATTCATGCCCTTCTTTAGAAACAGGAAAATAAAGGGTATTGATTCTGTAAGATGGATAGTCATTTCTGAGTAGGACATATTGTATTTAAATTGATCATTTGGAACCTTTAGTTTTTCCATTTTCTCTTGCTCAATTCATGTTTGTCACTTTCTTTGAGAATTAATTCAAATCCAATGCCCTACAATGGCTTTTCTATGATTTCCTCTACTCCATTCTAAACACTCTTCCTTGTGTATATGAGAGTTTGGCTCTATTGTTTAGCTCTTGTGAAGAATCAGATTTGCAGAATTTTTGAGCCAGAAAGGCTTCTTCATTCATCCAGTTCAACCCTCTCATTTCCTGATGAAGAGGATGAAGACAATGAGTCCCAGTCACACAGATGGTCAGCCTTTGAGCCAGAATTATGACAGAGCAGTTGTCACTACCTTCTGTTTTGCAGTTGCTTGATTGTTTATGTGTGTGTGTTTGGTCTTCCCAGTGAGAGGATTTGTTGCCAGGGACCTCGCCTTTTTCCTCATCCAAAGCAAAGTAGTTCTTCCTCACTTCTTTGTCCAGAGTAAACATACTAGGATGCTCAGGAGCTAGTCTTTGGAAGTAGATGCCAGTGGTGTTCAACTATCCTTTAATCTAGTACTATTTTTAATGCATCTTAAATTTTTATTTTGATATCTAAAACATATTTCTTTTATCCCATTATTAGTAGAATTGATTAGCATTATATATAATTCAGATTTCATATATATGTATTTTTAAATGGGATTTCGCTCTTGTTGCCCAGGCTGGAGTGCAGTGGCGTGATCTTGGCTCACTGCAACCTCTGTCTTCCCGGATTCAAGCAATTCTCCTGCCTCAGCCTCCCAAGTGGCTGAGATTGCAGGAATGTGCCACCATGCCCAGATAATTTTTTGTATTTACTAGAGATGGGGTTTTACCATGTTGGTCAGGCTGGTCTCGAACTCCTGACCTCAGGTGATCCACCCACCTCGGCCTTCCCAAGTGCTGGGATTACAGGCGTGAGCCACCATGCCCAGCCAGATTTTGTATTCTTAATAGTTATCCTTACATGGAGACAGAAATAAATACCTCTATATTAATTAGATGATTAGATACAAATCTATTTTCTAGTACTTGGAATACTGTGACAAGGGGATGAGTAGCAAAGTCTGTATCTCAATATTTGATATACCTAAGTTTTTTTTAAATATAAATAGTTGTGTAGTACAAGATAAGAGTTCACTTAGAATAGTGCCCCTCAAGTCTGGCCATATATCATGATGACATCACTGCCCCAGCCCCATACACACTTGAGTTGAAATCTCTTAGGTTGGGCCTGTGCATCTTTATGTTTCAAGAGCTGCACAGCGGTTCTAACCCTGAGCCAAAGTAGAGGACCATTGGCTTAGAAAGACAGCATTGTTGAGATAATGAAGGCCCCCTTTTAAGAGAAAATTGCTACTTTGGGTTGGGGGGAATGTATGCCTGTTGGACATGTAAATAGAAATCTTATAGAAAGGTACAGACTGATTTCATATGTGACTGAAATCAACTGATTGTCTATGGGTTGTCTTTCAGGTCTACCCTACTAGTTGAGTTGCAACTACAAACCTCCATTATCCAGAGTGAAATTTATTAAACCAGGGCTGAGTTCTTTGTTTCTCATTTCAGAAATAACATGAAAAACCTACTCTGATAATAGAAATTGGTTACTAGAAACTTCCATTTTGTTATTGTAATGAGTAGTGGCTGACTCAACCAATTGAAAGCTTTAGTAAGGTTGGTTTCATGTTTGGATATCATGATCCCCATCTTACAATTATCTATCAATAAATCCTGCTCCCTCTTCAGAGCATTTCTTCAGTGTTATATGTAACTGCCCACCATTTATGAGACTGCCATATGGGTAGCTCATTGAAATGAGTAAATAGTAAGACTATATTAATAAAATAACATGCATATATTAGAAAGTCACAGAACAGTCAAGTGGTCACAGAAGTTTTGTTTATACAAGTGGAGAATTGGCAAAAGTCAATTTAAATTTTTTTATTGGGAACCTTTTCTGAATCTTGCTTTGGGCTGGGTGCTGCGGATCACAGCAAAACCCTGAGACCAGCTTTTGAGCCAAGACATTTAGTTTTCAAGAGAAGCAAAGTTGAATAGACTGAGGATAGTGAATTAATAGTAATTGCATATTATTTACTATTCATTGAATATAATCATACAGAGAATGATAGTCTTTTTCTTTTTTGACCTGAGATGGACACTGGGAATCACCTAATTCTAGAATTTTGCAGATAAGGAAACTTTCTTAAAAATGTGATAAATTGTCCATTAATAACAATTTAGAGCAGGAAGAACTTTATTTTTTGCCTAGAGTGGGTTATATAGTTGTGCATCTATGTGTATATGGTCCACATGGCATTTTCATTTATTCAATGGAGAGTTGAGAGGGTCTGTGTTTAGCACTCGAATATTGGACATGATTCAAATATGAGTCAAGTGTGTCTAGAGGCTTTATTCATACCTATTTTCTTTTAGTCAGCAATGCTTCATAATGCCTTGGTTTCACGAATTAATTTTAATGGAATTAAATTTGAACAGCTCAAAATTATATAATTAATTTCATTCAGCTTCAATTAAAGTTACTAATTGAATCAAGCCTACTAGCATGACACCTGGCGGCAGTCAGCTACATAACAATGGCAGCAAGTATGTAGGACTCTGCTGATGAGCTAGTTCTTGCCTACTAGTGAGTTTCCATGAAAAATCTCTTTTATTGATAATCTCAGAATGACCTTGAGTTGACTGTAGCAGTAAAAAGATTTCTGGAGTTGTTTAAAAAAGTAAAGATTTTAATTGAAACTAACATATCTCATGAAGATTACATTTCTCTATGATAATGCTGAGTAAATGTTACATAAATCTAGAACATATTGGTTTAGCATATTTTCAATTTATATTTTACTGCTATTTGAATATGGTTTTGTTTATAAAAATCCTTGGAAGTTAAGACCCCATTTGGTTCAGAGACCTTAGCCTCTGGACTCGGTCCCAAGTGGGTGTCTCTCTATTTTTATGTGTTGAAATTTGTTTCATGGCAGAACTTTTTAATTGTTGTGAAATCCCCATGGTACATGAAAAATTTTTGCATGTGCAGAAATTTTTTCCTTCCACTGGAAATGTTAACACGGTTGACTAACAACTTCTGTTTGAATCTCTTTCCTTTCTTTGCTTCCATGGCTTGACATCATGCAGTTTTTCTTACTTCTCTAACTCCTTCCTAATTGTACGGACTCTTCTTGGTACTTGGTACTCTTCTTGATATTTCTTAATATATTCACTCTTTCAGTGAGCTCATTAATTTGAATGGCTTTGGAAATCAAGTTTAGAAAGATGACTATTTCTAGCTATAACCTTTTTTCTGACTTGCAAATTCAAATGTCCAATACTTAATTCATCCACTAGACTGTAAACTCCAAGAAGGCCTGGGCAGCATTTCATAAGTCATTGTATCCTCATCACCTAGCACAATGCCTAAACATCTACTATGCAAAAATATATATTATTGAAAGAATAAATTGGTCTCATGATTTTTAGGCTTTCCCAGTCAAATCCAAACTGAGAACTTGGTCATATCCAACCCCATCTTCCTTGATAATCTTTACAAACCTCTAGTTAGTTTCTCACATTTACTCCCTATTCCATCTTGTTATCCAGTTAATTAAACTCTTATCAACTTCAATATGGGCTTTGCTAGGTCTCTCTTTTAGTTTCCCTTACTGTATTCTCCCTCTTAGATGTATCCATACTCCATTGGAATCATCTGAGTTCAGCCTCTTCTCCCTCAGTTGAAATAGAATCTTTGATTCTGGTATCCAGAAATATGTTTTTTGTTTGTTTGTTTGTTTTTTAGTTCTAAAAATACTTACAAGAAAAAAAAAGCTCACCAAGTGAATTAAAGTGAAGCCAGAACTGAGAATCACAAGTGTGCACAAATTTATTAATCTTCCTAAGGCGTGGTTCTGATAAGGCATTTCATAAAGCTTCAGTGGCTAGTTTGACTTATTTTTCTTGCTTTTGAATTTCATCCAGATTTCTCACCTTAGCATTCTAATATCCACACAATGTCTCTAATCAAACCTTCGCAGTCTTCTGTCCTAATTTGCCACTCATAGTACTTCACAGTCCAGAGAGTTGGAACCTTTGCCCAAACGTCTGCTTTTGGAGTTTGCCCGTGCTGTTCTTCCACCTTTCTCCCATCTGGACTTTTGGAAATCCAACTAATCTTTTGAAGTCCATCCAACATGTATCATTTTCTTCAGTGCTTTTCTTGATCTCTGAATCCTGATGAGTATTTTTTCTTCCTTTGAACCTTTTTAGTGCTCTGGACCTCTCATAGCATGCATTATACCTTGTTGCCAGTTTGCTTTTGGCTTGACTTATGTGCCCCAAAGACTTTACATTTCCTTACATGTTGGCTTTCTCCCTGAGAACCCATAAACCCACTTGCGAATCTCTCGTCCTAAATACCCCCTTCTCAGAGGATGCATTACACAGTCCTTGACTTTTTCTTCACGTTCTAGAGAGAGAATGCTGTACTTGTTTTCTATACCTCCTCACTACTCAGTCACTCCTCATTCAGCTGCAGGCCGACTTTCGTCTCTACCACTCATCAGAGCTTCTTCTCTTTCACCCCTTTCCCTGCTGCTCAACCCCCTACATGCATGGACTCACTCACTTTCATGCTTCCTGTAACCTTTTCACATTTCTCTATCATGGCACATCACTTGCTGTGTTAAAATTACTTGTTTACTGTAAACTTAACAGATTATTTTTACCATGAACATCTCTGGTTCTTTAATGCCAGGCTGATAGTAGGTGCTCAGTAAATACCTGTTACTGAGCCAATAAAATAGGCAGCAGGCAATAGAGGTATACCTGTTCTATTTCCTTAAATTATGGCAGACTTGGAAGCATTTAGAAAAATGTATATACTAAAAAAGGAGAGAAAAATATATAAAATCAATTATATTAAATGTATCTTTTTTAATTCAGGAAAATGTGATAAAGACAATACTGAGAAAGATATAACTCAAGCTACCAATAGCCACTTCACACATGGAGAGATGCAAGACCAGTCCATTTGGGGAAATCCTTCGGATGGTGAACTCATTAGAAGTAAGTATTTTTAGAAAAAACTTTGAGTGATTTTGGGATATGACTATGGTAATATATTCTTCGTTAATTGCCCCAGATAATTCTGCTACAAATCCGTAAATCAACAGCGTTTATCTAAAAGTGGTTTCATTTGTATTTTAAATTACAGAGCTAAAGCTAGGATATACATAATGCTGTCAGTGTTGCCTTTCTTCAGAAATGAAGAATTGACGCGTAAATATTGAACTCTTCTCAGAGAGATTCAGTCAAAATTCAGTTCCTTTTTGAGTAACAACTAAGTGGAAGTCAAACAACTCTAAGTATATGTGGATGGAGAAACTAAAAAGAGGAAGATGGAGCTAAAAGATTAATGCTACTATGGTCTCTGTTCTTCTAGCTAACTGACTCCAAATTTTTTTTATGATTAATATTTTATCACTGTTTGTTAAAAAAATTTTTTGTGATATTCTTCTTCCTAAAATTGCATACAAAAGCTTCGGTCTATTTTCATGTTATTCTTTGAATGCCCTGCAATACCTTGTCTTTTGGGTGCTGATCAGAATGCTGAGTCCATGTGGGGTTCTGCTCTCGAGCTCCTGGAGTTTACGTTCTGGTCACTAAGTTCCCCTAGGTGTGTTCAAGATGAATTTGCCATACAATGAATTATTCGACATAGCAAACACCTAGGTGTAAAGATTGCTGCTAAGCCACACCTGGAAGAGCATAGGGAGTAAATCTTTTGATATTCCCCTTTGGAGTAACCAAAATACCATGTTTCCTTCTCAGTTTTTCAGAGTGGATGGAGGAGAATTTACTTCTGGGATCAAATGTTTATTTTATGTTTAAAAACTTATTTCTTTAGTTTAAGTAACTTCATACTATAGATCCTTTACAGTCTTCCACATTACACTTACTTTGAAACTTAGAACATTTCTTTCCTCTCTAGAATGCCACTACCTGTCTCTAACTGAAAACTAAACAAAATAAATTAGAAAAAAAAAGGAAGAGGGTCCAACTTAGGAGAAAATAAACAACAACAATAAAAACACTATTGAAGGAAATTTCCAGGTTTCAAACAAAAGCTCTAAAAATGAGTGTTTTAGGTTAATTTTAGGACCATTTTGGTTTTTATACACTTTGGTCTTGGAGAAGGGAGTAGGAAGGAAGGAAATGAGACTCAGGAATTAGTGAGGAGGAAGATTTATATAGCTTTATCCAAAGAATCATATAAACATTATTTCAAGTAAATATTTATCTGAAAAACATATATTGATTAGCATTTATCTAATATTGACTCTGCTATTGTGAAACACATGATTTTGTGGAATAACTGGCCTATGTTATCTCTGACTTCCTAGCAACCAGAGTTAGTGAGCACTAGAAGAAGTTCTAGAGACAATTTTACCTCTATCTGTTGGGAAGCAAAATGGTTTTCTCACTTTTTTTTCGGTGGTAACAATTTTAAGTGTGTGCTTCATTTAATTGGTTTATTTCCTTAATCTCTTTTCCTAGGGCCCACAATAGGAAAATGTGAATAAGATTTCTTAGAACAACAGCAACAAAAAAGACAAACACTATTAAATAAGAATATGGAGAGTCATGCTAATGTGTTAAATTTGTTTATATTATTTGGTGAAGCTCATATTAGTCATAGAATCCATACCATTAAAAAGAATGAATTAAAATGATTTACTCTACGGTTTCATTGGTTAAGTGGGTACCAATCTAATATATTGTAAATTGCATGAGTTTCTTTATTGAGATAATGACGTACCCTGTGCCATGGGACTTTGGAACATTAGGAAACCACTGTCTAGTTTCTTACTAATATTCACTGAAGGAATGAAGAGATACAGAAATTTACACCCCCTCTGAAAGGGCTGCTGGGGAAACTGACAGTTTGAATGGATTTACAAAAGATACTGGCCAAAGATAGCAATGCCACTCCTGCCTGAAACATAAGCTGGCAAATATTTCCAAATATTTGTGGGTGAAATCTGACTCTGAATTTTGATTATAAATTTCAAAAACTCCATTTTTGTTATTTTCCCAGTCACACTTTTCTAGACAAAGTCTACTTTGTTGGATCAACAGAAAAAATTTGATATCTGGATTTTGCAGAAGTGGAACATTTTATATCATCTTTAAAACTGACTCAATTCTGGATAGCATTTGAAAGTTTTGTATTGTGGTAGCTTCTGCTATTCCAACTCCTTTGATATTAAACTCTCAGAGCTGCCTGACTTTCCTTCTTTGGCCTTCCCCACAGAGTCATTGGCCATCTCTGTGTAATTTAGTCTGTCTGTCTTAACTCTGAAGTTAGGAAGATGTGTATTTTCCTCTTGCTTAAGCATCTCGCACATTTTGGGGGCCCAGAAACTCTTTTGTAATAACAATAGGCCCTGGAAAAGGAGACTCTGGCTCAGAGCTTCATGGGAGGAGGGGAACATCTGTGTTGAGTCAGGCCCGAGCTGGCTCCGATTCCAGGAGTCCTGTGTGGCTCTCTGAGCACCGTGGAAGAAGCGGACAGCTGGCTCTCACGGAATTGATGTTAGTGTTCCCACTGTAGCGCGAGTTTGGCTGAATAGAGGGATCATCAGAAAAATGAGGCTGGCTGGGGTGTGGGAACATTTTCAAATGCACAACCCACTCTTTTTCCAAACTTCCATGGGGCAGCTCAGCTGCATACGCAAGAAGTGAAGGAGACAGACGCGGTCGAATGTGACTTCTTTTTCTTTATTCTTGAAAGTGGTTAGTGAGGGCTTGGCAGCTCGTGTCTCCGTTGTGCCGGATGGCTGCTGCCTTCTTTGCCGGACACTCAAGGCATAATTTATAGGGGACTGTTAGCTGTCAGTGTAATGAGGCTGTTTTTACTTTTCTTTGCTGAGAATAACTGAGCTCTGGAAAGTCAGGGAGTGGCTGCTTTGGAAATTGTATTCTAATTAAAGGGTGTATTCTCAGGCCTCATAAGGGATATTCACGCTGAGAATAATTTCCAAATTATTCTATGAACTTTAACCCTGACCTTAGCGGACTACCTGCTTGAACTCATACTTGGTTCATGCTCTACACAGAAGTTTGTACTTAGTCTGCTTTCCCTGGTCCACGTAGAAAACATTGCAGGTGGAAGACCTGGGGTATTATGGTTTTTCAGGGTGCGGATTTCAAATTGGTTGCCCTTGAATTGCTAACATATTACAGAGAATACATTATGGAAGTAATAAATAAAAAGAAGAAACTCATATGGAATCAAACATTTCGAATAAATAGGCCACACACAATCTGGTCAGAGAACGCACATTTTGGTTCTCTTTCCTATGAAATTTAAATTTAAAAAGACAATTCCAACCACTTAAATTTGTTTAAAAATTTCCAAATCAAATTAGTAAAGAATTAAAAACAATGGAGGTTTTATGAAAAAAGTTTATAATTGGAAATTCTCTTTTTTTATTTTATGACTTTTTATCCTTTTTACATTTCAAAAGGCTTTTATACTCTTAGAACATAATTTGGTGTATAATTTAATTTCTGAAAGGTGGCTTAAATTTTGGAATTTATAAGAGCACCAACTAAGCCTTTGGCTTTTCCCCTCAGATTAGCGTATATGGTATAATTGAAGCTATGCCCTGTTTTAATTGTCACTATTCCTCTGACTTAGTAAAATAAATGTTACAGTGAAGCGACACCATCAATTAATATTAATTTTTCTATTTAACCCGTAATATGCATAAACTGATAACAGGCAATAGGCAACATTTCATGTTTTAATTAGACAAGAAAAGGAACAGAAGCAACAGAAGCAACATTTTGATCTCAGTCTTTGCGGGGATTTCTAAGGTAGGAAGAAGAGTGTGTGTGTGTGTGTGTGTGTGTGTGTGTGTTACTGTGCTTACACTCAGGCATGTGTAATATTTTCCTTTAATTTAGGTCAAATTCTACTATTCTAATTATTTCCTATAGAGAGCTTACATTTTTCTTTGTTCCTCTTTATAAAGTGCCTCAGGTCTCTATCTCAGGTTTTTCTAGGTCTTTCTGAAAATTCTTATTACTTAACTTTATCCTTGGACATTGCTTTTACATAAACGTCTGCTAATTCTAAATGTCATTACTTAACTCCAGAAATTTTCCTTAGCTTCTCTTCTGAAATAAATTTCCCATTAAATTAAACTATTTTGTTCAGCTAATTCTCTCCTTTGTGATTTTATAGAATTCCCATGATCTGAAGCAAAGTTAAAATGCTCTACTTAAATGGTAATCCCCATTCTATTTAACCCATTTATTCATTTTGAAGAGTTTTTAGCTCTCATAATAGTAAGCACTTAATTGGCAGTAGAACGCAAGCTCTTCTCCGGCTCACACTTGCTCACCCTTATGGAGCTGCCGTATCATGCCTTTTCACTCATCTTGCTGCTTGAAACCTTTCTCTTGGCATCATCTGCAATTGCTCTCAACATCAACAGGCTCTGTTATTCGGAGCTCTATTATTTCTTTTCCTAGCCTTTGCCAACTTAATGCGGATCACCCCTTAATGCATACCATTTCATCACTTTAGGGAATGCCTCCTTTATGTAAAATACTGAAAGAAAAGCAGATACTCAGGTGTGCTATTTATATACTTAGAACATTTTTACTTTGTTGGTAAGCAAAGAGCATTAAGAGGTTTGTATTAAGTTTATTTCACAGCTCTCATTTGATGGCACATTTCAGTAAGTGTTAATTTGGATTTCTTTAGAATTCACTTTATATGGAAAAGGTCATCAACCAGCCCCTAGATAACTATGACCTAGTTAAGACTGGAAGATATAGCTATCATATTATGTTTCTTGGGTCATCTAGGAGTTTTTTCCCTAATATTTCATGCTCATTCATTTTTGGGGGCACATATTGGAAGCAAATAATTCTGACTTTTGCCTTGCTCAATGTCTTTTCCTCCTCCATTTGGCTCTCAGAAAAATTCTCTTTTTATTCAGTATGTTGGACGTTATGTGACTGTAGTACACATGCTTTGATTATTGTTTTAGAGGAGGATCTTTATGGTCAGTTATTCCAAAATCAAACCAATCGTTTGGGTTCAAGATTGGGTGGATAATCCTAAGTCATTTTTGATGGGCTCCTGTATTTATCTCATTGGTCAATGGCAGCCATTAGGCTGTATTCTAGCATGGAGGTCAAGTTACCTGACACACTTCTTCTCAGGCTCCATTATTTCATCCTCATCTGGCTTCTGCCCAGAAGCTGGGGAGAACCATTTCATTTTGAGCCGATTTTTGTTTGGAGCATTTAATGTTCTGGGGCTAAGAGGTCAATGGAAACTGACTTCCAGGAGTCAGACCGTGCTGCATCATTACTGCTAATGCTGGGCCAGTTACCTACCTCTCTGAGCTCTAACTTCTCATTTTTAAAAGGGAGGTGCTAACATTTTATGCCTCATTGTCATTTTGATGATTATACAAGAAAATGCATATTGTATGCTTCCTTAGCACAAAGCAAAATGAGTAAGCACACACTGAATTTATTGGTTTTCATTGTTATTATCCTTGAGCCCAGCTATTAGTTCTAAG
This sequence comes from Homo sapiens, assembly GCF_000001405.40. Lineage (NCBI taxonomy): Eukaryota > Metazoa > Chordata > Mammalia > Primates > Hominidae > Homo > Homo sapiens. The sequence goes on from NC_000007.14 coordinate 114,947,938, forward strand.
GTTTGTTTTGTTTTGTTTTTTAAGTTCATCATGGCTGCATTGAGTTACATGTCCAGACAGGCTGGATCCAAAAGGTCATGTCTTTCTGAGACCTTTGATATTGTCTACAACAATAACCAGCACATTGATTGCTGAATGGTTTATGCTTAATAAATGCATGATGACTTAAGTGTATTGAATTAATAAGGGGGAGGGAAGAGATGCTTTACCTACCTTGCCTCTATTATTTCAGACGTTAAGGTCCTGAGATGAAGGTTCTAAATCACTACAGTATTCCATTTATTCTTCTAACTCCCTTCTTACTCCCAGGCTGCACGTGGTTTATTCATGTCAAGTTTGAAGTATGTATAGATGACTTTTATGATATTAAAGCAATCAAGTTCTAAATTTGACTATCGTTTACTGATAAGGCTACTTTGAAGAGTTTTCAGTGAAGTTCTTATGGTAGTGCTCTGTATAACATTCATTTTCTGAGGAGGTGAATAGGAATGACACTTTATTTATGGCCTTTTTTGCATCCGATGTTCCTTATTTTTCTTGCCTACCCATAAGAAAAAAAATTCGAGACGACCTTACTTCCCTCCCTGCCTTTTGCATCCCTCCCTCCAGCTTGGATGGACTTTTCTTCCATCCTTCCTTCTCTCCCTCCCATTCTTTTGTCCTCCTTTTCTTCCTCTTTTCTTTTTTTCCTCTTTTCTTCTTCTTTCTCATATTATTCTCTGCCTTTCTAACAGATGTGTGTAATCCTACTGCATATATAGATATTGTTCATCAGTATAAAGGTATATATAATGAAATCCATTACTATTTAAAGATTGTAATTGGTAATAAATTCCTTCTCATATTTACCTCTAGTTCTCTGGAATTGTAAATTGGAATTTGCTCATGGATTTTAATGAGTTGTGAAATGACAAGTTATATACAAACGAATTTGCAGAGTGTAAGAAAAAAGAGACTGCTTTACAATTTATGGAAGTAGATGTTTCTATGTATACTTCTCTGTGTTTCCTCCAAACAAAGCTTCTTTTTGTGTTTTTCTAGATACTTTCCATTGTGCTTAAGTGATCAGATTTGTTTTCGTGAAGATTGGATAAGAATATTTTTAAAGTGCTTTGTATACCATAAAGCACAATGTGTGTTGTTATTATTGTCTTATTATTATCATTAATATCATTATTCTAATTTATTACTTTACCTTTCACTTTTATTATATTCTATGACATTTGATTTGTAATCTATATCCTACTTCTTTTGTTAAAGGTTTTTAATCTCTTCCTGTTATTCCTAAATTATTTGGGTCATTATTGGGGGAAATGAGATGGCATTAAAGTGTAAGTAGTGGACAAGGGCTCAGTGAGGAGGTAGATTTATTCCTCTCCTATTGGAGAGTGTTTCTGAGCCTCAGGAAGGAGCTGAGGCTTGGGAACTGGCTTAGAGATCATCCCAAAAATGCTAACCACTGAAGAAATAAATAACATTTAATGATCAAGACCACAAATGCTGTGGTCTAGATAATTTTAGTTCTCAAACCTCAAACTTCCTGGATCTGAACACTCTGTGAACTTACACGTAAATTATGTTTTTGCAGATCATGTTGTTATATTGAAATTTGTGAATTAGGAATTAAAGAGTAATTTTAAAAACAAAATTAAAAATTGATTACATGAAGACTGAATGCTTACAGTTTACCAACTGAGTTATGTTGGAGATAACAGTGATGGGTGTGGGTTCTGCATTCAAAGTTTACAGTCTTGTGGGAGAGACAATTTATTGTGATATGATAATGTGTATTATGAGTGCTCCAGTGGGGAAGTGCAGGCTGTAGTAGGTTCTCATGGGATAACACAAACCCTAAATGTGGGGAGGGGGCCAGAGGGAGCTTTCCAGTGGAAGTGTTGTCTGTGATACCTAAAGGGAGTCCACCAACTGAAGCTGTTCGTGGGAGGGACTGAAGCTGGGGTGTTCCAAGCCCAAAGCACAGCACACCTACAGTTCTAGAGGTAAGAGAGGACATGGCCATTTTGAGGGGAGCTGGGGAAGTTTTGTGTAATCTGGGATGTAAATGTTAGATGAGGCGTGGTGAGAAATGAGAAAGAATCTGTTAAAGACTAAGGGAAGATAGAAAGTATTGAAGGGAGTAGTGACTTAATCAACATTGTGTTTTAGTTGGGCTATATTTTAGGATGATGACTCTGGAAATAGTGAGAAAATAAATAGGAATGGGAAGGACTGAAGGCATTAAGAGATCAACTGGAAGACTGTTATGTAATGCCTCTGAGAAAGGAAGGTGTCTTGGACTGGGGTAATGACAGGTAGGATTACAAGGAGGAGATGGATTCAGCTTTCTATGGGATGTAGCCAGTAAGACATATAGGATTAAAGGAATGACAGGTGCTGAGAATGAAGCCCAAGGTTTTAGTTTGGACAAGTGATAGTTGTGATGAAATGACGGTGGAGCAAATGATTTGTGGATATTGTCCAAAGAGGGTGTGAAGTGATGAGCTACGGCTATAAAATGGGTAGGGAAGGAAATAAAGACAAGAAGGGCATCATAAATAAGTAAAAACATCAGAGGGGTTAATAGTCCATAAGTTTCCTGTTGTTTCAGAAATAAAACAGGTATAGATATAGTAAATGAAGGGAAAATATGGGAAGAGAAGATGCAGTATGAGAATGAGAAATATGAATTTAAGATTTCTGAGTTGGAATAGTCTCAGGGGAGGTAAAGGCTCAAGGTATAGTCATAAGGAAGATGGGTGACTGAAATAGTTTCTCCTAAACTAAAAGTGCTATAATCAGAAAAGGCTGCATAAAAATTGCCATATATAACAGCTGGGGAAGAGGAGATCTAGAGGTTTGTTTTAATCAAATATATCCAACAATAGGTAAAGCTGGGTTTTTATCAATGTTTCTGGAATTTCAGATGCCTCATTGAAACTTAAAGGGTCAGGAGGGGCCAAGTGCAGTGGCTCACACCTGTAATCCCAGCACTTCAGGAAGCCAAGGCATGAGGATTGCTTGATTTCAGGAGTTTGAGAAAAGCCAGGGCAATATAGTGAAACCCTGACTCCATAAAACAAAACAAACACAAAAAAATCATTAGCCAGGCATGGTGGTGCCTGCCTGTAGTCCCAGTTACTTGGGAGGCTGAGGTGGGAAGATAGCTTGAGCCTAGGAGGTTGGGACTGCAGTGAACTGTGATTGCATCACTGCATTCCAGCATGGGTGACAGAGGGAGACCCTGTCTAAAAAAGAAAAAGAAAAGAAAGACAAATGGTTTAGGAAGAATAGCCAGTTGGTCTGGTCATCTCTGGTTCTTTGCTGCTTTGGCCTAAGGTCAGTCACCTGTTGGGGATGAATGGAATAGTAGTTTGATATTCTCTAAGGTGAGGTCCCTGAAATGAATGGAAAAAAAAAATACAGATTTTTTGGAACCAGTCTTCATTACTGTAAGATTCCAAAGAGTCTTCTCCATTTAGTCTAGTAGATATACAAAATGATAATTTAAAAAAAGACATATGTCAGTGTCTGTGTATATATAGATACATATGTATATGAAGGAAAGATTAATATCAAATTATACATGTGTGTTTATTTTTTTCTTAATGCAAGATATAGATCCATTTCCTCTCAATAGTTACCTTTAGGGAGTTATATGAAGTTGAGTGAAAGCATATGGGTGAAGAGGACTCCCACTTAATATTCTGTATTCTCTTTTCTGTGTTTTTTTTTCCCATGAAGTGAATTATTTTATTAAATTAAAACAAAAATATTTTAAAAAGAAAATTATCACGTGATATGGCAAAATATCAGGGTGGGGTACCACCTCTTTAAAGTAGCATTAGAGCTTAGTCACCTGTAGAAGATACTTCAGGTTATAGGTGGACCAGGACATTCGGCTTCCTTCAGGTTCTGTAGGAGATAGAACCAGCTACATGATTCAGAAAATGGAGGGCAGTGCAGAATGAGAATGCAGGGTCTCTTGTTAAAATATTATTATGAATTTCAAGAGAACAACAGCAAAGCATTAAGCCAGGCACGGGGGTCCTTCTAAGTGCTGGGCTTGCCACAACCGCGTAGTTTCGCACCCATGATGCTGGGCCTGGCTGCAAGCATTGAAGGAGTGGGACTCCATTTCTGGTAAACATAAAGTAATATTCTATACCTATTTTTATAATTGTTTTATCAGCAAATTCCAAGAATTCAGGAAAGAAGGAGTTTTTCTGGGCTTGGGCAAATCAGTTGCTATTCTACTCACAAACATGAGAATCTTGTATAGCTATGTGAAACAATCGCCATGGGCAAGCTCCGGAAGGCAGTGGTTCTCAGCTCTTAGCTGGCCACAGCCAGCAGAAAGCAGGAAGACCTGCTTCCAGTTTTATCCAAGGCTCAGTACAGCGTGTAGGGGTCCGTCAGAATGAGAGGGGCTGGTGGAAATCCCTCTCTAGCAAGCTGAGAATCAGTACCTGATTTGCTCCATTTTTTTTTTTTCAACTAGCCTTTAAGGAGTTAGTGACAAATCCATGCTCCACAGTTTTCCACCAAAAGCTGGATTTTTTCCAGGTCCCTGAGTTCTGCAGCAAGATACACAAAAATCAAAGGAAATCTCTTCTAAAACACACAGATGCTGTCTTAGAGGGTGAAAATTACATTAAAGTGAACCATAGAAGAGAGTAGGTGGAGAAATTTGTTCTGCTTTGGAACATTCTTTAATTAAGTATATTTTCCATGGTTCATGAGAACTTGTGAGAACTCCGATTAGAAAATTTAAGGAAAAAAAGATTCCCACCATCTCAAATTGTCATGAATAATTGATTCATGCCAGTGTGATCATAATAAGATCATACTTCGGATGCTGCCCATCATTCCCTGTCTTTATGAAAAAGATATTAATATATCATTTATGTGTAGGCCTGTCTTTGCAGGTTATCTTCACGATATTCCTTCAGCATTGCAAAGGCGCTGTCATAATTACAAAGGAGACTGATAATGTAGGCAGCAGTGGCAACAACACCACACCCAACGAATGGTGTGATTATTAATAATTACCATTTTCTTCTTATTCTTTGTGAGTTGGGTTCTTATTATTATGTTTCTCCCATATTCAGTAGATTTTTAATCTTACCAAATGGTTTTGTGTAAAAATATTTACTACAGAACATGGAAGATTAAACCCATATTCCTACATATTTAAGTTTTCAGTATTTTAGCCAATTTGTGATAGTTGATTTTTAGTCTAGCTTTACATCTTTTAAATAACAAGAACAAGTCATTCAGCATTTTTAATTCAAATACATGTAACTTGTTTTTTGATTTCTAAATAAAAGGTTGTCTTTTAAATTTATTAAATTCAAATATTTTACCCCAATGAAACAAAAAAATAGGTATATATCATAAAAATCTTTTTTAAAAAGAGGATTGGAATAATATTGATTTTTGCCATAAAGGCTACATGTGTTTGGACTAATTCAAAGTAGATGGAACAATTTCAGGCTACAAGAACTTCTGATTATTTCAACATTAAATTTGAAGCTAGTTACCAATCTGGTCCTGGATAGTTGATGTGAAGGGATGTTGATATTATATTAATTCCCAGGTGTCACAGAAAATCAAATAGCAGTACCTGAAATTAGTCAATCAGTCATTGTGTGAAACAGTGTTGAGTGTGATATGGCTGTGACTCTTTATGCCTTCTGCTCCACTTTCTAGCTATGTGATCTCTACTACAGTTGTCCCTTCGGTATCCATGAAGGTTTGGTTCCAGGGCCCCTGAGCATACCCTAATATTCAGATGCTCAGATGCCTTATATAAAATGGCATGGTATTTGCATATAACCTATGCATATCTTCTAATATACTTTAAATTGTCTCTACATTACTTATAATACCTAATACAATGTAAATGCTATGTAAATAGTTGTTATACTATATTGTCTAGGGAATAATTAAAGAAAAAAAGTTTGCACATGGTCCAGAAGTTACAACCACCTTTCTCCCCCTGCTGGATATTTTTGATTTGTGATTGACTGAATCCACTGATTTGGAACGCATAGACAGAGGGAGCTGATTTTAGTGTCTTATTTGCCCTTCTAGGTCAGGATTTCCCAGTCTCAGACTGATGTAGAGCTTCTTTTCATTTCTTTGAAATCACATTGATTCTTTAAGTCTAACAGCCGTACCTGTTTCACTCATTCCACCCTGCACAACATATTGATATACCTTGGACTTTTTTATTATGGAGATCTGCTCCATTCTAAGGTTTTGAAACCAGAAATTCACATTCTCATTTCTCCCTGTCCTTTTCCTTAATGATAATTGTGCCTAATCTGCTAATTACGTTCTTTTCCCTTGTAATATCTTATCCGCTTCTTGTCTTCACCTGACTGTTTTCATGGTCAACTGGAATCTGCAAATGATCTTTCATGATCTCCCTAAATTCCATAATCTTATGGCATTTCTGCCATGCTTATGCTGAAACTATGGTAACAGACCACACATCGGTCGGTCTTCTCACTTCAGGTTCCCAGCCTGTGGGGCATAGAGGAAGAGTGTTATGTAATGGAAGGATTAATTATAGAATAAATATGTGTTCTCTCATCTCAGTTGAAATGTCTCTGCTTCTCAGTTTTTAGTTGGTTTCCATTTTGGGTTCATTATTGCCTTTTGATTTTATAACACTTACTGTTCTGTAAGGATTCAGATTATATTCTAGTCCTCTCATTACTGGGTCATTGTAGTTTATATTTAAGCACAGCTCCTGGTAGTCAAATCCAGTTCTGGTCTACATGCCTGATACCTTAAGCCATCTTGGTCTATGTCCTGGGAGAATTAGTAAATACTACTACAGTAGTGTTTTGAGACTGATAGGTTGTGTTTCTCATTTAGTGCAGTGGGCTCTTCTCAGTCCTTATTCTATCTGTAGGATTTGACAGGACATGTTTTCTGCTTGAAACTCCCTCCCTATCCTACCACTCCCCTCACCACTTTCTGCCTCTATAGTTCATGTTGACTCCCTTTCAGTCTCTCAGATGCCACTGGGTTCCTTTCTGCCTCTCGTCGGTCTTTTGCATACCAGATCTTCCTTCAGGCTTGTCCCTTCAGAAAGGCCTTCCCAGACCCCCATCTACAATGGCTTTTCCTATTTCTCACAACACCCTTTCCTTTTTAGCTGTTGCCACAATTTGTAATTTATTTGTGCAATTCACATGTCTAATGTCTGCTGGCTCTAAGTTGTACCCCAAGCAATCAGCATAATTCCAGGACCACAGTAAACTTTCATTAAGCAAATTTGGATGATTGATTTTAAAAATTGAAATAAATTGATTTTTTTCTCTACTACTTCCTTTCATGAACTTTCGCCATAGCCAAAATATGTTATTTGCACCTCTGTCCACTTGTCTAGTATTTTCCTTTTCCCAGGCTTCACTCATGTTACCCATCTCTCCACGTCTCCCGCCCAACAAGCAAGGCTCGTGTGATTTCTGCCTCATCTGGGACTGGGAGTGTTTAACTGTATCTCTCCTAAAGGACTCATTAATTTCAAAATTGTAATACAGGTGTTTATGACCCTCTTCTCCATTACTGGACTGAAGGTTCCTTAAGGGTAAGATTGGTGTCTCATTCAGCTCTGTAGACCCCACATCCCTCAGCCCAGGGCCATGCACATAGTTTCCCCCAAATACATTTATGTTAATTGTTGAATAAATGAAAGTCTTTACCTTTTGACTACATTTAGCGTCTCTGTAGGAGACTGACAGCTTTCAATTAGTTAAGCTGTGGTAATTTGTTTAAAATGTGGATTGACTATCTTTGCTTCTCTTAAGGAGCTAATTTTCTCAGTCCGCAGTTCATGCATATTAAAAGATGTTTTTATTAGTAATATTAACAATGTTATTACCATAGCTTTTTACAGTTAATGAAGTTTTTCATATATTGCTCTAACCTGGGCTATCAGCAGCTCAAGCATATGGGATGAGTATCACTATTATTTATCTATAAGACTGAGCTCAGAAAAGTCAAGCAACTGACCTGGGGCCATGCAGCTAATATCTTGATTTTTCAGCATACACCCTTAACCCTAGAGTGATTCTCAAATGGAGAGTGGGGTAGAGATAAGGGTAGGGAAGGGACTTTGTGATGTATGTGGTCCTCTAGAGAGTGTTAGAATCATAGGAGAGGAGACAGTTGTTCCAAGTTATAACCTTATTCCAAGCTCCCAATTCTAGTCCACTTTCCTAGTTGAAAATTACTGCTCTTTTACCACTAGTATTAATAAGACTGCATTCTGCCCTTGTGTTGGCAAGAGAAAAGTTGGAAAAATTGCAGTATACTATACTCCTTCAGAACTTCATCTTTGTTGTGCTAAATTCAAAACAGTTCTTGGGCTTAATACATAAATATTATATATATATACACACACACATATATATATATACACACACACATATATATACACACATATATATATATATTTGACATCTTAGAAAAAAGGCATTTTTATTCTTTAATACCATTTACTTATTGCCTCCTGGAGAACTTGGTCTCATTCCAATGGATAGGTAGAGAATCAGCATATGCCATTTTTAATGTGCGGTAAATATGCATTTTCCTTCTGCAGCAAGACAAAATCTTGATAACTGAAACCAATGATATGAGGTGGGGAAGGCATTATGATTCTATAGTCATATCCTTTTGTGTGAAATAATGGTTCTCATCTCTTTATCTTGGCTTAAAATATGTACTGATGTGCAGAACCCACCCCAGACCAATGAATTTAGAATCATTAGGGGTAGGGCTTGGGCATTTGTGAGCCCCCATGTAATCCTGAAGTGCAGCACAGATTGAGTATTAAGGTTTTTGATTGAAAATATTGCCCTGAAACAAAGTTAGTAAAATAAGGTGAATATTAGTCACTTATCTGAATACTTAAAGACCTTGTTTCAGAAAGTGGTTTCTTACAGTTATGACTGATGGCCCACAGGAACTGATAGGTATGGCTCTCTGTTTGGGATAGGGTGTGTTTTGGCTCCTTGGCTTAACCCTTAGCTCTTTTTGGAAGTTGGTTTTTCAAGAGATGTCATCATTGTTCAGAATGTGTTTCTTACTTGTAGTTTTACTCTGTAACACTTTTACCTAAGCTTTATAATATTACAAAAGAATGATTATAATTTGCACAGGTAGTCTGGCTAAATGGTACAGTGAAAGCACTTCAAAATCTTTCAGGTGTAATCATAAGAAATTATTTATCTTAGGATTCTTGATATATTACATCGAAATCAAGGTTTATGTTATATTTGAGTAAAGTTTTCAAGGATGAAAACGATTTTGCCTATTTTTTTCTGAAGAATTACAAACACCTGCTTCTTTCATCTTCCTTTGACACTCTGTTCCTGAATTGGAGTAAGCTGTGTTTTTTAGTTAAAAATTTCTGGAATAAGCAGTCTTCCAATCAAGTGTTTGTAGATGTATTGGAAATAATGTCTCCTTAACTATTATAGCTAGAGTTTGTTCTTGGCATAAAGCAAAGTCTCTTATAATAGCGATACAGTTTACCTAAGAGTCATATTAATAAGTAAAAAAAAGATCAGCTTTTTGAATAATATATAAATTCATATGGTATCAGTGGTATCTAGGCATTTGGGACAATACATAATTAGTTTCAGTTCCCTTTGAGAGGGAGATGTGGATGTTAAAATAAATTGCTGATGAAGCATATACTTTGGAGAACAGTGTATTTCAAAACTGTGCAATATCAGCTTTTTCTTTCAATGGTATGGAAATATAGCATAAGACTAAGAAGATTTATTAGGGGCAGCTTTAAGCCATTCTTACTGTATAAAAGTTCATAGTTTGCTCATTTAGGAGTAGTTACCAAAACAAAGATAATAGCAAATATTTATAGGCCTGCTAGGAAAACATTGCATCTATACAACTTTTGGCACCATTATGGTCAATAAGCCAATAATAATTATTTGCTTGTGTAAGAATAATCTGTATCACAATATTTAAGCATTTAATAGGGTTTGGTCATTTAATTATTAAAAGTTACTCTTTTATTAAAAAATGAGTCATGGACTTACTCCAGAAAAACTAGCACTCACAAAGTAGGAAAACTTATCATTGTGAAATAAATATGTGCTGAGAAAGAGTAGAAGGAGCATAGCTTGTAATAAGTTGATTTTATTAAGTAAAAGTGAAGAAACTGCCTCTGTGGAAGGAACTATTTAGCTACCAGGAATAAATATCATAAACTAAACTGTTCTTGCAGAGCTTAATTCTAATCACTCTCACATTGAGGGAGTTCCTTCAATGGCTTTAGTGTTTCTGTGGAAACTAATTAGGATACCACATACACAGTCCATGTAGTATAAGACCATATGTAAGCACAGTTTACCATATACTCTGGATTTTTTGGAGACACACAAACAAAATACGCTCTCTTCTTATTTTTTGCATAATTTTGTGAAGTCTTTACTCTGAAATTGATGAAGGTTATCACCGTTACCTTAAATATGTTTGAAACTATTTTCCCGGCTGGGCAAGGTGGCTCACGCCTGTAATCCCAGCACTTTGGGAGGCAGAGGCAGGCGGATCACCTGAGGTCAGGAGTTCGAGACCAGCCTGGCCAATGTTGTGAAACCCCATCTCTACTAATAATACAAAAATTAGCCGGGCGTGGTGGTGCATGCCTGTAATCCCAGCTACTTGGGAGGCTGAAGCAGGAAAATTGCTTGAACCCAGGAGGCAGAGGTTGCAGTGAGCTGAGATTGCACCATTGCACTCTAGCCTGGGTGACAAGTGTGAAACTCCATCTCAAGAAAACAACAACAACAACAAAATAACAAACAAACAAACAAACAAATGATTTTCCCTAAAATATGCAGCCCATTACTTAGCTAAGGATTCGCCACTCCTCATTTATTATCTTCCTCCGGTTTGCTTATTTTGATAAACATTGGGTTCACAATCAGTTCCTTGTCCTCATTAAGCCTAGAGGAAATGAGGGGTTTGTTGTAACACTCACTGGGAAGAAGTCTTCAATTTTGTTTGTTTGTGTTATGACATCTACAGTGTTAAAGTAAAAATATTTAAATGATACAGTTCACAGAGTACATACTTAATGTGCCAAAAGCACAAATGTGTGGGAGTGTTCATTTTCTGAATTTTTCTTTTTACTAAAAATGAACAAACATAAGACCAACTATTACTTCTTGAGCCTAAAAAACAAAATTAGATAACTAAGCTCTCAGAGTCAGAATCTACAGCTCTGGTATGACTGAGTAGGTGTGATCATAGCCTGGTCAGTAATAATGACAGATTTTAGTGTCCATTTTAGTGTATGAAACACTAAATTACAGTAAATTGAAAAATGGGTGGTTTATAGTCCTAGAATAGTATTTCTCAGAGAGCAAATAAGACATTAAATCATTTGGGGATGGTTTTATTCTTCCTCTTAATTGAAGGTGTAGTGTCATTTTCACATCTTTGTTCATTAATACAAATATGAAAATATTTGTGAAAGTCCTCTTGGAAGACAGGCTCATTATCATGTGCATCTCCAGTTTGGACATATCTGCATGATATTGTTTTGGCATACAACATTAAAACTTAGTCTTTTGGAAAATGCCATAAAGAAGTTTCATTATTCAGATAACTTAATTTCAACTTAGAGAGTTTCCAGTTAGTCAGGCCTATTGCAGTCCACTCTAGTGTGCCTTGGGAAATAACTGCTGAAATTTCACACACATAATGATTATGTAGGAAGACTTTGGAATAAGTGGAGGCGTCAGTGACTATAGATACAAACATAGAATGGTGCTTTAAAAAAAATAATGGAAGATACACCTGTGGTAAGCCAATTATCTTGACTCCCACATTCTAAATAGACTAATAATAATAATAATAATAATAATAATAATGGGACTGGAGGAAAAGTGAAAATAAAAGAATGGCTAAAAGTGTACCTTTCTCGTCAGCCACTTCCTATTTAATAGGAGTGAGGTGCTTAGTTAGACATTGTAAAGGTGCAGGCAGCACATAACACCAGTGTATAGTGAAAGACTATATGCACCTAGAGAAGGTGAGGTGTGGAGCTCTGTGATTCGGATACTAATCCTCACTAAAACTCATTCACTGTGGGACACTGGGTGAGTCACTTTGTCTTTTAGCTTAAACTTTTGCATCTTTGAAATGTACTTGGAGAAAATCCCTTTTCTCACTACCTCACGGGGTTGGTGAAGGGTCAAATATGAAAATCGAAATGGAAATATTTTGTTAAGTCTCAAAGTCTCTAGATGGATATGAGTCACACAGAGTGATGAGAATAACCAGCACTTGGTTAAAGGAAGAAGTACAGGGCCATTGTGAGTTATGCCATGGAAAGCATAGAACCTCTTCCTTACTGCGTTTTCAGGCTGATCCAGAGATGCTAAGCAGAGAACCAGGGAGAAAAGTAGAGCTTGACCCCTGGATCCTCTCACTGATTATCCAAGAGTAAGTGGGAAAGAGTCCAGTAGGTGTACCATGGCCTTTTTTTAATATAGTCTTAAAAAACCCCGCAAACACATATCAAAAGGGATTTCTACATATGAGGAAATGAGCCACTGCACTGAATAGACCCCTTTTATTTCAAAATTAATTTTCACTTTTAAATATAATGAAAGATCTCAATCAGAAAAATATGCACAAGAATATTATAAGTACCAATGTCCCAGACACTCAGATTTAATAAGTGTTAACATTTTTCCAAATTTTCTGGAGTTTTTGTTTGCCTCTTAGGAAATAAAACATATTTTGTTCAACATGCAGATTCAATATGTATATTCTATGATTTTTGAAATCCCACTTAAATGATAGTAAATTAATAATACATTTTAAAAAGGTACACATTTAAAGAGAGGCACAGACAAGGAAACAATAGTGGATCAAATATGTGAAGACATTTCTTCAAGACGGCAAGTAGATGGAGAAATAATAACTAATTTTATGGTTCTGAAAATCTGGAACCTAAATGTCAGTATGACACAAAACACAGTACTACCCCAAAAGGCTCAAGATTTGGAGGACCCAAGGCTCTTGGAAGATGGGATGAAATTTAGACCTGAGAAGAAGAGTGTGCAAGATTTAGAATATCAGGTTTCCTCCGCACCACCCCTGCCTGCTCTGGGCACTAGGCATAGCAGAGCAAGCATGGGAGTGTCATACTAAACACCGGGTGCTCAGTGAAATTGACTGCCTAAAGGATGAGACACAATCCTTTCCCCCCACAACACATGAACACTCCTAACCTCTTTCTCTCTTGATCAATGATGGCCATGAACCAGAGATTACGAATTAGAGAACATGTTAGTTTTCATATTCTCTTTTATTCCCTAGTTCTTTAACTCAAAGCAAAGAAAGGAAGAGATTTAATCTTACCTCCTCCTGGTTGCCATTGTCACTAGTAGCAGCCCTGAGCTCCTGACACCAGGCTGAAAGCAGAGGGGATTATGACACTAGTATAGTTAATAATTGTTGGCAGTAGGTAGACAGAAAAGTGCTCAATCACTTTTCTCATATACTTTACTCATATACTCCTTATATGAGTCCATTCTTACACTGCTATAAGAAAATACCTGAACCTGGGTAATTTATAAAGAAAAGAGGTATAGTTTTCTCATGCATATGCATGCTGTACAGAAAGCACTGCTGGGGAGGCCTCAGAAAACTCACAATCATGGTGGAAGGTGAAGGGGAAACAGGCACATAATTACATGGCCAGAGCATGAGGAAGAGAGCAAAGGAGGAGGTGCTACACACTTTTAAACAAGAAGATCTCATGAGAACTCACTATCATGAGAATAGCAAGGGGGAAATTTGCCCCCATGATCCTATCACCTCCCATTAGACCCGCTCCTACAACACTGGAGATTACAATTTAACATGAGATTTGGGCAGGGACACAAATCCAAACCATGTCACTCCTGCAGGTTAATTTCACTCTAACTGAATGTTTCTATTGAAGATATCATACCTTCCACCCTCTCTTACTTGTTTCTCTAGAAAAAGAAGAAAATTTTAATAATGATGTTGATAAATATTATTTAGATGACTTAGATTCTGAATTGCAAGGCATAATGAAGTGGGTTCTTACATAGATTCTTTCCAGATTTTTTTCTAGATATCATGTCATATACACATTGTTTTTCTACATGTTGACAATAAATCAGGGATCTATACTCTTGTAATTTAAAGATAGCGAAGGTGATCAGAGATCAGTGTGTTCAACCTCTGTGTTTCTCAATGGACAAATTGAAGCAGAGAAGTAAGTAGTTTGCCCAAGAATACTCAGATAGTGGCAGAACCGGAGCTGCAACTTTTGAAAATGATCTTTGATAATCAATGAGAATATGTAGTAACCACTTGCAATTTGTAAACCATGATATGGGATTTGAAAGGCTATATTAATAGAAAATAATTACTTGAAATTAATGGGAGTTTTTAAGTTCCCAGATATATAGACATTTAATTCACTGTCAAGTTGCCCATTTTGTTCTCCCATAAGGGTTTGCCTTTATGATAAAAACTGCCCTTGGTCATCATTCTAACCGTCCATGTTTCCAGTATTAGAATTATGATTCTCCAGTGAAGTGCATAAGGCAGGAGACATAAGAATCTCTGGAGGAGGAGTCTGTTTTTTTTGAACCACACAGGATATTACTAGAGGATGTGCAGTGCTCAGATAAACTCTGTGGAGTTGGAAAAAGGTTGAGAACTACTGCTAGAGAATTATGTGTTTTAACCGAGTAAAGGAACCAGATTTACGAAATTAGACAAAAATATGAAGTTAGATACAAATCAGAGTGATAGTGTCATTTCTAAAATCTGAGCAGATTCATAAGAATGGCAACATGATTCCCTCACAACTGTTCATTTCATTATTAAAGAGCATCAAATCATTCATACTATTCTTTCTAGCCTAAGAACAATTTTCACTCAATTTCAATATAAATAAGTTTGTATATTTCAGAGAAATGAATGTATGTGTTTCTTTCTTGGAAAGTAATTAAAGTATAAAATTTCTGAAAGTGTTTTCTAATATTCCAAATTGTGGTTGTATTTTACATTTATATACAGTTGATGGCCCCTTTATGTAACTTCAAAGAACCTTTTATTGGGAGTGCCTCAGTTTGCAGTAAATATTTAAGCCAATTTCTGGTCAGTTATACTGAGAGTGGTCTTATAAATGAATAATTTATAATGGTAATGGCGTATATGGTAAATAAGCACAATATTTGGAAGACTATTGCTGGGAATGGTTTATGGAAGTACATTCTGTGATTTTTCTAATATATTTGTTAATGTTTATAATTTGAATTAGGTAATAAATATACATCCAGAGGACAGTGTGTGTATTATCTAGCCACACTGGCTTTCCATCAGGTCAGCAAATGTGCTGAGCCTTGTTCGGCTTCAGGGCTTTGCAGGTGTTGTTAGTCTGGTCTGAGACTCTGTTGCTCCTTGTCTTTGTGAGGGCCCTTCCCCTTCAGATCTTTGTTGAAATGCCATTCCTTGCTATCCAAACTAAAAAATTTCCCTTGATATTCTCTCTGCCAGTAGTACTTTTATACTAGTTGCCATAATTTAAAATTGTGCATCTATTATTTGTTTGTTTTTGAGGCAAGATGTGTCAGCCTGTCACCCAGGCTGGAGTGCAGTGGCACAATCATAGCTCACTGCAGCCTCAACCTCCTGGGTTCCAGCCATCTACCAGCCTCAGCTGGTACTCCTAAGTAGCTAAGAGTACAGGCACGTGCCACCATGCCTGGATAATTTTATTGTTTTTGTAGAGATGGGATCTTGTTATGTTGCCCAAGCTGGTCTTGAATTCATGGCCTCAACTGATCCTCCCGCCTTGGCCTTCCAAAGTGCTGGGATTACAGGTGTGAGCCACTGTGCTGGGCTTTGTTTACTTAGATGTTTAGTGTATTTTTGTTTACCTTTATTTAACTCATCTTAGCACTGTGTCTGGTACTTTCTAGATAAATGTCCGGTAAAAGAATGCATAATATAAATAAAACATAATTTTATATATAATGGGTATTTCAACTTCCTGTTTTTCTTCAAGTGCTGAAATCTTTTTATTGTTCTATTTTTTTATTAGCTCCATGTATTATTCATGGTTTTTGTCTACTGTTGGAATACAGAATTATATTTTTCTAACTATTGATGAAATTAATGTGAGGTCTATGGTGATGAATACATTTGACATTGTCATTTTTCCAACTAATTTGAATTAGAAATAATAATTGACCTTATGAATTATGTGCATGGGATGGTTTATAGGGGTTTGAAAGAGGCAGACACTTGCTACAGGTTTTAAAAATCATCAGGGTTAAGTATAAGAAGCATTATATCTGGGAAGTACAGGGAAAGGCAATTGCATTATTTTTCTTAATTTGCTTTTCTAGGTAAGCAATATGTACTTATTAAGATTTTATTTAAACAATTGAAATGGGGAGCTGCAGAAGAACATTATTGTTTCTTTCTATTCTTCCTTGATGCCCTCCCCTCCCCTCCCCTTCCCTTCCCTTCCCTTTCCTTCCCTTCACTTCCCTTCCCTTCCCTTCCCTTCCCTTCGCTTCCCTCCCCTTCCGACAGAACATCACTCTGTTGCCCAGGCTGGAGTGCCATGGCACGATCTTGGCTCACTGCAACCTCCGCCTCCTGAGTTCAAGCGATTCTCGTGCCTCAGCCTCCTGAGTAGTTGGGATTACAGGCACCCGCCACCACACCCAGCTAGTTTTTGTATTTTTAGTAGAAACAGGGTTTTCCTGTATTGGCCAGGCTGGTCTCGAACTCGTGACCTCATGATCAGCCTGCCTCGGCCTCCCAAAGTGCTGGGATTACAGGCGTTAGCCACCATGCCGGGCCCCTTGACGTCATTTTTCTATGTGGTCACTGTTCTCAGTGCTGGATCAGAAGAATAGCACTGTATGTATGTGGGCTTCCATGTGTCATTTAATAAATGTTGAGTGACTATATGAATGAAGGAGTGGAATGTTTCTTGTTATGGAAAAGCATACAGTTTGGTGGAGAGGACGGATCTTTAAACAAATTTTGCTCTAGAGGCAGAGGAGGGAGCCACAAGGTTCCCAGCGGAACAATTTAGCAAAGGCAGATAGTAGATGACATTTCACCTAGGTGTTGATGTAAGAGTAAGAGGCAGTGAAGGGCATTCCAAGGAGAGGAGTAGTAGGTACAAGGCCTAGAGGCATGAAAAGATTGTGGTAAGTTTGGGAATCAGGAGAAATTCAGTGTAGCTAGAGTGTGGGAAAATAAGAGAAAACAATGGCATAGGGGTTTGGAGCAATACTGTGAAGGGTTTGGAAGAGGCTACTGAGTTGTGATTTTATCCTGGAGATGGGTAAATACTGGAGCTTTCATCTAGGACATTAATGTAAACACATTTTGTTTTTGGTTTTATTTTTTAGAAATGTATTTTTGGTAGTGAAATGGAAGATGGGCCGGAAGAGAAAATCTGGACTCCCAGAGTTCAGGTTAGGAGACCAAGATAACCTAGATAAGAGATGATGAGGACTTAAACTGATGTTGACCAGGTAGACGGAGGGGAAAGGATGGATTATGGAACACAGTTGACATTTGAGAGATACTTGTGTGCAAGGCACACAGCAAAGGTTACTGATTCAGTTAGTGACAGGTGGTGGGGGATGAGCAGGGACGGGCCAGTTTTGTAATCTGGGAGAGTTTTCAAGATGTATTCCCTCTCTGACATCTATTAACTAGCACAGAGTCTTCAGGATATTATTAGGTGCTCAATAAAAGTTTATTGTATGAGAATAAGCAATATTTTCTTTATCTCTCATTTGGTTGTATCTTTCCCTACTTTGTTATTTCATTTTTTCTTACATTTTATCCTTGTATTCTGACACTATTTCTTAGTTTTGCTTCTGTTTTCCCCAGAAGAGTACTTTGGTTAAAATGTATCACTTGCAAAATAGAATAACACACCGCCATGTAGTGTTGCTTCAGGTTATAATTTTCCATATATGTACAGTATGCCAAAAGGATGCTGCTTCTAGAGAGAATGTTTAAAACTCACTTCTCTAGATTTTTTTAAAGTTACTTTAGTGTTTCACATGTTTGCCAGATATCATTGTCATTGAAGATAAGCATTGATTAAATTTCAGAATTTTATTAATGAAAGCAATCTTTTGAGCAAATTTAGAAAATAAATTTAGTTTTGGTAGGGTATATTATTTATTTTTTGTAGCAAAATTATTTCTTCATAATGTCAAAGATAATAGTCAGTGTTTTACATTATCAAAGTAAATTCCCAAAGGTAAAGAATGATTTGTGAGTGCCACTGGGCTTGGCTGTGCTGAAATTGTGAGCCTGTTGTTACTTCTGATTTATGACTGGGAAAGTCTGTGTTCATTGTGCTCACTCTGATGTCCTAGTCAGGAAACCAAAAAAAAAAAAAAAAGGAAAAAACACCACCAAACTGGGAGATGTCATTTTATATGGTTATTTTTTCTATCTTCAAGACAAAATCACCAAGATAACATTTTTGAAGCACCAACCTGCACTTCGGGCTGATGAGTACTAGTGGAAGGCGTCATCTTGGAATTTTACAACCCACAGTCACATGACTACAGCTCCCACCAACAATATATCAAAAAGAACAGGTTGTTTGTGTCACTAAACACTATAATAAAAGAACAAAATAATATTTACAGAATAACAGTTTATACTAGAGCAATAGTTTAAAATCTGGTTGTATATCAGAATTACCTGAAAGCTTTTTTCAAATATTGTTTCTGGGTTCCACTCTCTGGAAGATTTTGATGCCACAGGGCAGGGTTAGGCCCGTAGAGCATATGTAGAAGTTGTATCTGGGAAGCATGGTTAGTAGCAATAGGACAATATGGAGGACAGACTATTCTAGGAGATTGTTAATGGACAGAGTTTAGCTTCTTAGTGATGTTAAGGGATGAAGGTGCTAATATTCAGTCATTCAAAAAGGCGTATTGGATTTTTTTTTAAAAAAATATATCTACTTAGAGCAAATATGTAAAAAGTTCAAATTTTAAAAATTCTGGTAAATTTCTGGGTGTTATATATTATTCCCAATACTTTTCTTTGTTTAAATTTTTAAAAAAGTGTTGATGCAGTTGAAATTGCTTGTTGCTCTCTGAACATTTGCATCTTTCTTAAGAGATTACAGATTTTGTTCAGATGCACAAAAGTCAGGTGAAAAGATTCTGATTAGTTTCAGCCAGTCATGGTCATCCTGTTCCCCTTGCAAGTGATTGGTTTGGAGGTCAGCCTGTGACTCAGTTCTGGCCAATGAGATGTGAGAGGACATCTCCTGGAGGGTTTCTGGAAAAGTGTTTTTAAATATTTTTAGAAAAAGACATTAAGGGAGAATGCCCCCTCTTTTCAAGGCTTGATGTCATTCTTTGATGAAATGCCTGAAGCTGCATCATAGACTCATAATTATGAGGGCAATAGTCAGATGAGAAAGTTGACATGCTGAAGATGACTGTAAACATATGGAATCTTTGTCTTTCATGATATAAAGCTGTGAAATCAATAATAGTAGAGCTGCGCTATTTTTGGATTTTCTGTTATATGAGATGATAAATATTTGTAAGTTAAGTTATATGAGGGCCAGGTCTTTATACATTTATTCTTTGTAATATCCCTTATTCCAAGAATGGTGCCTGGCACCATAGTATATAAAAAAAAATTTATAATAATGTATTTAAGTCGGTTTGCAGCCAATGTTACCTTGAGAGATTTAGTGGGTTTTAATGGCACAATTAGAGGAAAAACATCTGTGTAAATGGTCTCAATCATGTTAATCTTTTATTTCTTTTTTTCTTTCTTTTCTTTTTTTTTTTTTTTTTAATTTTGATGGAGTCTCTCTTTGTTGGCCAGGCTGGAGTGGTATAATCTCAGCTTACTGTAGCCTAGACCTCCCAGTCTCAAGTGATTCTAACAGCTTAGCCTCTCAAGTAGCTGATACCACAGGCACATGCCACCACACCCAGTTTTTTTAAAAGACAGGGTCTCACTATGTTGCCCAGGCTGGTGAAAAACTTGTGGGCTCAAGGGATCCTCCTGCCTCAGCCTCCCAATGTGCTGGGATTACAGGCATGAGCCACTGTGCCCAGCCTCAATCGTGTTAATCTTGAAATGTGGTTAATGAGTTTGTCTCTCTGTGCCATTTGCAGATGCTTATATGTTAAGTAACATTTTATTCCCAAGGAGTTTAAAATTATCTTGCTACTTTGATGAAGACAAAATCTAAAATTAATACCCCCCAAATCATGCTCCAAAAAATTAAAACATGGGCAAGATTTTAATCTCAGGAGAAAGCAAATGAGAATGAGAAAATAATGTCATTTTTACTTATTCATTTATGTGCTAGAAATTTCCATTGTGTTTAAGCTGTCTATCACATATAAAGAAGAATTAAAAATTAGTATATGTGAATCTACTTCTGCAAGTTTGGAAACTTTTGTTGCACGATTTATCTGAATATTGTTGTTCGATTATGTGGGATAAGCAGCTTGTTCATTACTTCCTTATGGAAGAAACTCACCAGGATTTTCTATATGGGTTGGACAAGATAATTAGCACCATCCCAGTTTTTTCCTAAGTTAATTCTTAGAACTTTGCTTGCAGTCCTAAATTATCAAATTATGTCAGACAGAGGTTCATCTATAATGAGAACTGTTATTAGAATTAAAGCACAAAGATTTCCTTTTCTCAATGTATTTTAAGGGAATTTATGGAAGTCCTCCTAGTAACAACTACTCACCAAAGAACTTTGAGGGCTATGAGCACTACTATTAAAGTTTTGGAAATGTATAATAATAGAATTGATTTTCTTCTGATTTACCTTGTGTAAACTACCAGAAATAAATTTAATTTTGTAAATGTTCAGTTAGCAATTTGTATGCTCGTCTACGTAATTCCATATCTCATAACTGGAACTTCATTTGCATTCCCACTGCCCTAATCTCAAGGAGATACCAGTTTCACTTGTATATTAAGTTGGGTTTGCTTTTATTACAAGGAGGAAAAAACTTTCAGTTACGAAATTTGACTTTGACTTTTCTGACGCTGTTTTCAAAAAGGTTACTTAACTAGTATTTTAGATGCATTTCTCTACACATAGTATGATATCTGTAACTGAATCTTTAATTCCCTAGTTACAACAGAGTGAATTTCTTGAATCCTTGCTACACTTCCGCCATCCTCATATTATGCTTTTACAGCAATTCCCTAGACTCGTGAAGGTGAAGGATGAAGTTTATAATGGTATTGAATACCAAACTGTTGCTTGATTTATTCAGGAAGGTTGTTATATGCTGGGATCAAGTGACAGCTTAAAAGCTAGTATAATTCATCATCATCAGTTAATTTTCACTTGGTGTCCACTGGGTGCTGAACATCATACAAGGCTCTTTGTCAGCATATATGTGTCTGATACGGTTGACGGAATTCTAAGAATATAGGATCTTGTACTGAAGGAACTCTATATAATAATCAAGGCAAGTCAGCAAATGCCCAGTATTGTCAAACTCTGTGTATAAAATGTATTCTATTAAAAATACTTTATTTTTGTGAAGGGTTCATGTCAGTAAATTGAGGTCCCAGACGCAGTATCTATACTGCTACCAGAAGAAAGGGGTGAATTGGATAGACCAAGAGCAGTTATCTACTATGGTCTTGTTTTTGGCTGATCAGCACACACTTATGTGTGTATAAACATGCAGATGATGTCACAATGTTTCTACTTAATGAGATCCAATGATCCCTCACACAAACGTATATGTACTTCTCTCCCTAATGAGAAACAAATCAAAGTAACATCCAGATGAAGCATCTAGAGCTAGTGTCATGTTATTCCACAGACCTCTAGGTGATGTTTGTTCCTCTTCTGAAGTAATTCAGAAATCTGTCCTAAATCAAATTTGGAAGTAGCCCTTCATGATCCTGCAACATGTGGCTTAAAACACCTCTGGATAGGCAGAACGTAGGATAGCCACAGTGTAAACTCTGAAGTACAGTGCTGGTCTAGGGAATGCACCATTTTTCCCTGGTTAGGGCTGGTACAGAAGATAATATGGCCAGGGACTATCATAAGCATCTTGTTGTTGAGTTTCTTCCCTGACCTTGGTCTGGGTTCTGTCCCAGTGGATTTGTTACTGAAGGATTATCTGTTAAGAAGATTCCCCTTGTTTGGGGACCTTCATAGCCATCTCTGAGAAGGGGTTCAGGGAGGATTCCCTTGCAGGGGCCTTAGCAGTTCTTTCTTTGTTGGCAACAAGGACTTGGATTCAGATTCCCTTAGGGTGGAACAGTCATAAGCATTTATTTGCTAGGCTGGGGATGTTTCTAGCAATACAGTTTCTTTATTATTTTTGTTGATTGCTTATCTATCTTATTTTTTTGTAGGTGGCAGTAGAGGATTTCATTTTCTGGTCACTGGCTCCAAATTTGTGTCAAATAATGATCTTTGACTCTGGTCCCTTGCTTTACCACTTTCGTTTTTGGGCTCTGGGCTATCCATATCGCCTTTTGTATCAATTTAATAGCTTCCTGTCACTAGCTGTACTTCTGCAAGTGGTGAGGCTTGACCTGGGTTGCTGCGCCTTCCCCAGGATTTACTCCTTGTGAATGAATGATCTGAATGACTTAAAGGCAGTGAGTGGGGAAGGCACTTGGATGAGCCTGGAGTTTCAGTCTTCAATAGTTCAATCTCCTCCCTAATATTTCCAGCACTTTAGTCAGCATACTAAACTCAAACAAGTAACTTGGCTGCTGAAATTCAGCTAACATGTATATGATTATCATGACTTTAGTGGTCTCAGATCCCTGGCTACCAAGGCTGTTCCTTAGTTTGTACATGTGTGAATTGCATAAAGGCAAGTGGGGGCTGAACTTCAGTTCTTCCTCTACTCACCAGCGCTTGAACCACAGCAAGCATGACTTTTTGAAATGTGTCTCTACAGAGGAGAGGACCTTTTTGAGTTTACACAATAAGAAATTTATTTGCACATTGCTGGCTATGGCTGTATCACCTGTAGGTAAAAAAACAGCTTTTAATAAAGCTGTCTACTTTTTCTAGTTGGCTTTTACTTCAACTAGTTAGAATGAAGTGTATTGTTTTGTTGTAGGAACTTCTGAAGGCCATAAAAAGTCTAACATACAAATATATGGACAGTTTTCTGCAGAGTACCATGAAGATCCAGTCTTAGTATACACATTTCAAGAACTGATGAGCTGCTCTTTAATATTAACTGCTGATTTTTCAGGTTAGGATGGAGTGATCTCATTGTTCCCATTCTTGCCTTTACTTACCTAACTTCACATTTCAACAATCTACTTCTGATACAGGTGTTTATATTAGGTCGGAATTCTTGGTTTCAAACTTTTTTATATATATCCTTGTTTTATCAGAGAGCCTGAATCACACAGAGGGGAGTAAAGGGATCCAAAAGCAGGGCTGGGTCTGGGACCTCTATCAGAAAAGCGTTCTGCATCTATCTAAGTTTGTCAATATATTCATTGAATTGAAACCTGAGAGTGCTGTATGCTTCTTAATGGGAGGTCTTCTTGCATACTTTGTGACCTGTATTGCTTGCTTTTGTGCTTTTATCCTCAAATGAATGACAAATTTGGCTTTACATCAGGCTAGCTTTTGTACATCATAATTTCTTGTTAATTTCTCTGGATAATAAGCATTAGAGAAAAGCTATACTTGGATAAAATATAGTGGATTTTTTTTTCTTCATTGGTTTACTATCTGGGGATGTTTTAGTAATACATGCAGATCTTAAAAGAAAATGCTGATTATTTTCTTTAAAACTCTTATATTTGGATTTACTTTTCTATCACATCATAGTTTTTCTGAAAAGTGAAAGAAAATGTTTGTATATTAACTTGAAAATGTTTATTTGCAAAAAGGCTTTGGGCTGATTTACAGAAAAAAAAAGTTAATAACACAGAATAAAAAAACAAAAGACAAATAGTAATTCAGGAATAAATGGGGAAAAATTATGTAGAGGAGGATAAGGAAATGGAAAAACAAGGGTTAGAGGCTGGGAAGCTAGGCCTCCCCGTACATAGGAGGATCTGTCATTTCTCTCATTTGCATATGAAGTCCTAATGTGGGGGAGGGAGGGAATGTTTAGGGTAAGGGGTGAAGTAACTTTTGTAAGACCACAGAAATGGGAAATACTGACTCTAGCATTCAAACCCCGGTTTGTCTTGTTCAAAATCTACAGGCTTACCACTATTTATTTTTGCCAATATCTTGTTTGAGGAAAGCTGTTAGCAGTTACACATACATTACTCCTGATACAAAGGTGATCAACTCATCCCAGATTGCCGGGGACCGACCTGGTTTAAAACTAAAAATTCTTCATCCCAGGAAGCCCCACCCCACTCTACCACCCCCTTAGACCTGAGTAAACTGGGATTGTTGGGTCACCCATCTGATATCCTCCTAGTCATGATTAGGATGGAAATTTGAGGAAATTTTACATAATGGTCTTCAAATGGCAAAGTAAGGTGGGATGGATACTTTTTCTGCAAAACTACATGATATCATTATTATACCTCATTAATAATTAGACCCTGCATTGTAAAGATTGTCAACTTTCTTTTTCTCTCTTTTTTTTCTTTCTTTCTTGAGACAGGATCTCCGTCTGTCACTCAGGCTGGAGTGCAGTGGCCTGATCATGGTTCACTATAACCTTGCCCTCCTGGGCTCAAGCCATCCTCCCACTGTAGCCTCCCGTGTACAGGCATGTGCCATCACACCTGGTTAATTTTTTATTTTTTGTAGAAACAGAGTTTCACTATGTTGCTCTGGCTGGTCTCAAACTCCTGGGCTCAAGTGATCCTCCGACCTCAGCCTCTCAAAGTGCTAGGCTCTGCACCTGGCTCAGATTGTCTACTTTCTAAGGTCCACTGTAGCTGTGGATTTAGTAGCATTCTTTCTACTACTATTAAGAGATTGTTTATATGTTATTAATAGATTGTTTATATTTTTAGCCGATCATCATTTAAACATTTCCTTCTTGTGAAATTTGGCATATTTTAAGTCATTTGGGCTAAAGGCAGTTTATGTATCGTGTGTGTGTGTATATATATATATATATATATGAATATATGTGTATATATGTGTATATTCACAGTACATAGTTGTTAATAGGCCTTGATAGAAGCTATTAATGTTTTATAGAGTCTCAGCATTAATTCTATAGTTTAAATAGGATAAAAGTTAATTCCCTATGGAACAGTAGGAAATGAGCATTCCAGGTCAGTGAGAGGCTCCCCTCCCTGCTGCCATACAGATTCCTTTTGTTTGGTCTCTGGAACATCTCTTAAGATATTTCACTCAGCTGTGGTCAAAACTGGTTTGCTGCCAACTGCAAAAAACAAAGTATAGAGAGGGCACACCCGGGTTTTAAGGCCCAATCCTAAAAGTGGCAGAAATA
This sequence comes from Homo sapiens, assembly GCF_000001405.40. Lineage (NCBI taxonomy): Eukaryota > Metazoa > Chordata > Mammalia > Primates > Hominidae > Homo > Homo sapiens. The sequence continues at coordinate 114,973,458 of NC_000007.14, forward strand.
ATTCCTGCTCTCATTCCTTTAGAGAGAACGTAGATACATACCTGAACCTAACTGCAAGGGAAAGCTGAGAAATGGGACTAGCCACGTACTCAGGACAATTGGGAAAATTAATTTGGAGAAGAATCTCTTACTCCAGGCATTATTTAAATCTAAGTACTCTCTAAATGTTCTTAATGAAATGCAGAAAAATTATTGCCTCTCTAAACACAACTTCTAAAGTTTTATCCTTTCTTTGGGGATGGGGGTAGTTGTACTTCCTGTTGTCATCTGGAGATTTATTTTGCAATCATTAAAACCGAACTAATGTTAAAAATTCTGTAAGATGTGATATAATCATAAAACAATTGCCTCCTTTGCGAGTTCCCAGCCAGGTAGTTACAGAATTTGACTGGGATCCTTAAATTGATCAATGTTCCAAAAAATGTCAGAATTCCAAAATGTATTTCAGTATGTTAAATATATACATCAAATAAAATAAAGATGGAAAATATGATGTCATAAAAGAGTCCAGAAGCTCAAGAGGCAAATAAAAAAAAGATTAGAAGGCCCTTGCCAGGGAACTAAAGAAACAGATACAGAAAGTGCCAGAAGCTTCTAGACTATGTCAGTATTGGGATATAGGGTCCATGTAGGGTCTCCATATTGAGGAAGATTTGGATCAAGTTGATGAAAAGAGTTGGGTATTAGGATGTTTATTTTAGTTGATTTTAGCCTAAATTCACATTATATAGCAATAAAAATGTAAGATAGTTTTTATCATGTTAGTTCATATTGAAATAACTTTTCATCTTCCTTTTAAAGCTGTTGTATATATGCAAATAATTGCATATATATGCATATTATATATATATATATCTTCTACTATCTGTGTGTATATTTGTCCCATTGTGACCATGGAGTAGCAAAGTCCTGGGCACCAGTAAAAGCTTTGTTGCCATCCCTGGGAAAAGTCATTTAGATTTACACCAAGTCATTTTCCCCCTCCATATTCTACATTGATCATTTTGTTACTGACAATTTTACATCCTGAGCATTTAATTTTGATTTTTTTATGTGTACAACAACCATTTAAACTGAATAGCATGAGAATTCTTTTGTAATTTTATTAAATCTGACTTGTGTAAAGTGACCAGTGGCTGAAGATGATTTGCACATGCTAATAGATTATACACTATAGCAAAATGTTGCTTTATATTGCTACTCCAGCAGCTGTGGTTTCAAGTATAGTTATTACTAGCTACAATATCACCAGTTTTTTAAAAAAATTGTCAAAAGAAGTTCATGCTATTGACTCATTTACTCCCATATTTATTATTCTTATTGAAAATCGCTAGACCTAATTCTATTGGTTTCCTTCCTGATTGAAAACATTTGAACCTAGAAAGTGCAGTATTTCTTAAGTCATTTGTAACTATTCATCATGGATATTAAAATTACAATCATGCTGTATTGTGTCAGCAATGTTTTTTTTTTTTAATCTTTACACATATGCTAAGCCGGTGACCAATGCTATCCAGGTTTGAAGATGCTGAATGTTCTTATAAGTGGTATTTGAAATTTTGATGTGTATTGCATTCATTACTGAATATCAAGAATACTTTTTTTTTGCTAGTATTATGGAGTAAATTTAAAATGGGGTCTTTTGTAGAAGCACCTATCCTGTTTAGAATGATATAACAGATGCTGAATGTTCACATATCAAACAAAATGCCAGCTTTCTTTAGAAAAGAGGTGTCAAAAAGTTTCTTTGTACCTTTAACGCATGTGATTATGTAGTACAAAATGCAGAGTTTGTAAAATTTCGTGAACATACAGGCAAAAAAATGAATAATTCAAAACAACTCATAAGTTCTACATTCTATTGTCCCTTTATAACGCAGGCAGAAGATAGCAGTGCACTCCCAATAGAGCTGAATTTGCACAAGTTACACCTCTGAAAAATGCCAGATGGTCTATGGTCTACTTTTGAGAGCTGTCACATATGTAAAGATTTGAAAAAAGAAAGACAGCTGAATGAGAGCAGTGGATCATTAAAGGGAGAGTGAGGGTCCCTAGGCATCACTTGTGTTTTAAGAAGCATTGTGTCGTTTCCATATTAGCATGCTTTTTTTTTTTTTAAAGCCATACACAACTTTGACACAATAAGGAAGGAAATCTGTTTAAAGCCAAGTTGTTGTGGTTTAATCCGTCAGGTGTTTTTGTTCTTCATTTGAAAATAAAATCATGTTTCCTACTTGGTTTTAACTCTAATTTTACCATAAGATTCAAGTCATACCCATAAATAATTAACAATAAAGTTAAATTTAATTTCTGTTGAGATAGCTAATGTATTTAAGGCTTATCCAGTTTTGATTTGACTTACGTAATACACACATCTGGCAAAATCATTCAACTAATAAATATTTTAATGTTAAAAAAACTAGAGTAAAGGGATAATACTTGGTTATCTGATCATAATCCAAACTATAGTGAAAATAATTAGGTGACAGTGAAACAAAAATAATGTACTATTATTTATCTGCCAACAGAAATGGATATCATTTTAAAGATTGAAATGTAGATAAACCATTAAGGATGCGTGAGAATATCACTCCAGCCATACCTAGTAATTTGCAAATAGTCAATTTTGATAGCAGAAAAAGGTCAAATATGTCAGTTTTAGAATTTGGTAGCCAGGATACAAGTGTCTTTTACCACTCTTATTTTTATTTACTAAAAATATTTATTACATAGTAATTCTAAATTTATTTTGAATTATGAAATATGACAAGACATTTTTGATTGACAAGGAGTCTCCCCAGCTTTGGTCAATGACATTTCAACTCAATCAAGCTCTCAGATTGCTTGAATTATTCTTTCCAGAGGAAAAAGTGGCTTTCCAGAGGAAAAACCAAATTAGGTTTAACTGTCTTTTTTGGCATCTTTTTAAATATGTATGCATAACTAGCTTTATGTTCAATAGCGGTCATTAGAATGTCATTCTAGTTGATACAAGAAGTTACAGAAGCAGCAAATTCATCTCTAAATCAAACCATTGCACACCCGTAGAAATAGATCTCCTTTTACAGAGGCTTTGTAGATTTTAGTTATGAAAAGGGCATATATAACTGCTAAACAGATGTTTACTTTTAGACTATTATTCCTCTTTATCACTAAAGAACTGAAAAACGGTAACAGGATGTTCTATATTAGTTTTTATAAATCAGATATTAATGCTAATAGACTTGGTGTGAAAGTGTACATTTAAGTAAAAAATCCATCATTTTTCTTAAAATATGCTAATAAATGAGTAGAATATTTTGATATGTTAAGATGTTTTTCTTCACAATACATAGGATGTATGAACAAGAACTGAAGTAAACAATGGCTTACTAAAGACTTACTCAGATGCAAACTGTCTTTTTTTTTTCTGAAAAATGCTTCAAGTCTTACGTAGTCACCAAAGATAATAAGTCCTCTTTAGCACATTTATCAACCCCACGTATAACTGTTACAACCTTAAATGTAATACTTTTCCAAGTGGAAGAGTTCTTCATAGTCTTATGTAATTTACATTTCATAATTGCTTATAATCGCGAACAGAAAAAAAGACTAATTAAAACAGTAAGTTTTAGATTTTGAAATTCCAGGAAAGTATAGCACAGTAAAATTTTCACAATGAATGTTTTTTGTTGTTGCTGGTGATTTTGCTGAAAAGCTGTGATATATAGCTTTGCTTAAAATGTATATAATGAAGATAATGATGATTTTAATACTTAATCGATGTAAACAGATAACTTTTGGGGGGCATCAAGGCTTTTAGCTGCAAATATCTTGGCTAATTTAAATAGAAAATAAATTTATTAGCAGCACATAGATGCTCCCAGAGTTATACAGACAAGGATCATGTCCATCCATTCAGTAGGGCTGTTCTGTTGAAAACCCCACTGCTGTAGCACTGGGCCACTGTTTTGCTAGGAGGTGAGGGACACCATAAGTTGTCCCTCACTGCTAAAATCAACAAATACCTCTTCACTCCCTGTGTTGAGAGGCTCCACCACCCTGGTGTGGCTAACAGCTTGCATTGATCACTTCCAAATGCAAGCCATACTTCTCTTCTGGCAGAACTTAGGTCACATCCTTGTCCTCTAGCTCCAGAGTAGCCTAGGGATGTCGTAGAGGAATTTACCTAACTCCATGAGTGTGACCAGAATGCTGGACAACACAACACAACAGGTGAATATTCACATTTGTTTTATGATTCATTGTCTAAAAAATCATATTTGTTTGTGCTTATGCTATTAAAACAGTCTCCTCTATTTACACTTTAAATAAAAAGTTTTGTTTTTTATATATAGGCATTTAATACATTTGGAATTTACATGTACTAATTATATTAAGTATACTATACCCAAATATTAATTGTATAAATATTAACATTTATATAATTAATTATATTTTATTTATATATTTTATATATCACATAAATATTATATATGTATTATATAATAATTACATAATCAACATAATTATATTAGATTATATTGATATAACCATTAATATTTATATTAATATTATTATATTAATTGGTATAATAAAATAATTATGCATATTATTTATATTGTACCCAAATATGTAGGTGTGTGCATGTCTACCTTATATTAATATATGAGTCCCATATTTGGGGCTCAATAATTTCATAAGCTTCATTGGCTTGTATGTCTATGCCTGGTCCAATGCTGTACTGCTTTAGGTGCTGTGATAGAAATATCTCATACATCAAATCCTACAACCCTCTTTTTCTTCTAAAAATTTCCTTGGTCTTTCTTGATTACTCTTCCATATACATTTTTGGATCAGCTTGTCAAGTTCCATAAACAAGCCTGTTGGAAATGTTATGGAAATGGCATTAAATAATAAATCGGAGAGAATTAACATAATTAACATATTTATACTCTCTCCACTTATTTGGGTTTTTTCTATGACTTTCAGTAGTGTTTTGTAATTTTTGCCATAAAACCTCTGCCCATTTTTTTCTAGTTTAATTCCAAAATACGTATAGCATCTTTTGTTTGTTTGTTGGCTTGTTCTTTCTTTTTTTGCTATTGTGAAGAGTTATTTTTCTTGTTTATTTGTTAATCGGTTATACTCTTTGCTTACAGGAGCATTGTTGATTTTATATGGTTGTGTATCAATCTTGCTACATTTTTAGACTTTCAGTTTTTATAGTCTTAAACTTAGATTATATATATACTATATATTTGAATGTTCCCCAGAACATCCAAATCTGTGCACATCTCAAAAATTTTGTTCATTCCTGTCTAGAAGTCAGACCTATTAAATTTCTTTGTCTTGTTTATTGCTTGTACTATGATCTCCTGCACAATATTGCATAAGTCACGTAAGGGTGGGCATTTGACATACTTCTAAAGTCCTGACATTTAATTTTGGTAGATATGTTTTATTAAAGAAATTATCTTGTATTCCTAATTTTTCATAACTTGTTTATTTAAAAATCAAATTAAAGAATAAATATAGAAAAGATTTTCTTCTGCAGGATTCACAATGGGATTTTTTTTAAAAACACTGTATTTTTCTTTGTATTGTCTGGCTTTGAATACCAGAACTTATCATTTCTTTCCTTTTATTTGAAAAGACAATTGAGTAGTTTGTTATTAGTAGTAGTATTGAGATAACACTGTTGTGTCTATGCACAAAGAGGGCTCAGCATATAGAAAATAATCAACATTCTCTGAATGAGTCTTAAATTACCTTTTCAGATTTCTAACTTAAATTTTCTTTAAAACCGCCCAAAACAGTATTTCTATGGTCTACTTTTTATATCCTTGTACAAACCCACTTTTGATGACCCCGTTCCCATTTTCCATTTTAGTAAATTATACTTTCTCTATGTCTATGTTAGTATTTTTCTTTCTTTTCTTTGTTGCCTCTTCAGTGTTAGTATTATGGGTAAAACCCCAAATCTCTGTTACTGAATGTATTTTCATTATTTTAAAATATTAATTTCTTTTTCTTTAACTGGCTGACTTTTTCCTGTTTTTAATTTAGCCCAACCTCAGCGCTTGCCTCAGCTTCAGACTTCAGCCCAGGTGCCAAGTGGTGAGGAAATAGGCAAGATAAAGAACGGCCACACAGGTCTGAGCAATGGAAATGGAATTCACCACGGGGCCAAACACGGATCCGCAGATAATCGCAAACTTTCAGCACCTGTTTCTCAAAAAATGCATAGAAAAATTCAGTCCAGCTTGTCTGTAAACAGCGATATCAGTAAGAAGAGCAAAGTAAATGCTGTCTTTTCCCAAAAGACAGGCTCTTCACCTGAAGGTAAGTTTGAGATATATGTAGATTTTATTTGACCAGATGTAAAATAATATTTCCTGGTAATTATTTGATCAAGCATATATAATTGAAGAATCTTGCTTATCCTTCAGACAAACAGGAATTTTGGTAAAATGCAGATTAACTTTCCCAAAGGAAAGCACAAGATAGAAAAGGAAGCAGTGGCAGCTGACATCCTGCTTTTAGATAATCGTCTTCTAGAGTGAATAGTCATTACTTTAAATATAACTGCTATACTTCTTTTTTTAATGCCACATTTAAAAATATAAATACAACATTTTGATGGCATACATGAGTGTGTGTGTGTATTTTTATCCCTCCCTGATGCAATATGTTATTCTATAGTTCAGAGATAAGATTACCTGCTTGTATTTTTGTCTTGCAAATCGGTTCTTAAATAGACAAAGCTAAAATGAGAGAAAGATTAGGTAATTTTCATGCTCTTGCCAGGGAATAGGCCAGGTGATTTCTGTTGCTTGACTGACCAGCATCTTCCAGCCGCCACGTTGGCCAGCACCTGCAACCATCTCCACTCCCATCCCATTTCAGCCTCACTGTGGTCTGGTCTTCACCTCCTCCTTTAGAGACACTTGGCTGTGTTCTCTGTCCCCTGGAGAACTAGTTATTACCTCTTCAGTTCTATCTCATCCTGCCCTTGGCTGGGTTAAAAGCAGGTTAAATACTATGAACCTGAGAAAGTTCTTTATTAATCAAATTGCACATGGTGACAATTAAAACAGACTCCCTTTACATGATTCATTGTATTATATTTCAAAAATAAAAATCTCCCATATTTAAGGATCCAAATTTCTTTCCATGTATCCATGGTTCTCTGGTTTTCCTCCTTTCCCCTTTTAGCAGTTATTGGATGTCTAAAGTCTTGAATCTGTTATATGTATCTGATATACATATATTTCTCCTTATTCCCCTTTCCTTTCTATTTTGCTATGAAATCTTAAGTAAGAGAAATTTTGTGGAATGCCTCTGTGAAGTTGGTCATGCTTATTCATAGAGACAAATTGAGTTGTAAATAGGAAATTGTATTGAGAATTACCAGTAATGAGTGGGAGAAAGGATATTGCATTTTGGCTACAGGTGTCTCAAACTCAACTGAGATAAAGTGTTAGGTTGATCAAATGATATGATAATAAATGGTCTGCATAGTTCCAGGTCAGTGACACTACTTTCCAAACTAATTAGATTGAAAGGGACTTGATTGACACTTTAAAATGAGTTTGACATGTAAGCTGCATGGTCATCTCTGAAGCATAGGTAGGCTGTTAACTAAACTGGCTCTCCAAGGAGTTGGGAAAGCAATGCAATTTTCTTTAGAGGATCTTCGCTTCTAGGTGATCGGGTGAAATAATTGAATGCAATTGAAATGTACTTGTTTTATACATTTGAATTCACTTATTACGTCCCTAACCTCTTATTTTCCATTTGATATTTACTTATTTTTGTATTAAAGAATGGTAACATTCGCATATCAGTCCTAACTTGAAATAGCTTATGGAATGTTTATAAATTTTTTTATTATTGCTTGCCTTTAATACCATGTCTGAATTTATTTGTAATGTAGGAATGCAGCTTCATAAGTAACATACGAAGGAGGAAGAAAATCACCGGTATATGAATGAGATACAGTTTTACTCTTCCTCTTTCTCTCCCTTCTCCTTTATTCTCCCCCTTCCCTCCCTCTTTTACTTTTTCTTTCTCTTCTCTCATGCTCACATTCACACTTATGGCCTACCACAGAGCTCTGGATAAGGGAAGTCCCTTGTAATCTGTGTAATCTGCTTTTATCACAAAATATGTTCCAGATTGGGTTGGAGACATGAGGAGCATAAAATACAAATTTAAATGTATAAACACATTTTGCAAAGTCTTATCCATATCTTCATTGTAAGACTATAGAATTTAGACAATTGTAGGTTTGTTTTATTGTGATTGCTTGAATCTAGATTAAAATTTGATTGTCCATATTTTTCTCAAAGTTCGATATCTTCATGATTTGTTAGTATTTAAGGTTGTGCCCTAAAATTTTGTGTTTCTTCTGACTTTCAGTTTTGAAGTTATGTTTATTCTCTGGCAATGTACTGTAATAAAAACCAAAACCAAAACAAAACAAAAAATCCGTTGAACTGGTAGATGGCAAATTAAAAGGAAAAACATTCTCAATTCTGCCACCAGCTTGCTGGGGTACTTGAGTTTCTATGGGCCTGCTTTTTCTGTGGAATGAAGGGTTTGGATTAGATAATTTTAAAAATTAAGTTCGGTTCCAAGATTCTGTGAGTCTCTTTTTACAGCACCTGCTTGACTCTCAGGATAGATCTCTTGCTCTATAGAATATGTGATCTCTTGTTGAGGAAACACCTAAAACCTGATGTGCAGAATGGGGCAGGGGCAGAAACAGTTGTGGTGAACAGAAATAGCACCTGAATTTCAGGAGGCCCATATGTCAGAACAGTAGGCCTTGAATAGGCAGCATGATTTATTGTGCAAATAAAAATGGATGGAAATGATTTTTTTATAAAGCAATAAGAATGGGGAGATTTAGTGGCTAGGTGTCTTAGTCTATTTGTGCTGCTATAACAAAATACCTGAGACTAAAGTTTGGTCAGGTTGGCTCATATCTATAATCCCAGCAGTTTGAGAGGGCCACTGGGGAGGATCGCTTGAGACCAGGAGTTCAAGACCAGCCTGGGCTACATAGCAAGATCTCATCTCTACAAAAAAGAAAAAAAAAAATCTACCTGGGCACAGTGGCATGCACCTGTAGTCTTAACTACTCAGGAGGCTGAGGTGGGAGGACCATCTGAGCCCAGGAGTTTGAGGTTACAGTGAGCTATGATTGTGCCACTATATTCCAGCCTGGGTGACAGAGTGAGACCCTGTCTCTAAAATAAATAAATAAATAAAACACCTGAGACTGGGTATTTGATAAAGATCAGAAGTTTATTTTCTCTCAGTTCTGGAGGCTGGGAAGAGCAAGATCAAGGTGCTGGCAGGTTAGGTTGTCTGGAGATGACCATTTTCTGCTTCTAAGATGATGCCTTGTTGCTGCATCCTTGGAAAGGGAGGAGCGTGTGTTCTCACATGGCGGAAAGCAGAAGCGCAAGAGATCAAAAACTGCATGAAGCCTCTTTTGTAATGGCCTTAATCTCATTAATTAGGGAGAAGCCCTCATGGCCAAATCACCTCTTGAAGGACTTACCTCTTAATATCATCACATTGTCCATGACATTTCAACATCTGAGTTTTGTAGAGGTGACATTCAAACCATAGTACAAGGCTTTTCTCAGTTTTATGACTGTTCTGCTTCACATTTTTGTTAAATCATCATCTTCTATGCCTGTTCTTCCAAAGGCAAATGAGCAAACAAGTAGCAAAATAATCTTAACTAAAATTCTCAAAGCAGCTAATCATGCCCACTTTGACAATGTGTTGTATGTCTGGGTACATGGTGCTTGTGGTTGTGATTTTTGTGCCACATATAAATTTTATCAACAACTGGAATAACATTTTTTTTGGTTCAGATAATGGAATAAAATATTTACAAATTTTCTAGTGTTTGATTAAGAACTCTAAGGGCGTCTTTTCTAACCAGGATAGCAAAAACACTGCTAAGACATGATCCATTGCTTATACAGAGGTAGGGTTTGAACCAGCCATAATTGAGTCTGTGGGTTGGCAAGATGTTTTAACATGTCTTTAACTGTGAGTGTCTGAAGAACTGAGAACAAAGAAGCCTGCACTTCATCAGGTACTTTTTTTTTTTTTTTTTTTTTTGAGGTCGTGTCTCACTCTGTTGCCCAGGCTGGAGTGCGATGGTGCGATCTCGGCTCAATGCAACCTCTGCCACCCGAATTCAAGCGATTCGCCTGCCTCAGCCTCCTGAGTAGCTGGAATTACAGGCGCCCACCACCACGCCTGGCTAATTTTTTTTGTATTTTTAGTAGAGATGGGGTTTCACCACGTTGGCCAGGCTGGTCTTGAACTCCTGACCTCAGGTGATCCGCCCACCTCGGCATCCCCATCAGGTACTTTTTAAGCGATGTTGATTCATATAATTAGAGTGCCTTCTATGTGCTACTTGCTTCTCTCACATGAACTCATTTAGTCCTCCCAACAACGCTGCAATTCTATGAATTATATGAAATTATCTAATTATAAATGAGGAAACCGAGACACAGAGAAGTTAAAGGAAGCAACCAAAGGCAACAGGTGCATGGTAAAATTGAGACTCAAACTCAGACATTCTGGTTCCACAATCCATGTTCCTAACCTCTGTGCTATTTTGTGTGACTAAAGTTTTCTGAAAAAAAGGTAATTTATCAGACATTTCAACATGATATAGGATGTTAATGGTGTTACAGCTGTGGGCCAAGCAGGGATCTTCTTCTTAGTATACATTTGCCTCTTAAAGCCCTTCTTACCACAGTTTTAAAAACAACTCTCACACCTGTGCTCTCTGTTTTCCTTTTCCTACTAGACTGTGAATTCCTGAAAAGGCTGGACTGAATCTAAGTCAATTTTTTTTTTATTGTACAGTGGTGCCCAACATAAAAAAGTTTCTCATGAGTTAACACGTGATACAATGCTCTATTCCAAATCATTTTATCCTACCCTTCCTTGAAACCAGCCCTGGAAAATAAAATGTGTGCTCATATTCACCAAAAAAAATGTTCTTTTAAAAAGTTCCATTTTTGCAATGGAGGAAAAAAAAACCATGTGGCAAAAAAATTGCACATTTTATTTAAAGGTTATTAAATTTGTAGATTTCTACTTGTTTTGTATAATTAAATATTTTCATACATACTTTAATTTTCTGATTGCATCACCCAGGTGGAGAGTTTTAAGACTAAATGTTTAAGATTCTTGACCTTTGAAATAATTATAGTATAATTTAGTATCATATAATGTTCAAATTGCCAAGGGTTTTCATTAGACTCAAAGACACTTTTCTTATAGGAATGGTAAATCTTAGTATGTTTTACATGTGCCAGTTACATCTATATATTTTTGTAAAAATTAAGTTCTAACAAAATGCTTTTAAAGAAATTTTATACTTTTTAGGAATTTTTGCATTAATTTACACCCCATACTTGATATTCTGCATTTAGTATGCATAGAGAAATACATATCCAGTCCTAGTATATCATTGAACATAAATGCTGAACAAGACAGTGAAGAGCGTTATGTAGATGGAAGTAACTACAATCATCTCATTTTTATTTTTAATCACATAGAAGCAGTGTGGTATAGTAATTAGAGCACAGACTCTGAAACTAGCCTGGTTGGGATCAAATATTGGCTTTGCTACTCACCAGTGATGTGTCTTTGGGCAGGTTACTTAGCCTCTTTTTGCATCAGCGTCTCATCTCTAAAATGGTGATATTATTAGTACCTACTTCATAGGATTGTTATGAAGAAGACTTGAATTGGTACTGCTTAGTGCTTAGAATACAGACTGGCTCAGATGAAGTGTTCGATATGTGTTAGCTGCTGTTATGATCATTAGTATTAAGGTTCATAGAGGGGTCAGGAATGTTAGCTTCTTGGAAAAGTCAATGCCTGGATGGGGACCTGAAAGACAAGACAAAGATAGTTTAGGGAGTTGAGAATAGAGGGAGGCATTCAAGGCCAAAGGATTTTGTTTTTCTTTTTTCTTTTCTCTCTCTCTCTCTGTGTGTGTGTGCTCTTCTTTTTGTTTGTTTGATAAGTAAGGTTTGTTAGATAAGTAAACATGTGTCATGGGGGTTTGTTGTACAGATTATTTCATCCCCCAGGTATTAAGCCTAGTGCCTACTGGTTATTTTTTTCTGATCCTCTCCCATCTCTCACCACCTCCCTCTCTGAAAGTTCCCAGTGTGTGTTGCTCCCCTCTATGTAAATTCATGAATTCATATGTTTTATTCAGAGAACTACAAACAGTTTGCTGTTGTTGAAAAGCTAAATTATTAGAGAAGATACTAGATGAGTAGGAATGAACCAGTCTACGGAGCCTGGGATGGCCCGTTCTTCTGAAGCTATTAATATCACACAGGTCTATATGATTTATCTAAAGGACATCATATCCCATATATACTTTTTTTGAAAAATTGTGTTTTCTTTTCTCTCTGTAATACAAAAATTCCATGGTTGGAATTATATAGAATCAGGGTGCTTTCTCACCTGTAGCCAATACTGCTATGTATTAACCTGCCCTACCATCTGCACCGTGATTACCTTTGCAGTTTTTTTTTTTTTTTGTACATTAATAATGAACGGTTATCGAAAAGGAAATGATGAATTGGTTTTAGCCATGTTGAGCTTGGGATGCTAATGAGCTCTACAGGAGACATTTGGACCTATGGGAGGACTGAAACCCAGTTTATATTGTACAGGCTTTTTCTGCTTTCTTTTTTTAAAACTATTTTTTGGTTTCTGAGGTCTATGACCTTTCTTTGTTTTCTTTTTAGGCTTCGCTTCTTTGTCTTTTTGGTGATTTTCTCTTGCATTTATAACTGAGGAGTTTTTCAGAATATACCAGAGGGATAATGCATACTCCCCACCAGTAGGAGTACAGCCAAGATTCTCCAGGAGACAATCTGGGTAGGGCACACAGCTTTAAAAAGGGATTAAGCAGAATTGGGCAGGGCAATTAGAAAAGCCCATAAAGTGATTTCCCCTCCTTCCTTGTGAATCACTGGTAAAATGGTAAAAATATCTTTCCTTGACCTTACTATTTCCCCTTCCTTTCACCATCTGCAAACTCCAGGTCTAACTCCTTGCACCTGGAATTTTGCCTCCACTGTAATGCATAGACATGTCTGTACACATGGTCAGGTGAAACACTGCTGAATGCCTTTGTTTCTCCTCTCCCCTCAGCCTGGTATGTTCTCATAACTCTCTTTGCATTCTTAATCTCTACACATTTTTTCAGAACTCATCTTAGTCATCATCTCCTGATGCCCCATTTTGGGCGAATTGCCCCTTTTTTGGGTCTCCCACAGCAGGCTTGGTTGATCTATTAATCTATTAATCTATTGATCTGTTAATCTACCTTTCTGTATTAAAATGTAATCTCACTGAAAGCAGAGTCTGTCTTACTCATCTTTTAATGTTTAGCCTACAGCCTAGTGCCTGGCTTATACAAGTTCAGAAAAAAGTGAGTTAGGAGTGTCAACTGGAGAACTAGACTTGTTCTTTATTACTCCATAGACATTGTGGTTGAAAGGGCAGGAATGGCTGAAATTCTTAAGGGAGAGAATGTGAAGGAATAAAAGGAAGGGCAAATATTTGAGCTAAAAGAAATGCAAAAAGAGACCCAGCAGAGGGAGGACAGTTACTCAGAGATCCTACTTCCCAGCCCCATCAAGTTTTCTCACTATTCCGTATGGGTTTCAAACAACTACATATTCTTGAATCCTGAAGGTGGGAAAAGAAATTAGAAAGGTAAAATTGAAATTGAGTTGTTTGCTGTTACAATACTGTTTCAACAGTATTGTAAAATCTTACATTAATTTTTTCCCATAAAAAGCTTTTCCGTTTTGCCTATAATTGTAGAAGTACTACAGTAGTATTTTAGTGGAAAGATAATAATAGGAGCTCATGATATGACCATAAAGTTATAATCAGAGCTTCCAGAAACAAATTTTCTGTGACTTTGGAAAGATATGTCACTGCATTCCTCAAAATACTTAATTTGCTTGGATGATGTTTTGTTTTGTTATGTTCTGTTTTCTCAGGCGCAGTGCCTTCCATCCCATGTTACAATAATGGTGTGGGCGAAAGGTTTAGAATTCTGCTTTCCAATGCAATATTTGCTAGTTCTTTGGAAAATAGGACTTCAAGAAATGTCACTGCTCAGCCAACACATTAAATTGAAAAATAGTAATACAATGAGGAGTGTGTGTATGGAGAGTAGGCATGATCAGAGTTGACTATATCAAAGTATAAATCATTCTGCACATATAAATCATTAATTTTTGTTTACTTGAAATATTTAAATTAGCTGTCTTTTTTTAAAAAATAAAGCAATTATCCATCAGAAGTATTTATAAATAGTAAGTGTTTCTGTAGGGCCAAAAGTAAACATTTAAGTGCCTTATCTTAAAGTTTAGGAAAATAAGTTAACTAGGTAGTTTGTTATCATACCTATGTATTTGGTGAGGAGCAAAGAAACTATTTTACAAGGTTCTGAAAAATATGTAACTTAATATTGAAACATAGAGATAACTCAAAATATGCCTCAAGCCTCAGAGCTCTTCTTTTGTAATAACCAATAATTTATAGGCCATCTTAAAGAAGAAATAGAAGCTATCAGCTATGTATGGACTTCACCGTTGTTTTTTTGTGTTTGTAGACAAGCTATCTTAGGTCACTGCTTTAGCAAATTAAATTAGCTCAGCATTCACTCAGGAGATGGGTGAGGAGGAAATAAAACAATGGAGATACAGATAGATTGGCCAGGAAGCTTTAGGGTGTGGGGTAGTTGGATGCAGAGGCTATTTAGAAACCAGGCTTCAGAATAATGGAAAGAATTGAATAAATCCTATGACTCTACTAATGCACCAAAGTTTTGTTTTGTTTTGTTTTTTAGTACAGTGATGAAATGTTAGGTGATTTTTTTAGGTCAAACATAATATGTAGGCACAGCAGCCAGGCTGGAGATGAAAGTTTGTTCGTGAGGGATTCAACCTCAAGAGCTCTGTCAAGTGCAGGTAATAGAGGAATTGAAGATTTACTTTAGAGTTTCAGGATTAAATGAGGTCCAGAGCTAAATCTGGGTAGATTTGGAAGAGCAGTCAGATATGTATTATTCTGAGCAGGACTGTCATTAACATTTTAGTTCAATTAATTTGGAAATTGAGTAGAAATTAGGAAATTAGGAGGAATAGCTGAATGTAGTTTGGAGATGATCATGAGTTGAGTTTTAGATCTGTTCAGTTTTGTATGATTATACGTAATTCAAGAGGAGAATTCCAAAATGCATTTGGAAATATACAAATGGAGCTGGAGAGAAGGAGTTAGAGGCAAATATACTTATTCATATTTGTTCTCATAGAGGAGACACTTCACTATAAATCTGGATGAGATTTTAAAGTAGAGATTTCAGAGAAAAGGTCAGATGGCTGAGAACTGAGTGACTCAGCGATCACTGGAGGCCAGCCAGTTTGGTGGGATGGGAGTGTGGGTTCAGCTTGTGTGCTTGGGAGACAATCCCAAGGAAAGTTCAGATTTTTCTCCAGAGGTAATATCAGATAGACAGTAAGTCAGAGTAAGGCCATACTGATAAAATAGCCTAGAGGAGAGGTCACAGTGCAAAGAAAAGAGGACGATTATCTGGCTGAGAGGAAACAAGAAATGTGAGGGGGAGACAGACTGGAGATAATGATATCATGAGGCAGGGAAAGAATGTTTTAAAAAGAGGAAGAGAACTATATCAAGGTGCACCAGATATTGATGACAGGTTCAGTAAAATGAGCACTGAAATATTTCTGTTGGTTGTGACAACATGGACATCATTTAGTGACCTTATTAAGAGTTGTTTTCATGGAGAAGCCACAGTGATGTGGGTTGTAGAATGTGTAAACAGTTCTAGAAAGGCCAAAATTCAGGGCAGAAGTGCAAGTCCAGAAGGGTTGTTTTCTTGGTGTGTATTATTTTGTTTTAAGATAGGAACAATTTCAGTATGTTTACATTCAGCTGGAAAAGATCCAGGAGAGAAGGAACATTTGAAGATATGAGAAGGCAATAATGATACCTTCTTGACAAACCAGCATATAGTGTATTTAGACTTTAGATCTATAGTTTAATACACTGAACTAAATGAATGCATTGACATTGTCAAAGCAAGAGAATTGAGCAACCAGAGAAGTATTTACCGAATTGTTAACCTCGATGGCTCTGCTCTGTAAGGGTTATGTGGTTGACTAATTTTAGAAGACTTCTCAGTAACCTCTATTGAATGATTTGGTACAAGGACACGTAACCTTTGGTGACTAAAAAGCCTTTCTCAAATCCCTACTCCTACGTCATTCCATGAGCATTTATTGAGTTTGAATGGAGGGGATTGATAGGGCCTTAGGATTCTGAGTTCCAAGTCTCTGACTTGTGTTTTGGATCACAAATTGATTAAAATCGATAGCATCTTATATTTTATGTTCATAAGGCCCTTAATTGAATTTAATCATAGCTTTTACACATAGTATAGTATAAGAAGTAAAAACAAACATAGCTAAGCAAACAGCTAAAGAGAAGAAAATATAAGTAAAGAAACCACTGCATAATGCAGACAAATGGGAAACAGTAGGTTAATTTTAAAATATATTTAAAGTAAATTTATGCTTTAGTATGCTCTACTCATCATTGAATTACTATCACAAAGGCTTGAAAAGGTTAAAGCTTAATCTATAATAAAAAGGAGTTTTGATTAATTGTGATAATCTTTTACACAGTGATTCTGATCATTTTTGATCACATGGGCTTCTTTGAGAATCTGACAAGAGTTATTTCCACCCGCAAAGTTTTAAAAACAGACAACAAGATCCTGTTAGCACTGTGTTATTCTTTTTTTTTTTTCTTTATACTTTAAGTTCTAGGATACATGTGCACAACGTGCAGGTTTGTTACATATGTCTACATGTGCCATGTTGGTGTGCTGCACCCATTAACTCATCATTTACATTAGGTATATCTCCTAATGCTATCCCTCCCCTCTGCCTGCCCCACGACAGGCCCCAGTGTGTGATGTTTCCCTTCCTGTGTCCAAGTGTTCTCATTGTTCAATTCCCACCTATGAGTGAGAACATGCAGTGTTTGGTTTTTTGTCCTTGAAATAGTTTGCTGAAAATGATGGTTTCCAGATTCATCCATGTCCCTACAAAGGACATGAACTCATCCTTTTTTATGGCTGCATAGTATTCCATGGTGTATATGTGCCACATTTTCTTAATCTAGTCTGTCACTGATGGGCATTTGGGTTGGTTCCAAGTCTTTGCTATTGTGAATAGTGCCCCAATAAACATACATGTGCATGTGTCTTTATAGCAGCATGATTTATAATCCTTTGGGTATATACCCAGTAATGGGATGGCTGGGTCAAATGGTATTTCTAGTACTAGATCCTTGAGGAATCGCCACACTGTTTTCCACAATGGTTGAACTAGTTTACAGTCCCACCAACAGTGTAAAAGTGTTCCTATTTCTCCACATCCTCTCTAGCACCTGTTGTTTCCTGACTTTTTAATGATCACCATTCTAACTGGTGTGAGATGGTATCTCATTGTGGTTTTGATTTGCATTTCTCTGATGGCCAGTGATGATGAGCATTTTTTCATGTGTCTGTTGGCTGCATAAATGTCTTGTTTTGAGAAGTGTCTGTTCATCTCCTTCGCCCACTTTGTGATGGGGTTGTTTGTTTTTTTCTTGTAAATTTGTTTGGGTTCTTTGTAGATTCTGGATATTAGTCCTTTGTCAGATGAGTAGATTGCAAAAATTTTCTCCAATTCTGTAGGTTGCCTGTTCACTCTGATGGTAGTTTCTTTTGCTGTGCAGAAGCTCTTTAGTTTAATTAGATCCCATTTGTCAATTTTGTCTTTTGTTGCCATTGCTTTTGGTGTTTTAGACATGAAGTCCTTGCCCATGCCTATGTCCTGAATGGTATTTCCTAGGTTTTCTTCTAGGGTTTTTATGGTTTTAGGTCTGACATTTGAGTCTTTGATCCATCTTGAGTTAATTTTTGTATAAGGTGTAAGGAAGGAATCTAGTTTCAGCTTTCTACATGTGGCTAGCCAGTTTTCCCAGCACCATGTATTAAATAGGGAATCCTTTCCCCATTTCTTGTTTTTGTCAGGTTTGTCAAAGATCACATGGTTGTAGATGTGTGGTATTATTTCTGAGGGCTCTGTTCTGTTCCATTGGTCTATATCTCTGTTTTGGTACCAGTACCATGCTGTTTTGGTTACTGTAGCCTTGTAGTATAGTTTGAACTCAGGTAACGTGATGCCTCCAGCTTTGTTCTTTTGGCTTAGGATTGTATTGGCAATGTGGGCTCTTTTTTGGTTCCATATGAACTTTAAAGTAGTTTTTTCCAATTCTGTGAAGAAAGTCATTGGTAGCTTGATGGGGATGGCATTGAATCTATAAGTTACCTTAGGCAGTATGGCCATTTTCACAATATTGATTCTTCCTGTGCATGAGCATGAAATGTTCTTCCATTTGTTTGTGTCCTCTTTTATTTCGTTGAGCAGTGGTTTGTAGTTCTCCTTGAAGAAGTCCTTCACATCCCTTGTAAGTTGGATTCCTAGGTATTTTCTTCTCTTTGAAGCAATTGTGAATGGGAGTTCACTCATGATTTGGCTCTCTGTTTGTCTATTATTGGTGTATAAGAATGCTTGTGATTTTTGCACATTGATTTTTATCCTGAGACTTTGCTGAAGTTGCTTATCAGCTTAAGGAGATTTTGGGCTGAGACGATGGGGTTTTCTAAATATACAATTACGTCATCTGCAAACAGGGACAATTTGACTTCCTCTTTTCCTAGTTGAATACCCTTTATTTCTTTCTCCTGCCTGATTGCCCTGGCCAGAACTTCCAACACTATGTTGAATAGGAGTGGTGAGAGAGGGCATCCCTGTCTTGTGCCAGTTTTCAAAGGGAATGCTTCCAGTTTTTGCCCATTCAGTATGATATTGGCTGTGGGTTTGTCATAAATAGCTCTTATTATTTTGAGATATGTCCCAGCAATACCGAATTTATTGAGAGTTTTTAGTATGAAGGGCTGTTTAATTTTTCAAAGGCCTTTTCTGCATCTTTTGAGATAATCATGTGGTTTTTGTCTTTGGTTCTGTTTATATGCTGGATTATGTTTATTGATTTGTGTATGTTGAACCAGCCTTGCATCCCAGGGATGAAGCCCACTTGATCATGGTGGATAAGCTTTTTGATGTGCTTCTGGATTCGGTTTGCCAGTATTTTACTGAGGATTTTTGCATAAATGTTCATCAGGGATATTGGTCTAAAATTCTCTTTTTTCGTTGTATCTCTGCCAGGCTTTGGTATCAGGATAATGCTGGCCTCATAAAATGAGTTAGGGAGGATTCCCTCTTTTTCTATTGATTGGAATAGTTTCAGAAGGAATGGCAGCAGCTCCTCCTTGTGCCTCTAGTAGAGGGTAGAGCTGTGAATCCGTCTGGTCCTGGACTTTTTTTGGCTGGTAGGCTATTAATTATTGCCTCAATTTCAGAGCCTGTTATTGGTCTATTCAGGGATTCAACTTCTTCCTGGTTTAGTGTTGGGAGTGTGTATGTATCCAGGAATTTATCCATTTCTTCTAGATTTTCTAGTTTATTTGTGTAGAGGTGTTTATAGTATTCTCTGATGGTAGTTTGTATTTCTGTGGGATCAGTGGTGATATCCCCTTTATCATTTTTTATTGTGTCTATTTGATTCTTCTCTCTTTTCTTCTTTATTAGTCTTGGTAGCGGTCTATCAATTTTGTTGATCTTTTCAAAAAACCAGCTCCTGGATTCATTGATTTTTTGAAGAGTTTTTTGTGTCTCTATCTCCTTCAGTTCTGATCTGATCTTAGTTATTTCTTGCCTTCTGCTGGCTTTTAAATGTGTTTGCTCTTGCTTCTCTAGTTCTTTTAATTGTGATGTTAGGGTGTCAATTTAAATCTTTCCTGCTTTCTCTTGTGGGCATTTAGTGTTATAAATTTCCCTTTACACACTGCTTTAAACGTGTCCCAGAGATTCTGGTATGTTGTGTCTTTGTTCTCATTGGTTTCAAAGAACATCTTTCTGCCTTCATTTAACAAAATGTACCCAGTAGTCATTCAGGAGCAGGTTGTTCAGTTTCCATGTAGTTGAGTGGTTTTGAGTGAGTTTCTTAATCCTGAGTTCTAGTTTGATTGCGCTGTGGTCTGAGAGACAGTTTGTTATAATTTCTGTTCTTTTATATTTGCTGAGGAGTGCTTTACTTCCAACTATGTGGTCAGTTTTGGAATAAGTGCGATATGGTGCTGAGAAGAATGTATATTCTGTTGATTTGGGGTGGAGAGTTCTGTAGATGTCTATTAGGTCTGTTTGGTGCAGAGCTGAGTTCAGTTCCTGGGTATCCTTGTTAACTTTCTGTCTCGTTGATCTGTCTAATGTTGACAGTGGGGTGTTAAGGTCTCCCATTATTATTGTGTGGGAGTCTAAGTCTCTTTGTAGGTCTCTAAGGAGTTGCTTTATGAATCTGGGTGCTCCTGTATTGGGTGCATATATATTTAGGATAGTTAGCTCTTCTTGTTGAATTGATCCCTTTACCATTATATAATGGCCTTCTTTGTCTCTTTTGGTCTTTGTTGGTTTAAAGTCTGTTTTATCAGAGATTAGGTGTGCAACCCCTGCCTTTTTTTGTTTTCTATTTGCTTGGTAGATCTTCCTCCATCCCTTTATTTTGAGCCTATGTGTGTCTCTGCATGTGAGATGGGGCTCCTGAATACAACACACTGTTGGGTCTTGACTCTTTATCCAATTTGCCAGTCCGTGTCTTTTAATTGGAGCATTTAGCCCATTTACATTTAAGGTTAATATTGTTATGTGTGAATTTGATCCTGTCATTATGACATTAGCTGGTTATTTTGCTCCTTAGTTGATGCAGTTTCTTCCTACCATCAATGGTCTTTACAATTTGGCATGTTTTTGCAGTGGCTGGTACCAGTTGTTCCTTTCCATGTTTAGTGCTTCCTTCAGGAGCTCTTTTAGGGCAGGCCTGGTGGTGACAAAATCTCTCAGCATTTGCTTATCTGTAAAGTATTTTATTTCTCCTTCACTTATGAAGCTTAATTTGGCTGTATATGAAATTCTGGGTTGAAAATTCTTTTCTTTAAGAATGTTGAACATTGCCCCCCACTCTCTTCTGGCTTGTAAAGTTTCTGCGGAGAGATCAGCTGTTAGTCTGATGGGCTTCCCTTTGTGGGTAACCAGACCTTTCTCTCTGGCTGCCCTTAACATTTTTTCCTTCATTTCCACTGTGGTGAATCTGACAATTATGTCTTGGAGTTGCTCTTCTTGAGGAGTATCTTTGTGGCATTCTCTGTATTTCCTGAATTTGAACGTTGGCCTGCCTTGCTAGGTTGGGGATGTTCTCCTGGATAATATCCTGCAGAGTGTTTTCCAGCTTGGTTCCATTCTCCCTGTCACTTTCAGGTACACCAATCAGACGTAGATTTGGTCTTTTCACATAGCCCCATATTTCTTGGAGACTTTGTTCGTTTCTTTTACTCTATTTTCTCTAAACTTCTCTTCTCACTTCATTTCATTCATTTGATCTTCAGTCACTGATACCCTTTCTTCCAGTTGATCGAATCGGCTACTGAAGCTTGTGCATTCATCATGTAGTTCTTGTGCCACAGTATTCAGCTCCATCAGGTCATTTAAGGACTTCTCTATGCTGGTTATTCTAGTTAGCCATTTGTCTAATCTTTTTTCAAGGTTTTTATCTTCTTTGTGATGGGTTCGAACTTCCCCCTTTAGCTTGGAGAAGTTTGGTCGTCTGAAGCCTTCTTCTCTCAACTCGTCAAAGTCATTCTCCATCCAGCTTTGTTCCATTGCTGGCGAGGAGCTGTGTTCCTTTGGAGGGGGATAGGCACTCTGATTTTTAGAATTTTGTTTTTCTGCTCTGTTTTCCCCCCATCTTTGTGGTTTTATCTACCTTTGGTCTTTGATGATGGTAATGTGCAGATGGGGTTTTGGTGTGGATGTCCTTTCTTTTTGGTAGTTTTCCTTCTAACAGTCAGGACCCTCAGCTGCAGGTCTGTTGGAGTTTGCTGGAGGTCCACTCCAGACCCTGTTTGCCTGGGTATCAGCAGTGGAGGCTGCAGAACAGCAAATATTGCTGAACAGCAAATGTTGCTGCCTGATCGTTCCTCTGGAAGCTTCATCTCAGAGGGGTACTCAGCCGTGTGAGGTGTCAGTCTGCCCCTACTGGGGGGTGCCTCCCAGTTAGGCTACTTGGGGATCAGGGACCCACTTGAGGAGGCAGTCTGTCCGTTCTCAGATCTCAAACTCTGTGCTGGGAGAACCACTACTTCAAAGCTCAGTTGGAAATGCAGAAATCACCTGTCTTCTGCGTCACTCATGCTGGGAGCTGAAGACTGCAGCTGTTCCTATTTGGCCATCTTGGAACCACCCAGCATTGTGTTATTCTTGAAGGTAACTGAAGAGATTGGATAACTTCAGTTCTAAAATCAAACATCTCTAAGAACTGACCAGATAATTAGGTGCCTACTGAGCCATTGTAATGTTTTTGATTTTGAGGTAGGAAAACTGCATCAGGCTATGGCAGATGGCTGACATGATCTGACTTACTATTTTTAAACATCACTTTGCCTTTTGTGCTGATAGTGGACTACAGGTACACAAGGTCCCAAAAAGCGAGACCTGCCATGACACCATTGCTGTGATTCACATGGGAGGTAATAGGATTGGATCGGGGTGACAGTGATGGAGGTGATGAGATGTTGTTGCATTTGGGTTTATTTTTAAGGCAGAACAAGATTTGCTGAAGAATGAGATTTTGGTGTGAAAGACAGGGATTAAGGATGACTCCAAGTTTCTGGGCCTGAGCAGTTGAAAGTAAGGAATGGCCATTAACTGAGATGAGAAGACTATAGGAAGAATGGGGTTTGGTTCATGGAGGAAGGTCATGTTTGGTTTGGAATATATTGAATTTGAGATACCCATTATCTGTACAAGTGGTGATGTGGAGGAAGTGTTTGGATAAGGGAGTTGGGAGTTCAAAGGAAAGGTCTGCAGCTTGAGATATGTTTTGTGAGTTTTCAAGGTGCAGAATGTATAGTGGATGAGGTCACTGGCAACTGGGGTTCTCAACCCTGGCCTCTGGATATTTGGAGAAAGATCTTTAGGGCAAAGGGATTAGGAAATAAAATACAAATCAGCGATTATGATTCATTTGGAATGGAGTGGGTCCAAGGTATCAGCATCCTTTAGAAGCTCCCTATATGATTCTAATTTGAATGCAGGATTAAGAACTCTTGCCCAGAACATAGATAAAGTGCAAAAGTACTCCAAAAACTAAGCCCTGGGCCATTATGCCACTGTAGAAAATGAAGAGAAACTATCAAAAAAGTGAGGAAGAGTAGCTAGTAATGGAGAAGGGATAAAGAGGGGCAGCTTGGAAACCAAATGAAGGAAGTATTTTAAAACAGAGGGAGTGATCATGTGTCAAAAGCAACTGAGAAATCCAGTAAGATGAATGAGAAGTGACCATTGAAATTGTCACGTAGAAGTCACTGGTGACCTTCACCCTTTTAGTGTTGTGATCGGGCTAGAGTGTGATTGAGATGGATTCCAGAGAAAATGAGAAAAGAAAAATTGCAAATTGCAAATCTGGATTACTCTACCAAGGAGTTTTCCGAAAGGAGAATAAGTAAAAATGTTAGGATATAAAGGCGAATGTTTTTAGAATGGGGTACATGGTTGAGTGCTATTGGTAATGAACTAGTAGAGGAGACACTGATGATGCAGGAGCATGATGTTTTTGAGAAGGTGAGAGGGGAGGAGATTCATTACAAAGTACCCTGTGGTGTTGTAGGGGAGTGTATGTGCATGCGTGCATGTGTGTGTGTGTGTGTGCGCGCGTGTGTTTTATCTCTCTCAGATTTTAAAGAAAGGGTCACCTGGGGCAGTGGCTCACATCTGTAATCCTGGCACTTTGGGAGGCCAAGGCGGGAGAATGGCTTGAGGTTAGGAATTTGAGACCAGTCTGGACCTCATCTCTACAGGAAAAAAAAAAAAAAAAATTAACCAGGCGTGGTGCTGCGTGCCTGTGGTCCTAGCTACTTTACTTAGGAGGCTGAGACAGGAGCATCACTTGAATCCAGGAGCCTGAGGCTGTGGTGAGCTATGGTTGTGCCACTGCACTCCAGGCTGGGCAACAGAGTGCATGACCCTGCATCTAAACAGAAAAAAAAAAAGAAAAGAAAAGAAAAGAAAGAAAAAGAAAGAAAGAGAAAGAAAGAAAGAAAAGAAAAGAAAAGAGAAAGAGAAAAGAAAGGGCCCATGCCTGCAGAGCACTATTTTTTACAGTGACTTCTTTAGTTCTGTGTCTTACACATATGAGGCACTTTCAGTTTGTTCAAATGGAGCTCTTTCAAATAACCGGTAGGATATGGCATAGTAGATTTACAAGTTTTGGAGACTTTCTACCTAAGAAAATATTTTATCATTTGGGACGATGAAAAATACACTAAAAGTTTCCATTGATTTTAGAAGCATTTCAAAAAATTATTTCTTAGTTACAATAATAGCACTAGACACTGCATAATACTACAATTCAGAGGAGGAAGTTTTGGGGAAAAATACAGATTGTGCAGGATGTTTGAATTTTATGACAAAAACTGTCTGATGACTCATGAGTGTCTTGTAGTTTATAAAGGGTATACATAGCGAAAAATAGTATCAAAGTGTTATTCATTGAATATAGCTTTCAACTTCAGTTATTTGAGATAACCACCTATAGTAAAACCTTATCTCAGATGCTCATGTTAAATAAAAATATTTTCTTTATATTTTGCATTAGTCTAAACTTTACTTTAGCTAAAATATTTTACCTTTTTGAAAAATGAGTTGCATTGTTGAGGGTGGAAGAGTGAGTATATTTAAATCAGCTGGACTAAAGAAACATACTGATGTGTAATACATGCCTTAATTCATGTCCAAATGCCACATGATTTACCTTTTGGAAATCTAGAGAATGGAGAGCATTCTAAATTTTAAGCTTAGATGGATTATATTTATATTCTTTGTCATTAACTGAAAGTACTTCTTATAATACTATATTTTATATTTTTTATTATTGCCTTTGGTGGCTTTATAAATTACCTGTTTTCCCCCCAATGTTTTGTTGCTATATTCTTTCCATTTCTTTTTGTGTGCTTCCATCTCTGTATATACTTAAAAGATCTGTTGTTTGCCTGGCTGAATTGACACCAAAATGTTTAAGAACAGAGTATGTTAATATTGGGGGAAAATTAATTTCGGACATTAAGTTTTTAAAAAAGAAGATTTCAAAGGAATAGGAACAAAAGGGTACCACTTATGTCGAGGGGTGTGACTGTTTTATGCTCTAGTAGGAGGAGCATCTATCTTTGCAGATCAAGCCTGCCACCTCCAGAGTTTTGGTTATCTCATTTTGGTTGTTACTCCAAAGTACACCTTCCATATCTCTGTCTGACTGTCTCTGTTCCCCATGTCTCTTTCTCATCTCTCCTTCCTCTCTTCTCTCATTTCTCTATTTCATACTTTCTCTCCCTCCCCTCCCCTTACCTGTTTCATTTGCAAATTTTACATGATTTCATTTAATTATTGACTACCATTTATAGAAACCCAATGGCAGTGATTAATGACACTTTCCACAATAATAGTGTAATACTTTTTCAGATACTTTTATTCTTAGCTTATATGTTTGTGAGTTATGGGTACATAGCTTAAAAGAAATAGCTCCAAAAATCTCCATCAAACACCCGGAACTTTTCAACAATGATTCTTTTTTTCTAGATTGAATTAGATTCTCATGGTATTTGAATTGATTATTATTCCTCCAAAATACATACTTGTTTAGCTATTTGCTGTTTTTTTTTAAAATTACATTCCAAGATGACCCACCCTGACTCCCAAAACTAACTGAAGCAACATAGAAATACTAATTTCTCTTAGAAATGCTTTTATTTTTTAAATTACTTACATATAGTGTTAAACTATTGTGGTTTTGAGAATATTTTATAATTAATATATATAATTCTCAACTAGTATTTTGTAAAATAGTATGGAAGGAACCTCATAGTTTAAAGTTGACATATTTCTTAAAAACTCTTGTAAGGGGAATTTTTTTAAATATAGGTGGTTTAAGTTGAATATACCAGGAAGGTATTAGGAAGATTCACTTATGAACCTCCAGCTCAGGGGTCCTTAGCATTGGGGGAGGGTCCAATGTAAGTCTGAGAAAAGATAACCAAATTAATTTCACTAATTTCTAAACTTTAAATTAAATTTGTTATTTCTCTCAATTATACATATAGGCAATAAACTTCAGTGGCATTAGTAGTACCTGTGTCTTTGTTGATGACATTTTCATATATTAAAGTTGTTGCAGAAATCATAAAGTATTATATATACTAATCACTACTTTTAAAATAGTATTTATCAGATCACCACTAGAACTTGTTATTAATGTCTTTAAAAAGAAGCACATATTTATTCTACCTCAACTTTAATATTATCAACTATAGTCATAGGGCCACATAACATTTAATTCAACTATGAACGACATATAGAACGGTGGTCCCATAAAATAAGAACACTGTATTTTTACTGTACCTTTTCTATGTTTACATATACAAATACTTACCATTGTGTTGCAGGTACCTACAGTACTCAGTACAGTAACATGCTGAACCACTTTGTAGCCTAAGAGTGATAGGCCATACCATATAGCCTAAGTATGTCATTGACTATACCATCCAGATTTGTGTAAGTGCACTCTCTGATGTTCATACGAGGAAATCACCTAATGACCCCTTCCTCAGAATGTGTCCCTGTATTTAAACATAATTGGTTTCCTTCAAAATCCTGGGTATTCTATGTTATGGATTTAAAAATACTTTATCTCCATGGCACACCACAGAAAACTAAAAATGCCTGCTCTTGTCCCTCGGAATCCAAGGCATTCTTTATAGTAAAAGTAATTTATTTTGTAACATACATGTTTTATAAATTTGCATTTCTGTATGTAATTTTCATAATGCAGAGAACACAGATTTTTTTTGAACAGCTTCTTTTTGCTTACATTAAATTGAAATGATAAAAAAGGACATATTCAATTTCTCACCTTAAAAAACTATGTTAAATATTAAATTCCTAAGTAACTTGTTTTCATGTTTGCATTTTAATGTCATGCTTTTACCAGTGCATAGTCAGCAACGCCAGGATGCAGAAGAATGGAGAAAATGAACTTCTTGGGTTTTATATGCCACAATTTAGATAGTCTTAATTTAAATTTCCATAAATAAGTGCAGGAGAAAACAGAGGAAGTGCTTCGAAGTCAACAACCTGGTGACACATATTTTTTAGGGTTTTCAGGCAAATCTTCCCATGGGATTTTAATTGATATGCAACATAGTGTGGCCTCAGGCCCCCTTCCAAGCACAGGACTCTGGTAATTTGTACAAGCTTTCCTTCCTCCTCTATACTTGACTGAAGGGAAAAATGGAAGATGGTAGACATCCTCTCAAGTGGATGTAGGAGGTAATTAGAATAATAAAATTGAATAATTATTAAGTAGTTTGCTCAAGGATATTAATCATTCTGCCCATTTTGAAGGAGAAAAAATATTCCTACAAATAAATAGTAGTTGTCTCTTAGAAGACTGAGAAATCCAGGAGTTTGGGGGAAATGTGACTATAATTGAAAGAAAAGAGCAAAATGGATTAATATACTAGTTTTCCAAAGAAATATTAAACCTGCCTAAATTTCCACTATAACTTCTCTTGGGAAATCAAACTGGAGGAACTGGACCTCTTGGGAATACTATCACCATAACATAACATAATTTGAAGTTGACACTAGAAGTTGAAGTTTATTTTTTTCCTAATAATTATGCTCAGGGAAGGATGCAGAAATTGCATTTTGGAATGACAGAAGAGTAGTTATTTTAGAAGGAACATTTTAACATCTATGGTAGATATCTCCTAGAAAATGTGTTCTGTGGAGTGACAGGAGAAGCTAAAACCAAAAGCCATCATTACCTTAGGACATAAAACTGAATTGCATGGAGTCAACAGGTGTTTATTAAGGGTCTGCTGTATGCCCAGGCCAGTGTGCTGGAGTTTGTAGAGAAGTCCTGTTTTATTTTTTAATCAAGTGCCTTTGATTTTTTGTTCCTGTTGCTTTTAAAAATTACACCCTTAGTTAGAAATAAGTATGCACCTACTGGCTCTTGAACTCTAATTAACCATGAAAAAAATATATATGTATGTGTATAAATATGTTTAAAACTGGCCTCCTGGCCCGGCACACTGACTTACAACTGTAATCCCAGCACTTTGGGAGGCCAATGGGGACAGATCACCTGAGGTCGGGAGTTTGAGCCGAGCCTGGCCAACATGGCTAAACCCTGTCTGTACTAAAAATACAAAAATTAGCCAGGTGTGGTGGTACATGCCTGTAATCCTAGCTACTTGGGAGACTGAGGCAGGAGACTTGCTTGAGCCCAGGAGGCAGAGGTTGCCGTGTGCCGAGATTGTGCCACTGCACTCCAGTCTGGATGACAGAGCAAGCCTCTGTCTCAAAAAACAAAAAACAAACAAACAAACAAACAAAAAGAAACTGGCTTCCCGTTATCCAGAATTGGATTTCCTGATGAAACATTGAACTTACTTGTGACTCTGTCATTCTGGCATACTATCCTTTCAGAACCAAAAATCTGGATTCTCTGTCTTTTCAACTCCCCTGTCTATACTAGGGAGCTAAACACTCCTGAAGAAACCTTGATGACCATAAAAATCACTGTCACTATGCATGTGTGGTCTCAGGTCTCAACCAGAGCCTCAGAATCCCTCCACAGAACTTCAATATGTCCCAAATTCCTGCAACAAATCATTCTTGAGCACTTACTCTGTGGCAGATAAGTGCCACACTCTTCTAGGTACAGTTTGGGGACACAGCAGTGAACTACAAAGACAAGCAGACCTGCCCTCTTCCATTTTCCACAGTGGCCATCTCATTTTGGTGCTGTTCTTTTTAAAGAAGCACTTGGCAACTCTCCCTCCCCCTCAGGGGAAGAAGAGGCCATCCAGCTTTTCCTCAGGGTCTCTCCACCCTGGGCCCTACCTACAAACTTACCTGATTCTGAGCCTGTTTTTACCTTCCATTCAAAGGAGGAGATACAGCTCTTCCTGTTGCAGCACACACCCCATCACTGCCCATCTTTTCATACACTCACTCCATTGAGTAGCCCTTTCTGCATTCGGTTTGAAGTTTCTTCTGGAGAACAGTGAACATATGTCAGTCTTTTCTGTCTAAAAATATATGTGTAGTGAGTGTGTGTAGGTGGGAGTGTATCTCTTCATGGACTTTGCATCCTCAGTTTTCTCCTTCTGTTTACAAATAGATGTCTTGGAAAGATAGCTATGTGCGGTCCCTGTTCCCTCACTTTTCAGTCACTCCTCACGTCACTGCTATTCATTTCTAGCCCTAACACATCGCCAAAATTTCTCTGGCCAAACAGAGTATCTGACACAACCTCCTTGAAATATTGTTCTCTCTCACTTCCATGGGATCTCCCTTTCCTAGAGTTTCTACTTCCATGTTTACTCCTCTGTCTCCTCTGCCAGCTCCTCCCTTCCTTAAATGCTTTTGTTACCTTGAATCCCTTGTCACTGAGTACATTCTTCCTGGGTGGTTGAATAAGCCCATTCACTATGACAGTTTCAGCCACCTTTCACCCCCCAGCCCCAGACTAACTACCACGCAAACTCCAGATCATGGTCTGCAGCTGCCTTTTGAACATTTTCATTTGAGTATCCCCAGACTTAGCAAGGCTCACACTCAACATATTTTAAACCAAACTGTTTTTCCTCCTGGATTTCTTCCTTAGTAAATGGCTTCAGAAACCAGGGAGTCACGCTTGATTCTTCTCATCACTGCTTCATCCCAGGTCTTATCAACTCATGCTAATCCTACTTTCTTGATATTTCCTCAAAGTCATCCTGTCTGACCCCACTGGCACTATATTATCACTGCATGTCGTTCCTGCTTCCTCATTTCTGACACGGAAAATTGAAGATGTTTTACCTGGTTTCTTTAGATCCAACAAAAATATGGAGCCACTGGCATCTCTAAAACTGTCTGCTTGCCTCTGTGTCTTTGCATAACTTCCCCACTGGCTGGAACAATCTTTGCTTTTATTTCATCTAACATATGCTTCTTCTTTAAGACATAACTCAGGAATCACCCTTACTTTCTCCTTCTACCCTATGTTCTCTCCTCTTCCCTTTCAGAGCTCCATCTTACAAATCTGAATTGGATATTGGATATTCCATCCATTTGTGCCTCCGTTTTTCATCTGTAAAATGAGGTTAATAATAGCATTTATCTCATAAAATTATTCTAAGAGTTTAGTGAGTAAATATTTATAAACTACTTACAGCAGTGCCTGGACTTTAGTAAGCACTATATAAAAGGTTGCTAAATAAAAATTTAAAAAATACAATAAAATATGGAAACACTATATATACTGGTGATGAGAACAGCCTTTGGAATCACATAGATCTAAATTTGAATCCCAGACCTCCCCTTAGTAGCTTTGCACCTCAAGCCACTATATAAAGATTTTGAACCTCAGGTTCCTCATCTATAAAATGAGCCAAATGTTCACCTTATGAGATTGTCTGTCATGCAGAGGTAATGCCTGCGAGGCACTTACTATGTAACACTCCTTGCTCATTATTTACTCCAGTTGGGCGTGGTGACTCATGCCTATACTCCTAGTAGCTCATGCCTGTAATCCCAGCACTTAGCCTGGCAGAGGCGAAAGGATAGTCTGAACCCAAGGAGTTGAAGACCTGCCTGGGCAATATAGTGAGAAGCTGTTCTCCACAAAGAGAAAAGAAAAAAAGGACAAAAAACGAAACAATTGAACTCATTACTTACTCTACCAGCACGATGTGTTTGTCCAAATCACAACAGTTATGGCACTGTATTGTAACTATATTTTTATTTACCTACATTTTACATTCCTTGATCTTTGTCTCTGAAGTTTGGACAGAATCTGACATGTAGTCAAATGCTCAATGAAGACTTGTTGAATGAACATTTAACCATGAAGGCATTGTCTCCAGGCTCCTATGCTGGTTAGGAATGAAGACTGTATTTATTCCATTTTTTTTTTCCACTTCCTATGCACTCACTGCTCTCAGAGAGTCTTTTGTGGCTAATTCCATGTGCCTCTAATGTCTTTAATGGACCAGAGTACACAGTTTACACTTTGACCATTGGCCATTATTTATATGAAGCCTACTTTCCAGGCCCACATTCAGCATCTACGACAAGGCAGGCAAGGCCCTGTCTTTGTGGGGTTTCTGTACAGTATGGCTATTTGCTCCTGGGGCTTAGCCAACTTACAGTCAACTTATATTCCGCATTAATTAACTTTCCATTCTGTTTTGAATATTGCATTAAACCCAGTAATGGTCCTGTTCAAGGCCAAGAAAATACCCTGTGCTAGATTTAACTATCTATTAGTTATAGAAAATAG
Source organism: Homo sapiens (assembly GCF_000001405.40). Lineage (NCBI taxonomy): Eukaryota > Metazoa > Chordata > Mammalia > Primates > Hominidae > Homo > Homo sapiens. The sequence goes on from NC_000007.14 coordinate 115,005,105, forward strand.
ATTATATCTTCCTAGAACTTTGGAGCTTGAAACAAACTTAGCATTTTCCCTTTCCTTGTATGTGTATCGACACCAAATGAAATGACCTGTTCAAGATATTCACTCAGGCAATTAGTGACAGAGCCAAGACCAGAAAGCTGGTTTTAAGTTTCCAGCATCACAATCCTTATACATACACTAATACTTGGCTGTCTTTGCCACTTATGAAGATGGAAGGGTGATCATTAATTGAAATACCTTTGTTTTTGTGCCCCCACTATGTTGTGTCCCTGTTGCTAATAGCCTTATTTAAACCAAACAAACAGCTGTAACAACCACAGACACTTACAACCCTTTCTTTTTGTAGTTCTGGCATTAGCTTGCCCAAATGGTAATAGGAGGTAATGAGCTGTGACAGTAATAACTCAGTTGGGGAGTGGCTCAGACGAAACACAGGGAATTGGGAAGCACCTCAGGAAGACGGTTTTAATTTTACCTTATTTTCCCCAATTTAAAGTAATAATACACTAGGCTACAAAATTTTTATTGCATAAGAAAACTAGGTTTATCTGTTTTCAGCAATTTTAGAGTATACTTGCAAACAACATGTTCATAGATCGTTTTTAGCTCTGGAATTGTTTGTACACTAAATTAAGGCGGAGGTATTTATACCTTATAATTTCAATGTCATGCTGTCCTGTTCATCTGTGGCTTGCAATAGTGCCTTAAAATAATCAAATGGTATTAATAGATAACCTGGGTGGAGAGGGAGGAATGTGGAAAGAGTAACAATGTCATCATTGATTCACAAATTAATTCCATAAATAATAGGATTTACCTCCTGTGCACTGCTTTGAAACGTGCTTTGGTGTCTCATTTCGCTGTAACATTTCACTCTGCTTGCTTCGCTTCATCTTGCCTGGCCTGTTAGACCGCTGTGCTTCTTTGGTTGGGGCCTGTCTCTTCTGTCAGGGCTGGGGAGTGCATCCTGGGTCTTCTCAGGCGAGGCTCCTCCTGCCTGTGTGAGGTCTGCACCTCCTGCTAGGGATGCTGCCCTTGCCTCCAGGAGTCCTACAGGAACAGTCACTGTTGGGGACCTCTCAGCCCTTTGGATTGCAAAAGTGCCCTTTGGACTCTTGCTGAGCCCTGGCTGGTCAAGTGCCTGGAGAATTGTTGTGTATGATCCCAGTCCTGTGAATATTGTCAGTATCAGTCAGCCTTCTTTTAGTGTGTTTGTTTCCTCCCATGCTGCCATAAAGACCTTATGTCCTAGGTGACCTGGCCAACCCTGTGCATCTCTGCAGTAGGCTAATATCAGTGACTGAAAACACTGGATGTGACCAAGGTGTTATTTTACTCATCATCATCATCATCATCATCATCTTTTACAGAATCACCCAGTGGGTACATTATGGTTTAAGTTTTGTTAGCAAGACAAAACTGATTTATTTTCATTTGTTACTTGCACAATGTATAAGCCAAGGACAAATGAAAAGAGATGAAGCTGAAATGTGAATTGTGAAATAAACACAGTTGGGAAAATAAAATTAGAAAATATATTAAGCATTTGGGAGAGATTTTTTGGGTTATTTTTACCCCAATATGAATTTTCATTAAAACTAGACGATTTACTTGCATGTATTTTTGTCCTAGCCATAAATGGTATTGTTACCAACTTGAGTGAACTGTTGCACATTGATCCTTTCTGGGAAAATGTGTTTAAGATCTAAAGTAGATTTTATTATCCAGAAATTATATTCACCTTTGTTATTATTTAAACTTCTTATATTAGAAATATTTCAACTGGCCAACTGAAAATAGCCAGCACTGAATAGGTTCAAGTAAAGTATAGTTTCTAGCTTCTGGAGAAAATAAATAGATAATAATTGAAATATGGAAAAAATAGGTTATTATTTTTAAATCTTCTGCTGTAGCCAAACACAAGGTTACTAATTCTCTCTGGGCAGACTTATGCTTCACTCCTCTGCAAATTCTGTTTCTTAGAGTTGCCTTCTTGGTTCATTCTTTCAAGTGTTTGAGCTGTGGTCAGAGCCTTTTACAAACCTCCTTAGGTTAAAATAGAATGGTCCGATGTCCGTGTGGTAATCAGAGTAAATGGAACATAGGTAGGTGGAGAGGTGTGGTTTTCCTAGAATAAATATTTTGCTATCATCTTCACTGCTGTCACAGTAATAATATTTAGTAAGCACTTGCATGTTAAATCCTTTATTAAGTACTTAATGTGCATTATCTCTTTTAATCTTCATCATAACCCTATGAGGACAGTAATGTTATTACCAGCTATTAAAGCTTGTGATCTTAAAATGTAGAGATTCAGTATGTGAATGTAAATATTATTTGCACCATTGATATTTTCTAGCCTTTCTTTCCCTCCTTTCTGCCCAAAAACTGACTTTCTGGGTAAAAAATTTTAAATAAGCACTTCAAATAACTAAACTTTTACCCCTCTTCAGATTTCTGTGTTAAGCTTCTAAGAATCAAAATATTTTCTGAGATCTATCTATCTATCTAGTGTGCGTGTGTGTGTATATATATATATATATATATATATATTTATATTTCCTGGAATTTGTTTTGTTTTGCTTTTGGTATAGAGTCTCACCCTGACACCCAGGCTGGAGTGCAGTGGCATGATTATGGCTCACTATAGCCTCGACCTTCTGGGGCTCAGGTGATCTTCCCAGCTTAGCACCCCCACCCCCCGACCCCCTCCCCAAAATAGCTGGGACTACAGATACTCGCCACCATACTCAGCTAATTTTTTTTTTTTTTTTGGTAGAAACAGAGTTTTGTCATGTTGCCCAGGGTAGTCAAACTCCTGGGCTCAAGGGATCCGCCCACCTTGGGATTCTGCCTGCCTCGGGATTCCAGGAATGAACTACCGCACCCCAGCCTAACTTCCTAGACTTTGTAAAATGCATCTCTTTAGAAGGGACTACTTGACCAGTGCTAGAGTTAAGGCATGACCAACAATTACTGGATTCGATGTCTCTGAGAATTTGGAATATTTAATGAATCAACCACAGATCAGGCAATGGGGTAAACAAATAGAAGGAAAAAATCTCTGCTATCCTCTCGCTGTCATTTAAAATATGAAAGCAACTCCCATAGGATGGAGATGGAGTCTAGGATTTGCACCTGTAGTAGGAAACTTATTGAGGAGTCACTTTGTGGGGTGTGGGAGGGCAGTGCTGTTTTTTTTTTTTTCCTAGGTTCTTTTGACTTTGTTGAGAGGAAAGATAATAGTAAAGATTATTGTTCAATTTCCCAAAGTATGGTGTTCTTTGTCCTGCAGTGGAAAATGTAGCTTTTCTCTAACTTTCTTTTTACCTCCTGACCCATCTCACTTTGTTCCCCACTAGGAAAATGTTGACTGGATTCTGGCTAAGATGTGTGGCCTCTTGGGAGAGTCTTGTGCCAGAGCGTTCTGTGTAGGAGGCTCACTTTAGGCCAATTTATTCAGGCAGCAGGTCAGGCTAGGGCTGTTGGCCAGAAGTGCTGTGCGTCCTCTGTCTTGGAGACATGGAGCTACTTGGAGCTGAGCTACCGTGTGGTATTAGTAAACATTTCCCGCCCCTACACACACTTGAGGAGCAGAACTCCCCAGAGATGTCTGTGTCTGGTCCCTCACAGCTGGGTTTTCACAGAGGCTAGATGCTCACTTAGCAATCTCGGCTGTGATTCAGGATAACCACAGCCTGCTTCTAGCTTGCTCTTTGATTTTCCTATTGGGAAAGAACAGTCACAGTAAAGCAGTATCTAGGAAGAGGAAAGCCTTCACCCAGTCAGACTTCTGCACAGAGTCCTGTTATACCGCCACTGGGCAGGTGATAGTCGTAGCAGCTAAAGAATGGGGAACAACTGGGGGTGCTCTGTGGCGTTGATGTTAAAGCTACAGAGTCAGGTTTGACCTCAAAGCAATTTCCTAAATTACTAAATACACATAACTCTTATTGTTCATGCTTTAATCCATGGTCTTTGGCATATTATTGGCCTGTTAAATGCTAATAAACCTTTGTTTCTCAGCATGTAGTTTACATGATGGGGACTTGATTAAGAAAGTACTTTCAAGCATCTTATTTCATAGGAAACTTTATTAGAGATAAGATAAGACCCATTCAAATATGCATTCTCTTAAAAATGGGTTGTGAGTTATTCTCAGAATTCTCTGCTGTCTGTCCTTTCCTGTACTCCACTTTAGCTGTTTGGTATCTCTGTTCCAAGAAATTCAGAGCACCTGCCATACCACATCTTAAAAGGAGGAAATGAAAGAGATAAAAGAGGCTCGTTTAGAGGCGAGCTGAGTTTATTTTGTAAATAGTTTTCTGATGGCTCAATCAGGGTTCCTTTCACTTTAATAAACTGCATTCCTCATATTCCCTAGTGTAATTTGGCCACATACTGATCAGGTATCCGTATCAATTGGGATAATTTCATTATAAACTTGTTTTTACAAAGCTAATCTTCACTCTCATTTTAAGCAGCACAGAGTTCCTGGGATCAGTCACAGACATTTTCACCAGACTTCTAAGATGCTGTTTAATTCAGTTCCAATTGTTACTTTAATGCTGTTGAGATGCTAGAAGCTCTCCACATAATAGGCCAGCTGCCTAAGCGTAACACTGATGACCTTTCGTAGGACTCAAAGATTTTGTTTGGGATTGTGTCTTCAGTAATTCATAACAGGTTTTGTTGCTTTTTAAATCAAACATAGTAAAGATTTCCTTTTATGCTCTCCTTTTAGCTACTTGGCTTCTGGAGTGTTACTCTGTTTTCCTAAATTTACAGTAGCTGCCAGTCTTGTGCTGAGTTCTCCTCCAAGTACACTGAATTGTGCAATTCTTGCTTGGCCCAGTTTTGGACAGGCATCTTTCCCAGAACCAAGTGGTCTTCTCAGAGGTTAAACAGTTTTGGCAAAAACTGTAAATAATGACTGAATAAAACCATAAAAACTGAAATCTTAAGAACAGGGGAAAAAGATGATTCCTGACTGCAAGCCACATGGATGCAGAGGACCCATTTTTTTAAAAAAAGTTTGTTTCTCTATTCAAGCCTTCTTAAGTTTGATCATTCTTATGATCTTCTCTTTGCCTCAAATAAAACCACCATTATTGTGCCTTTTATGACTCTTGATTCCTGTTGGCAGTGGTAGGAATAGGAACTATAACTACTGTTTCTTCTTAGTTTATTTTAACCTTTTCATTACCCTGAGTCACAGTCAAACTATGACTTAGAAATAGAAGGTTACAAATAGAAGGGTTTTATAAAAAGACCCACCAAAAAAAAAATTCATTTTTGACAAGGAATAACAATCAGATCATTTAAAGATCTGGTAGAATTTAAGGAACCTTTTTTGGCTAATTTTTTGTTGTAATTTCTAGATATTTCTCTATTTAAAAAAATACAGAATATGAATGTGTTTCTGGTAGATACTTCTGTAGATACATGTTGTTTAATATCTCTATGATCTTGTAAATGCATTTTGGTTTGTGGCTTCTCTAGATGCCTGTTAATAGATTTGGTTTTTCAGAGTAACCCAAAGTGCTTTTCTAGTAAATTATAAAGGACTTTGTTTTAAAACAATGTCTCCATTTTGTAAGTTTTAATATTTACATAAATAGCTACTGCATATGGAGCTCTTGATCATGTAACTGCAGTCCTTAACGTTTATGTTTTAAATTTATAGATTTGTTTCTTTTGATTGAGACATCATCTCCTTCCACACTGCCTTCTCTCTTATGTCTATTTTAACAATGCAACTGGCAGTTTATTAATTCTTCAACTTAGTGATGACTTGTTCTTACATATTGAAGGGTAACATTTACTTTCAACTTTTTATTAAAATGAAAATTCAGAATAATTTTTTAAAAAGAAAAGGAACACAAACCAAGGCTAAAAACAGATAGATGAACAAAACAAATCAGCAGAAAGTTTTGGATTTGTAACTGACCTTCCTCCAAGGAACATCAACCCAGTGTTAGAAGTGACCCACTCCTGTAGCAGCAGCATAGCTTGCTGACTGAGAGCATGGTCTCAGGAGGTTAACTGCCTGGGTCCTGATCCTGTTTCTGCTACTCACTCCCTCTATGACCTTGGGAAAATTTCCTAAATTTTCTGTGAATGAGTCTCTGCATTGGTAAAATAGGCATAATACCGGTATGACTTCTTAGGAGTATTATTAGAATAAAATTAATCAATATTTATAAAGACCTTACAAGAGAGTTTAGTACAAAGTAATTTTCTAATTTTTTTCAAAAATGAAAAATTGATGAAAACGTCTCTACTTTTAAGATAATATGTTTCTCAATTTTGAAAACAGCAAATAAATACTTTCCCTGCATTGAAGCTAGAGCTCCCATTCTAGTAAAGCAACCACTTACACCAATTAGTTATAGAAAACAGGTTTTGTTGAGGAAGATAAGTTAGCAAAGGAGTGTTGGATCTATTTAGACCTAAGAACTTAAAAAAAATTCTTTGTCTACTAAAAATAAAATGATATTTTAACAGGCAAATTAATTTGTAAATCTTATTTACTAAAGTAGGAGTTATGAGAGATTCATTTCTTGGCTTAAGGCTTTTAAAATCTTAATGACATGTGTCATTGTAGTCTAAGATCTGGAAGAAATATTAATTCTCAAATGAATATATCCTATGGGAGGCAACTAGTGGTTTAGTTTGGAATGTCACTCCCATCTCTCTTCATCCTCAGGGCTATTGATCTCACACCAGTCACATCCAATCTCTCTCTCCTAATTGCTTATTGGTTTCTTCCGCCTTTCTGTCATCAGCATAGCTGAGTTCCTTGGTTTGAATCAGACACTAAAACTTTTTTATTTCATTCTGCTATCAAATCTTATTAACACCTCTTCTTCTTTTTGCTAATTATCAGATTTTTCTATCTGTCACTTAACTTCCTCAGCCATGTAATCCCATATCCAGTGTTATCAAACAAGATTTAATTTGGCTTTCCCTTCCTCACCTTAAACTCTCTGAGTTCAAAAGTTAACTTATCTCCCTTTTGTTAGTTTATTTTAATTAAGACAAGTCACATTCTGAGAGAAGACAATCATTTAACAAAGGACCAGTATCTCGAATATCTGAAAAACCTTTACAAATTAATAAGAAAAAGGAGGCAACCCAATATAAAAGTTAGGGAAAAACATGAACATGCTGAACACTCATTTCAAAGAAGAGAAAACATGAATGGCCAATGAACATGAAAAAATGTCCAAACCTATTAGGAAACAAGGAAAGGCAAAATAAAACCACCATGAGACGCCATTTCACACACAACTTGCACATGTTAAATTGTGACAGTTTCAAAGATTGGTGAGAATGTGGAGTAATGAGCACTCTCATACTTGGTTTGTGGGAGTAAATTTTGGAGCAACAATCTTGGGAACAAATTTGGCATTATCTAATAAGATTAAAGATGAGCAAGCCTGTGACCCAACCATCCTACTGCTGGTTACTTAGCATGTATGTTAGGAGACTTGGATAAGATTGTTTCAAACTGCAATGTTAAGAACAGCGATGTTAGGAGCACCAAAAACACTGATGATGACCAAAATATCCATAAATAGTAGAATGAGGCTGGGCACAATGGCTCAGACCTGTAATCCCAGCACTTCGGGAGGCCAAGGCAGGTGGGTCACCTGAGGTCAGGAGTCCGAGACCAGCTTGTCCAACAAGGTAAAACCTCATCTCTACTAAAAATACAAAAAATTAACCAGGCATGGTGGCCGGCACCTGTAGTCCCAGCTACTGGGGAGGCTGAGGCAGGAAAATCGCTTGAACCCAGGAGGCGGAGGTTGCAATGAGCCAAGATCGCGCCACTGCACTCCAGCCTGGGTGACAGAGTAAGACTCTGTCTCAAAAAAGAAAAATAAAAAATAGTAGAATGGATACATCAATCATTGTATGTTAATTCAATGGAATACTAAGCACCTGGAAAATGAGTGAACTACAGCTACACGAATCAACATAGATAAATCTCAAATACAGGATGTTGAGCCGAAGATGCTACTCACAGCAATTTGCGGAGTATAGTTTCCATTCTGATATATTTTTTAGGGGTGTGTACACATGTACTGCTGTGAAAAATACAATAAAAAACAAGGGAAAGATCATTTAATATTTAATACTTAAGACAGTGGTTACTTCTATGGAGAGGAAGATGGATTCAGGAAAGGACTAAAGGAGGCTTCAAAAATATTGTAACCGTCTATTTCTAAGGCTGGAACGAGACATTCTTTCCCCTTTAAAATGGATAGATCCATTATATATAGTTCTATGTCTGATAAATTTTACGACTAGTATATAAATAATTTACATAATCAATAACTACTCTTAGGCTTTTAAAAATATTCAGTTAAAGGTTCTTCAATGTCAGGTGGGTTTTTGTAGAGTCCCTCTCTCAATCTTGATATTTAAGCATTGCATAGTGGAATAGAAAGTTAAGGTTTCAGTGAGGTATTGTTGGAATTAGATAATATGGATATTCACTTGAAGGTACATTGAATAAAACTGGCTTGCTGCCAGTTAAACACTATCTTCTAAGTAATAATGAAGCTGGCTGTTTATAACATTACAAATATTTTACAAATCATGACGATAATGTAATTCTGGAAAAACTCAACTGAAGAGAGTCATATAAGACAGATGCTGAGATGAAAGTATGGAAACAGTGTTGATAGAGGGAAACCACGGACACTGTCTAGAAATCCAGAACGTTGTAAGGTCATGGGCCTTTATTCATGTAGGTGGATTTTAGAGATCCCCTGAAATGATTGGTTACTACCAGAAATCAATATTAGGGGAAGACGGAGAGACCTGAAAACTCTCACAACTCTGTTTTTGTTTTTGTTTTTCCAGTCGCTGCATGGACCATCATATGTAAAAGTGGGCTTGGCACTAAAAAGAAAGGAAAGAACAGTGTGTCCTTCTACAAACACAACTCTGGAATTTCCCTTTTGAGTACTCTCTGACCCTTCCTCCTTTTCACCATCTGCCAAGTGGAGTGTATGACTTTGTGTTTCCACATTTTCTCCTTTCATCCTCTGAATTCTCTACAAAGTTAGAGACTGCAGAGAAACAGAGGGGTGTTCAAGGAGTTAGGGAGTTTAGGATGGGATGCTTAGGGATAGGCCTGCAGAGTTAAGAGACTGCCGTAGGTACCCTGGTGTTTGTTTTTCTTTACCTGAAGCATTTGTAGCCAAGGAAGTTATAGTAGAGGGATTCTGTCAATTCACATCTACTTGCAGTTATATGGCATTCTATAGAGAAGCGCATGATTTTTTATTATAGCATGGCTGCCAAGCAACAAGCTGGTTTTCTTTCCTACATCTTTGGTTTTCAGTTTGCTGACACTCCATCGAAGGCACTTAATTTTAATGCCAAATACAGAAACACAAAGGACATGTGACAATGGTAAGAGGGTGGGGTTGTTGTGTCTTATCGCTATTGTAGGTTGTGGAATCTTCTTATTAAAACTTACATTATACAAAGTACAAAAACAAAAAAACAAGGAACCCACACAAAACAACCCAGAATTAATTCTGGTAAAAATTCACAACTATTTCTGATATGAGGCAAATGTTTTATAACATTGGTTTTAAATGATGTTATTACATGTGTTAAAGTTATCTAGAAATAGAAATTTCCTTCCATTACCCCTCTCACTTGCCCCAGAATTATAAAGGAATGGACATTAGAACATTAGAATCTAAATTTATTAAATTATAATTTGTTTGATTTCTCAATTTTTTAAATCAGTTTTTGAAGTTTAATGAACATTGTTGTTTAGAGAGGCATTACATTATTAGAGATGTGTCAGGAGATAACAGAGATGTTAAAGTTCTTTGCCACCAAAGGAAGTGGGAAAGCAATGTTACTGTGTCATTATTCACATTTGCTAAGGTACAAATTCCTTTGTTAGAAGTAGGCAGAAGAACCGTTCTAGAAATGATAGTTGGACCCAACCAGAGAGTCTCACTGTTTTTATTTAATATTTGTGAAATAAAAAGACTAAAACCATGAAATTGAATCATTTGTATTGGAAAGTGAAGTCTTAATGGATTCTGGTTTAACTATTGAATTAATTTTTCAATAATATATAAAACATTTCTTATTTAAGTTTGTTCTTTTCCAATTTTAGAGCAGGTGGGTGGAGCAATTGAAGGAAATTTCTATTTCTGAAGGACTTTAATAACTATAATGCAGTTGTTTTAGCCCAGTGTTATAAAGAGCAATAGGATATAGAAAGATGAGTAAGAAGGATAGAGAAGTGGTATCTAGGACCAAGGGTCATTGCACAGTTTGTGAGAGTAATAATCTAATACATGTGAACACATGTGCGTACACACAATACTTTTTTTTTTTCGAACTAAGTATCTACTTCTAAAGATCACTCATCTAGAGTTTAACTTAAGCTCCTTTTTGAGCTTCCAGCTCACAAAGCAAACTTCATTTGGGTTGTGGATTACTTAACTATTTTGCTCAATTCTTATTGAGTCAATTGATAACACGTATTTTGTGTTCCTCCTTTTTCTCACTATATGGTCTCCTCATCACTGAAAATGAAGATTGTTGTGTCCACTGTATCCTGGCTTGCTTGTTCTGCGAATTCCTGACCCTTTGCAACATTGTCCTGGGACAAGCGTCATGTGGCATCTGCACCTCAGAAGCCTGCTGCTGTTGCTGTGGTGACGAGATGGGGGATGATTGTAACTGCCCTTGTGATATGGACTGTGGCATCATGGATGCCTGTTGTGAATCATCAGACTGCTTGGAAATCTGTATGGAATGCTGTGGAATTTGTTTTCCTTCATAAATATTTATCTTTTGTTTGTGTTAAAACTGGAGAGTGTTTAAAAATTTCCTTTTGGGGGGAAGAAAAGCACATTGTAAGATTCTCATGAAACAACATGGAATTTGCACTGTTAACTCATTATTGTAAGTAATCTCTGAAAGCCTTTTTACTTTAACCAAATCTACATGGTTTAATATGTGAAATTTTAACTACTTTAACTAGTTTTATAAATTTCTTAATATGTTACAATAACTTAGGGACATTTTGACACCCCCCTTCCCAAATGTTAAATGCCTTCTCCTTTTTACCGATATTTCTGTTTCTTTTAACCGTTCTCAGGAGCACTTTGCTCCAAATATATTATTTTTCAGTGTGTATTTAAACGAGGCAGTTTATTTTGATATGTATCTATTCATGATTGAAAGGAAGCAGTCTTGGCCAGGCACGGTGGCTTACACCTGTAACCCTGGCATTTTGGGAGGCCAAGGTGGGCAGATTGCCTGAGCTCAGGAGTTCGAGACCAGCCAGGGCAACATGGTGAAACCCCATCTCTACTAAAATACAAAAAGTTAGCTGGGCTTGGCGGTGTGCGCCTGTAGTCCCAGCTACTCAGGAGGCTGAGGCAGGAGAATTGCTTGAACCCGAGAGGCGGAAGTTGCAGTGAGCCGAGATTGTGCCACTGAACTCCAACCTGCACTCCAGCCTGGGCAACAGAGCGAGACTCCATCTCTAAATAAATAAATAAATAAATAAATAAATAAATAAATAAATAAACAAACCAGTCTTTATTTTAAAAGAAACTTTAGGAAACAAACCCACATAATAGTTGGGAACCAGTGTTGATCTCTCTCCCTTACCTTCTCCACTTGTTCAACAGACTCTGAATGCCGACTGTGTGGACTCTCTTCCTCAGACTGTGGGGACAGATACAATTCCACTCCTGTCCACAGGAACATGAGATTTAGCAGACTAAGGAGATCTGTAAAGAATGAACCATACCACAAGGCATACTGAAGTGAGGATTATAAGAGAAATAAACTCAAAATGCTGTTGGAATATGCAGAGAATTGCTACCAGAATATTCAGTAAGGTTTCAGGGAGAATGTGGCATTTGAGGACTCTCTTAGAATGAGTGATTCACCTGCTATTTAAATGAATTATTTAGATTTTTGACAAAGATTTAGGTGGACACCCTAAACTGTGTGTGCCTTTAACCAGTTAAAAGAACAGTGCCTTCAGCATACTTTTTTATTAGTTGTAGGAATACAGCTTTTTGAAAAAGCTATAAAGTTTAAATTAACTAAAAATATGCATTTTCTTACACATAATTTAAATGTTATCATACTTTTTTGATGAAAACATAATGCCTTAGTAAAATAGCTCTATTTAATAAAGAAGATTGAGTACTCTGACACATTTCATTTAAATTAGGAAATTTTTAATATTAAAATCCCAGTGTTCTGAGTTATTGAAAGGCTTTCTTTTATTTTGAGAGCTTTAGGTCTTTTTGGGATGAGAACATTTTAGTTGTTTAGTTTGTTTCTTAAGCAGTGCTATTTTTTGTAAACACAGATAAATGGAAACCATTCTTTTCAATGCAGAAGAAATCTAGATATCCCCTACTGTGACCAAATTTCTGTATTACGATTTTATGTTAAATTAAACTAATATGGCAGGTTATAATGATCCTTAAGTGTAAAGAAATCAGTCAATTACAAGAGTAATTGTATAGTTATTGAGACCTATAGTGTGTGGCTTAGATGAAAGGGAGAGTAAATTTTCATACCATGCTCTCTCCTACTCAGTTTGATCTCTCTAAAATTGTAGTTTGGTTTGATTTAATATAATTCTTAGTAGAAATTTTGAAAGTATGCTTTGGGATTAATAATTATTTTTAATTTTTCTGGCTGAATATCAAATTGATAGTAACAACAGAAGCATAATTTTAGGAAGGCTTTCGCAAACCTAGCCTTTTAAGAGAGGTTTTTAACCTGAAGCATGAGAATATATCACCTGTGGTTTTTCCTTTGAGATGAAACGTAGTTTCTAGTTATATCATTACTTAAAGGGCTTAAAAAGAAAAAACTTAGCAAACTTTTGAATCTTTCTTTTATTGCTATTTACACATACATACACACATACAAAACCTTTAAATTTTGGGATCTGAATATAATTCTGGTAAACAGCTGTCTTCATTTTTCTCCTCTAAAGAACTTAATTCATTTGTTACATAAAATATAAGGAAATCTTTATACTATTTTACAGTAACCACAATCTAAATATTTACATATACCCAAAATTAACTTATGCTCATATATTAGGATGTGAGAATATCATCTGTTTATGGACACATGAAACCTCCTAATGACCTGGAATTGTTAGAATATTTGACTTTTTATATGCAAAGTTTTTCAACCAAGTGGTTTGTCTAATATTTAAACATGTACTGGCACAATTTGTGATGAAAATATTAGCACATTTGCAATAATGTTTCTCCATAACAGAGAATGTTAATGGATACCAGAATTTTATTTTTGTATTTATGTTCATAGTACTTTTCCTCTTGTCTACTCCAGACAGTTATTCCATAAAGCATTTGTATAATTAAAAGGAAAACAGAAAAAGGAAAAGTAGGCAAATGTGAAAATAGTTTCAATATATCTTATGATTTCTTAATGTAAAATGTTTTGTTGAAGTATATGGCTATCATGACTAAGTGCTAGAATTTATAGTTACAGGCGGTGTCCTTTTAAATGTGGAAAGGCTTTTAAAATATTTTAAAACTGGACCTGTATTATCCTGAATACACTATTTTGAAAATTTTTAAAAATGACTTCTTTATTTTGCTTTACCGTATGTTTATATCTAATTGACATATTGACTAATGTTTGAAAGAATTCAACCATAAGTTAAAATCTGAAGGTTATCTTTATCATGTTTCATCCCTGTCTGAAGATTTCCTAGTCTTCTTATGTAAATCACATGACTCATGTCCGTAAATGAACTATGAAAGATATCGATCAGTTTATGATCATTGACATGTGATTTCAAAACACAGTGTTCTTTTAAAAATCTATAATATGTCAAAATACAAGTTTTTTTTTTTTACATCGTTTTAGTAAGTTAATTTCATTTATTTACTTTGGAGCTATATTTCCACTTAGAAAAACTAAGGTAATTTTACAATATATGCTGAGATTAAAAACCAAGGTAAAAATGATCAAACATATATGAAATTGAGTCTTAGATTTAATGAATTTCACTCGAAAATAAATGATCAGAAGAATTTTCATCTAAGGCATAGAGTGGCGAAATTTTTGTAAATGCTCGCAGTTAGCATCTAACTAAAACAATACAGTATGACTTTATTTAGGAGAAGGCTTTTTATTTAGAAAATTATTTTTTCATTTTTACAGTGTATCAACTGTATCCATTTTCCTCACCTGGATAGTCAATGTTATCTGAGCAGTTCAAGGAGTAACCAAGGCAACCTTATGTAATAACTTTCCATTCTTTATCCATACAAACTCTTTCAGTGCCCTAGATTCTAATGTTATAAACGTCAAACATCACTGCCCAACATAAATAAGACTCGAGACTTATTAACATAAATAAGTATCTTGCCTTCTTGAATGCTAGTTAAATGCTTAGATTTACCTAACTGCCTAATGAATCAGGTTATTTGTTAATAAGATTATTTTTCAAATTATTTAAGACCTTTATGCCCCTTCCAATTACTTGTGATTTGTAGGCCTGTAGGATTGTTGCATCTAATCTGACTGGCAACAGAAAATGTCATCAAATACTATAATATCCATTTTGTTTTCTTTTGCACTAATACAACAGAACATATCATTTTTGTTTTAAACAATGGTTAATATATTAATAGGGTTTGTTCCACACTTACTATTTATAGTTTTTATAATCAAGCATTGGGTATTAAAAGAGAATCCTTTCAACCCTTCATCTTCGTATGCTTATACAATAAATTGCAGTGAGTGTTTTCTTTGTGCTTGGATTGATACTAGACACCTCAAGAAAGTCACATAACCCTCAAGAAGTTTCAACCCAGGGAATAAGTTTGGCACCTCCCATGAGAAAACAGTTTCAACGGTGAACCTGCCAGTATTTACTTCCTTATTTAAGATTGCTTTTAGAGTTTGTTTAAAATAGAAGAAGTTGTGGAGAGGGGATACTATTGTAATGCAGCCCTAACATGGAGGGTGGGTGTTGCAAAAACTGTCATTGGTGACTAAATCTTCTACATACATTGCAAAATTCTCAGTGGACAATGACTGCCCCTTTTAAAACACTGTAACTCAAAATATCATATTTATGACCAAATTTTTATGAAGACAATAGACAATCTGGAAATGAAATAAAGCCGCAGCGGAGCCCCACCTGGAAAGCAATGTCTCTATGCAAACAGAATCTGCACCACCTATTCTTCACCAAGCTGTCATAATAGCATGACACTTTCCACTAGAGCCTCAGCTATAACACTTAAGCAGCTAGATGTCAAGTTAAGTAGCTTCCTGCCTTCTGACTGAACTGTGGCTAGTAGTTCTGCTTCCATTGTTTGTTTGTTTGTCTGCTTATGCCCTCAATTCCTTACCACATTCCATTTAGTGCTCACTGAAAAGGAAGCATTAATTTAGTTGTGAGGTGACCATGAAGAAATCATTTCAGATAACCATCCTTTGACACATTACCAACATGGGGTATAGATATATGTGTTAAAGACAAAGTATAGCTCTGCAATTAGGTGTTCACTTCCAGGCAGGTCTTTGTGTGAGGTTTAGTTGAGAATGTAATTATTAGGAAAATGGTGAAAAGCAAATTCAAACAAATTCTAAGTTTAGCTTGAAAAATGGAAAAGGTTCTTAAGTTCTGTCTGATGCATAAAGGGGTAGAAGCAAAGGAATTATGCTCCAAAGCCAAGAAAGAGGGTGTACAAAAGCAGCTGATCCACTTGACATAGTTCATAGCCTTTTGCAAAGGAATAAAAGCCTGTTGAGCAGGGAACCAAAAGATCTCATTATAGGATGAAGCCAAGCCATATTAAAGCTTGTGCACTAGTAACTATGTCTAAAAACAGCCTGCTGTTTTATATTGAACCAATACATTTCTTAACTTGGTAGGTTGCAGTGTAAAGATGTACAGAGCCTGTCTGCTGGATGCTATGCCAATTACAGATGTGGCAGAGTGGTGTCAAACACCTACAAACAGTTAGATCGCAAGCAATCTTAGAGTGAAACAAAAGAAGTTTTAAAATGTCACCTCAAAACCTAGTTAATCGTGTGTGTTTGACTTTTAGAGTCTTGAAATCACCTTTATTATATAATTTCATGTGGACGTCATATGCTCCCTCAATCAGAATGCACAATTCTTTCAAGGACATGAATAGTGCCTGAGAGATAAGGAGAATATCTTTTAAAAGTAACATCTTTAGATGACAAGGTGTCTCTGATCAGCTCTGCAGAAACTGTGTTTTATTGGTGCTGAGGTGAAGGAGGAGTAAAATACTCATGAATACATATTATATTAGATTTTGTTAGATCATCAAAAAGAATAATTGGGCATATTTACACAATTACATTTTAGTAAACTGTTATGCCAGCCTAACTATAATACATATTCTGGTAAAAGTACATTAAATCGCAATCCAAAAGCAATTTAGCAGCTGAGGACATTATTTTTTATCTAATTATTCACAAATTAATGAATAAAATTAAATTCCAATCACTGAAGAAAATGAAGCAATGGTGAGAATCAGAAGTACAGATTAGTTAAAGCAAAGATATGCAATGCATAACAGAATTAAAGCATTTCTTTTATTCAAACTCAGTGCTTAAAAAAGAACAAATCCATCATCTTGAAATTTGACTTGTAGCTTGACATTAAAAATAATATGAGTAGAATTTTCAGTGGGGTAAGCACAAAACTAGTTCAAGTTGTGTCACTCTCAATTACTGTACTCAGGTGGTGTACCCATTAAAATTCCCACTTGTGGGTTCCGCTCGCTATGCAAATGGGGTCATTACCCGGAGAATTTAATTGGTTATGACACTGGGAGTAGGACTTTTCCTTTCAAAATAAACCTACTTACACACATTTTTGCTAGAAATTTGATTGTTATATGTAGTTTGCATTGTTTTGCTCTATAAATATTTACAACAATTAGACTGCCCTTACTTATTTTTTACAAATAATTAAAAATGGGTCCAAATTAATCTGATATGGTTTATTTGTCTGTAAGACTAGTTAAAATGAATCTTTTGTAAGTCATATTGCTTATCAAAACATTATTTTAAAAAGCCTTTGTATCTTCCCAACCATACATCAGATGTGGGTACATTTCCAGCAATGTTTTTCATCATTTAATAGTAACATTTTCTCTTTTATAATAGTTCTAAATATTTAATTTGAAAGGTTTCTTCTATTTTTCTCCTTTTTTGTCACTTTAAAAAATACGCAGCTAAAGAGTTAACCTACCCTTAGATTATATATAAAACATATAATATGTAATATTGCTGAGGAGCCATGTCTATAACATTTCCAAGGTCTTTATATTCACTGATAGCACTGGATGGGGTCGTTATGTTGTCAGAGTCAGTCCTAGAGATGCTTCCACTGTTAGCCATGAGACTACTAAATTTAAAGCAAAAAAACACCAAATTGGTGTGAAAAGCACAGGGCTCCATACAATTTTAATTTATTGTGGCGACTTCAACTAGAGAACGCTGTTTATTAGCCACCTATCAAAAATCTTGATAATGGCCTGAATTGACAAGGAACACTGAAATTACAGTGTGGTTTAATGGATATGATATTAAAATGAACATCCAAGAATTGAGTTCCTGGACACTGACTCTAAGAGCAGTTCCCAGAGTGAACATAAAGTAGGAACAGAGTTGCTGTAAGTATTAATGGGATAATCTCAGGGAAGCACTAACAGTTTCTTGAAAGAGACGGGTTACACAGTCTAAATTTTTATTACTACATCAAGCTGTACAACAAGCCAAGGTTTTATCACTAGTTTATCTGGACCTGAAGGGAATATGTTTCCTTTAATGTAAAAAGGAAATCAGAGAGAAATAATTCCAAGGATATAGAAAAGGAAATACTATAAATTTATAACTGGACCATTGGGCAGGATTTTTAACATCTGTAACTGTGGGGAATTTCCCATAGAATATCAAATATGGATCCAAGTCTCTGACATTCATTTTTCTATGATATTTCTAATTGTGCCCAGAGGATAAGAAAGAGTTGGCGCATCCAATAAATATAATCATTTACATGCACGGAGCTCCCTTTGAAGTTAATAGGACCTATGGAAAGGGGAGTTATGCACCACAAAAACGAAGTTCAACGTGAATCTAGTTCTTTTTTTTAACATGCAGTGGTATTGCCAATGCATTTGGATTTTCTTGCTGCTTATCTTTCCTTTGTGTGTGATGTTTAAGTTGGAGTTGAGGGAAGTGCTCCATGTGTAGAGGAAAGATAGCCCAAAAAAGAGGATGTGGTGATTGGCAGCTTACACTCAGGGACAGCTTTAGGAGATAGCAAAAGTGATAGGGCTGACATTTGTAGAGCTTGTTTAACTTTTCAGAAGAAAACCGTATCCGTTTTCTCATTTGATCTTCACAAAACTGTGATTCTTCTAGGATAGACGTTTTAACTTCCATTTTACAGAGGAAAAAACTGGGACAGATTGCTTAAGTTTACTTTTTAAAGTAACATTGTTAGTTACCAATAGACCTAGGAAACCTAATTTCTATTTCTGGATCTTTCCATTAGACGGGTATATTTCTTATGTAATTTTACATATTACCAAATATAATAAATAGATTCAATCAAAACAGCTTGGCTTGAAGCTGGGATGGAAACACGCGGATCTGAAGTCTTGCCTGTCTTGTTTCTTGTCTCCCATCTTTCCTACCTTGAGTGGGTATCATGACTTGGGCTCTAAGGGCGAATAAAATTCATAGCTACTGTACTACTTATCTTTCATGGCATGCATTGACCCAAAAGTCAATGAACTCACAATGTGTTACTGTTCTGTGCCTACTTATCAATGATGTCCATTGTTTTTGGGTGGATGAAGAATCAAGAGTTAGATGTTCTTCATAAGATTAGGTGTCATTCATTTTCCATTTACCACCCTCAGATCAGTTTTCTCTTTCTGCCTGATTTTGTGCCAGGGTGTCTTGCTTTCTGATTTCCAGTTGGCTTTGGCTGATGGTAGGCACTGGTGGGAAATCAAAAGATGGGAGAGAAGTCAAGGTATTAATTCCCACCCCACCCTTGCCCCTGTTCCTTCCAGACAGTGTTTGATAGTAGCTCTGTTCCTCCACATTAGGGTTTCCTGTGCAACGGCCCCTCTCCCACAGCTACAGCTCTCTCCTGGTACCTCTTCAGGCTTGGAGAAGCAGAGGTTTTCCAATGTTGTTAGTTCCTGGAACTTTAAACTCCTTTGCTGGTCTTCTTACAACTGATTGTTTCTCTGCTAACAGTCCCTTTTATTAATCTCCCTTCAATTAAACCCTATGAGGGAGCCATCTGTTTCCTGTCAGTACTTTGAATAATGAGGTAGTGAGAAAAAGCGATCTTGTTTGTGTGCAGACGCACATGTCTGAGTTCAATCTTGTTATCATGTATTTCTAAGATTTATGAAAATATAAATCCTGGGGTATCTTGTATATTTGTGTCTGTTTAACATTGACAGTTACTCAAATATAATAATACAATAATACAAGAACTACACTAGACACTCCAGAAACTTAATAGTTTTAGTTCAATGCCTACATATCCTCCTTGTTAACATTTGACAATGTAACAATCTGGGGGTAGGGGACAGGGAAAGAAAGAGGGTATCATTAC
The DNA here is from genome assembly GCF_000001405.40 of Homo sapiens. Classification (NCBI taxonomy): domain Eukaryota; kingdom Metazoa; phylum Chordata; class Mammalia; order Primates; family Hominidae; genus Homo; species Homo sapiens. The sequence continues at coordinate 115,024,801 of NC_000007.14, forward strand.
CATGGGTGATACAAAGCTTATGGTCGAGTTACAAGGCTTTAGGATCCCCAAAGGTGATGACATTTTCCTTTATTTCCCACAACCTAAAATGACTCAGTATCACTATCAACATAAATATACCCATAGAGAAATCTTAGCTTACAGCTTACAGATCCACCCAGAAATGCCATATTTGGGGATTCTATATAAATGTACCCAATTGTTAAAAGTTAACATGGCATCTATATGCCTTTGGCACCAAACATTTCTAAAGTAAGGTGGGTCTGTTATCAGATCTTTATTATTATTATTATTATTATTATTATTATTATTATACTTTAAGTTTTAGGGTACATGTGCACATTGTGCAGGTAAGTTACATATGTATACATGTGCCGTGCTGGTGTGCTGCACCCACTAACTTGTCATCTAGCATTAGGTATATCTCCCAATGCTATCCCTCCCCCCTCCCCCCACGACCACAACAGTCCCCAGAGTGTGATATTCCCCTTCCTGTGTCCATGTGATCTCATTGTTCAATCCCCACCTATGAGTGAGAATATGCGGTTTGGTTTTTTGTTCTTGCGATAGTTTACTGAGAATGATGATTTCCAATTTCATCCATGTCCCTACAAAGGACATGAACTCATCATTTTTTATGGCTGCATAGTATTCCATGGTGTATATGTGCCACATTTTTTTAATCCAGTCTATCATTGTTAGACATTTGGGTTGGTTCCAAGTCTTTGCTATTGTGAATAATGCCGCAATAAACATACGTGTGCATGTGTCTTTATAGCAGCATGATTTATAGTCCTTTGGGTATATACCCAGTAATGGGATGGCTGGGTCAAATGGTATTTCCAGTTCTAGATCCCTGAGGAATCGCCACACTGACTTCCACAATGGTTGAACTAGTTTACAGTCCCACCAACAGTGTAAAAGTGTTCCTATTTCTCCACATCCTCTCCAGCATCTGTTGTTTCCTGACATTTTAATGATTGCCATTCTAACTGGTGTGGATGGTATCTCATTGTGGTTTTGATTTGCATTTCTCTGATGGCCAGTGATGATGAGCATTTTTTCATGTGTTTTTTGGCTGCATAAATGTCTTCTTTTGAGAAGTGTCTGTTCATGTCCTTCGCCCACTTTTTGATGGGGTTGTTTGTTTTTTCTTGTAAATTTGTTTGAGTTCATTGTAGATTCTGGATATTAGCCCTTTGTCAGATGAGTAGGTTGCAAAAATTTTCTCCCATTTTGTAGGTTGTCTGTTCACTCTGATGGTAGTTTCTTTTGCTGTGCAGAAGCTCTTTAGTTTAATTAGATCCCATTTGTCAATTTTGTCTTTTGTTGCCATTGCTTTTGGTGTTTTAGACATGAAGTCCTTGCCCATGTCTATGTCCTGAATGGTAATGCCTAGGTTTTCTTTTAGGGTTTTTATGGTTTTAGGTCTAACGTTTAAGTCTTTAATCCATCTTGAATTGATTTTTGTATAAGGTGTAAGGAAGGGATCCAGTTTCAGCTTTCTACATATGGCTAGCCAGTTTTCCCAGCACCATTTATTAAATAGGGAATCCTTTCCCCATTGCTTGTTTTTCTCAGGTTTGTCAAAGATCAGATAGTTGTAGATATGCGGCGTTATTTCTGAGGGCTCTGTTCTGTTCCATTGATCTATATCTCTGTTTTGGTACCAGTACCATGCTGTTTTGGTTAATGTAGCCTTGTAGTATAGTTTGAAGTCAGGTAGTGTGATGCCTCCAGCTTTGTTCTTTTGGCTTAGGATTGACTTGGTGATGCGGGCTCTTTTTTGGTTCCATATGAACTTTAAAGTAGTTTTTTCCAATTCTGTGAAGAAAGGCATTGGTAGCTTGATGAGGATGGCATTGAATCTGTAAATTACCTTGGGCAGTATGGCCATTTTCACGATATTGATTCTTCCTACCCATGAGTATGGAATGTTCTTCCATTTGTTAGTATCCTCTTTTATTTCCTTGAGCAGTGGTTTGTAGTTCTCCTTGAAGAGTTCCTTCACATCCCTTGTAAGCTGGATTCCTAGGTATTTTATTCTCTTTGAAGCAATTGTGAATGGGAGTTCACTCATGATTTGGCTCTCTGTTTGTCTGTTGTTGGTGTATAAGAATGCTTGTGATTTTTATACATTGATTTTGTATCCTGAGACTTTGCTGAAGTTGCTTATCAGCTTAAGGAGATTTTGGGCTGAGACAATGGGGTTTTCTAGATACACAATCATGTCGTCTGCAAACAGGGACAATTTGACTTCCTCTTTTCCTAATTGAGTACCCTTTATTTCCTTCTCCTGCCTAATTGCCCTGGCCAGAACTTCCAACACTATGTTGAATAGGAGTGGTGAGAGAGGGCATCCCTGTCTTGTGCCAGTTTTCAAAGGGAATGTTTCCAGATTTTGCCCATTCAGTATGATATTGGCTGTGGGTTTGTCATAGATAGCTCTTATTATTTTGAAATACGTCCCATCAATACCTAATCTATTGAGAGTTTTTAGCATGAAGGGTTGTTGTATTTTGTCAAAGTCTTTTTCTGCATCTATTGAGATAATCATGTGGTTTTTGTCTTTGGCTCTGTTTATATGCTGGATTACACTTATTGATTTGCGTATATTGAACCAGCCTTGCATCCCAGGGATGAAGCCCACTTGATCATGGTGGATAAGCTTTTTGATGTGCTGCTGGATTCATTTTGCCAGTATTTTATTGGGGATTTTTGCATCAATGTTATTGGTCTAAAATTCTCTTTTTTTGTTGTGTCTCTGCCTGGCTTTGGTATCAGAATGATGCTGGCCTCATAAAATGAGTTAGGGAGGATTCCCTCTTTTTCTACTGATTGGAATAGTTTCAGAAGGAATGGGACCAGTTCCTCCTTGTACCTCTGGTAGAATTCAGCTGTGAATCCATCTGGTCCTGGACTCTTTTTGGTTGGTAAGCTATTGATTATTGCCACAATTTCAGATCCTGTTATTGGTCTATTCAGAGATTCAACTTCTTCCTGGTTTAGTCTTGGGAGAGTGTATGTGTCGAGGAATGTATCCATTTCTTCTAGATTTTCTAGTTTATTTGCGTAGAGGTGTTTATAGTATTCTCTGATGGTAGTTTGTATTTCTGTGGGATCGGTGGTGATATCCCCTTTATCATTTTTTATTGCGTCTATTTGATTCTTCTCTCTTTTTTTCTTTATTAGTCTTGCTAGCAGTCTATCAATTTTGTTGATCCTTTCAAAAAACCAGCTCCTGGATTCATTAATTTTTTGAAGGGTTTTTTGTGTCTCTATTTCCTTCAGTTCTGCTCTGATTTTAGTTATTTCTTTCCTTCTACTAGCTTTTGAATGTGTTTGCTCTTGCTTCTCTAGTTCTTTTAATTGTGATGTTAGGGTGTCAATTTTAGATGTTTCCTGCTTCTCTTGTGGGCATTTAGTGCTATAGATTTCTCTCTACACACTGCTTTAAATGTGTCCCAGAGATTCTGGTATGTTGTGTCTTTGTTCTCGTTGGTTTCAAAGAACATCTTTATTTCTGCCTTCATTTCGTTATGTACCCAGTGGTCATTCAGGAGCAGGTTGTTCAGTTTCCATGTAGTTGAGCAGTTTTGAGTGAGATTCTTAATCCTGAGTTCTAGTTTGATTGCGCTGTGGTCTGAGAGATAGTTTGTTATAATTTCTGTTTTTTACATTTGCTGAGGAGTGCTTTACTTCCAAGTATGTGGTCAATTTTGGAATAGGTGTGGTGTGGTGCTGAAAAAAATGTATATTCTGTTGATTTGGGGTGGAGAGTTCTGTAGATGTCTATTAGGTCTGCTTGGTGCAGAGCTGAGTTCAATTCCTGGGTATCCTTGTTGACTTTCTGTCTCGTTGATCTGCCTAATGTTGACAGTGGGGTGTTAAAGTCTCCCATTATTAATGTGTGGGAGTCTAAATCTCTTTGTAGGTCACTCAGGACTTGCTTTATGAATCTGGGTGCTCCTGTATTGGGTGCATATATATTTGGGATAGTTAGCTCTTCTTGTTGAATTGATCCCTTTACCATTATGTAATGGCCTTCTTTGTCTCTTTTGATCTTTGTTGGTTTAAAGTCTGTTTTATCAGAGACTAGGATTGCAACCCCTGCCTTTTTTTGTTTTCCATTTGCTTGGTAGATCTTCCTCCATCCTTTTATTTTGAGCCTATGTGTGTCTCTGCACGTGAGATGGGTTTCCTGAATACAGCACACTGATGGGTCTTGACTCTTTATCCAATTTGCCAGTCCGTGTCTTTTAATTGGAGCATTTAGTCCATTTACATTTAAAGTTAATATTGTTATGTGTGAATTTGATCCTGTCATTATGATGTTAGCTGGTTATTTTGCTTGTTAGTTGATGCAGTTTCTTCCTAGTCTTGATGGTCTTTACATTTTGGCATGATTTTGCAGCAGCTGGTACTGGTTGTTCCTTTCCATGTTTAGCGCTTCCTTCAGGAGCTCTTTTAGGGCAGGTCTGGTGGTGACAAAATCTCTCAGCATTTGCTTTTCTGTAAAGTATTTTATTTCTCCTTTGCTTATGAAGTTTAGTTTGGCTGGATATGAAATTCTGGGTTGAAAATTTTTTTCTTTAAGAATGTTGAATATTGACCCCCACTCTCTTCTGGCTTGTAGGGTTTCTGCCGAGAGATCCGCTGTTAGTCTGATGGGCTTCCCTTTGAGGGTAACCCGACCTTTCTCTCTGGCTGCCCTTAACATTTTTTCCTTCATTTCAACTTTGGTGAATCTGACAATTATGTGTCTTGGAGTTGCTCTTCTCGAGGAGTATCTTTGTGGCGTTCTCTGTATTTCCTTAATCTGAACGTTGGCCTGCCTTGCTAGATTGGGGAAGTTCTCCTGGATAATATCCTGCAGAGTGTTTTCCAACTTGGTTCCATTCTCCCCATCACTTTCAGGTACACCAATCAGACGTAGATTTGGTCTTTTCACATAGTCTCATATTTCTTGGAGGCTTTGCTCATTTCTTTTTATTCTTTTTTCTCTAAACTTCCCTTCTCACTTCATTTCATTCATTTCATCTTCCATTGCTGATACCCTTTCTTCCAGTTGATCACATCAGCCCCTAAGGCTTCTGTATTCTTCACGTAGTTCTCGAGCCTTGGTTTTCAGCTCCATCAGCTCCGTTAAGCACTTCTCTGTATTGGTTATTCTAGTTATACATTCTTCTAAATTTTTTTCAAAGTTTTCAACTTCTTTGCCTTTGGTTTGAATGTCCTCCCGTAGCTCAGAGTAATTGGATCGTCTGAAGCCTTCTTCTCTCAGCTCGTCAAAGTCATTCTCCATCCAGCTTTTTTCCGTTGCTGGTGAGGAACTGCGTTCCTTTGGAGGAGGAGAGGCACTCTGCTTTTTAGAGTTTCCAGTTTTTCTGTTCTGTTTTTTCCCCATCTTTGTGGTTTTATCTACTTTTGGTCTTTGATGATGGTGATGTACAGATGGGTTTTTGGTGTGGATGTCCTTTCTGTTTATTAGTTTTCCTTCTAACAGACAGGACCCTCAGCTGCAGGTCTGTTGGAATACCCTGCCGTGTGAGGTGTCAGTGTGCCCCTGCTGGGGGGTGCCTCCCAGTTAGGCTGCTCGGGGGTCAGGGGTCAGGGACCCACTTGAGGAGGCCGTCTGCCCATTCTCAGATCTCCAGCTGCGTGCTGGGAGAACCACTGCTCTCTTCAAAGCTGTCAGACAGGGACATTTAAGTCTGCAGAGGTTACTGCTGTCTTTTTGTTTGTCTGTGCCCTGCCCCCAGAGGTGGAGCCTACAGAGGCAGGCAGGCCTCCTTGAGCTCTGGTGGGCTCCACCCAGTTCGAGCTTCCCGGCTGCTTTATTTACCTAAGCAAGCCTGGGCAATGGCGGGTGCCCCTACCCCAGCCTCGCTGCCGCCTTGCAGGTTGATCTCAGACTGCTGTGCTAGCAATCAGCGGGACTCCGTGGGCGTAGGACCCTCCGAGCCAGGTGCGCGATATAATCTCGTGGTGTGCTGTTTTTTAAGCCCGTCGGAAAAGCACAGTATTCGGGTGGCAGTGACCCGATTTTCCAGGTGCCGTCTGTCACCCCTTTCTTTGACTGGGAAAGGGAACTCCCTGACCCCTTGTGCTTCCCCAGTGAGGCAATGCCTCGCCCTGCTTCGGCTCGCGCACGGTGCACTGCACCCACTGACCTGCGCCCACTGTCTGGCACTCCCTAGTGAGATGAACCCGGTATCTCAGATAGAAGTGCAGAAATCACCTGTCTTCTGCGTGGCTCAGGCTGGGAGCTGTAGACCGGAGCTGTTCCTATTCGGCCATCTTGGCTCCTCCCTCCCCGTTATCAGATCTTAAACACATAGTTCAATCCTAAGTTAGAAAACTCACTACTTTTTTTTTTTTTTTTTTTTTTTTGAGACGGAGTCTTGCTCTGTCACCCAGGCTGGAGTGCAGTGGTGCAATCTCAGCTCACTGCAGCCTCCACCTCCAGGGTTCAAGCAATTCTCCTGCCTCAGCCTCCTGGGTAGCTGGAATTACAGGTGTGTGCCCCCACATCAGCTATTTTTTGTATTTTTAGTAGAGACAGGGTTTCAGTATGTTGGCCAGACTGGTTTTGAACTCCTGAACTCAAGTGATCCACCCACCTCGACCTCCCGAAGTGCTGGGATTACAGGTGTGAGCCACTACGCCTGGCCTAAAGGGACAGAATGCACATTAATTCAATAACATTAAATGGTTGGAATAGAAACAAGTATAATTGCAATGAGAGTTGAGAAGTGAGAGTGACTAAGTCTCCCTAGGAGAATCAGGAAATTTTCTCAGAAGAGGAAGCATTCAAACTTGGATTTGGAGAAGTTTTCATCCATGCATTATTTATACATGCCTTGTGTATTTACAGTTATGTTGCAGCAGGATGGAGAGTAGGGAGCGATGGGAAAAAGCAGAACTGAGTCCAGTGAGGCAGCACCTTAAACACCTTGCTGAAGGTTCCCAATTTTGTCTTGTAGGTGATACGAAGCCTTCTGAAGATTTGAATCAAGGAAATGGTGAGATCAAATTTATATTTTGATCACATTTTTATGGGGGCAGCAGTATGGATGATGAACTCGAGGAGATGAAGAATGAACTTGGATAGGCAGTTGAAAGGTTTTCCATTCATTTACAAACACAAAAGATGGTGAGGACCTGATTTAACACATTGGCTGTAGGAACAGACGGGTGAGAGGGAACTGAAGTAATACCTTTCTGGAAGGATATTGAAAGACTATCCTAGGTGAATGAACATATTAAATGTGCCCAGTGTTTGCATACAAACTGACTGTCTGAATGTTAAATAAAAGTCAAGTTCGTAGAAGTTATGAAGTACATTCATGTTTCAGGTCACAAATGTTGTATTTTCCTTAAGCAATGCAATGGATTTGAAAGTGATTCACAGGCAGTTTCACTAACATTAGGAACTTTCATCATAATTCCTATTAGGGTATACATGATGACTGTGGTAGTATATGTGGTGCTTAGGTGGATGAACTAGTAAGATAAATACCAGAGTAAAATCTTCCAGTATCCTAGTATGCCAGTGTTGCATGTTAGCCAAACGGTGCAGTAAGCAGAAGTGAGAGAAACACAAGGAGCCAAGGAGAGATGGACAAGGCATATCCAGAGTGCCTGGTATGTAAGAGATGTTCAATTATATATTTGTTGGTTTTTAAGTGAATGAATGGGTAAATATATATGCATATTACAGTATGAATAACCTAAATAATGTGAACAATTGGATATGTAGTCCTAAGATGCATATTGCATGACAATTGCAAGCATAATAATTGAAAGAGAGAAAAAATTTCCACCAAACTATATGCACACACTGACTTGACCATTTTTAACTAAATCAACTGATTGCTAATTGATTTTTAACTTGCTTAATGAAGAAGTTCAGTTCCATCGTAAGTCTTAGGTACTGTATGATCCAAATCTCTTCGGTTGGCCTCCAGCAGCTCTGCAATTAGTGAGTAAATTTTCCAAAATTATATTTTTGCCAGCCTTTGTCTTTTTACACAACCTGATTCAAATTCTCAGTTGGGCATGTTCCAAATTTTGTGTTAGTCTGGGAGGGTGTTTACTGGCCCCAAGAGATTGCCTAATTTGTCATAAATTATGTGCATCACACATTTTGTTTTCTTAGGCCGAATAAAATGATCCAAACATGCTTTAACAGTTTTATTTTCACAATAAATTACAAAAGGGTCATGGGATGAAAGTTTGTTTTTTTTTTAAATAATTATGCTAAAATGTAAATATTTAAATTTGCATTGGGAATACAAGTGAAATTTCAAGGTCTTTAAAATACGGTGCTTACTAAGAAAAATAAGAGAGAAGAGGAGCCACCAGGGCAAAAGCAAGCCACATGGATTATTTCTGTCTCTAGTGGTAGAGGATGATACTTAAAGGAAATCACAAGGCAGCTTCCCAGGCAGATGTTCAATTTGCATCTGGCAACTAGATCATCAAATAGGAATAAAGAGATTTCATCTGTTCTTGCAAATATTTATTTTGAAATAATTGTTGAAAGCATGGGAGACAAGGCAATGGGAATCCAAACCATAATATAAAATCTTAAATTTAACCAGAATCTTGAAAGGTTTTATATTCTGATTCCATGAGTGTTTTTGTGTTGAGTGAATGCCACAGACTAAAAGGAATAATGGCTGAGGCTTTCCATTTGTAGTGAAGTCAAAAGGTCGCCATTCATTTGGATTACATTTTCTCTCAAGCAAATATTTTTAGGCTCTTAGTCCTAAAATATGATGAATTGTACTAAATACATAGATAATGCAGATATTTAGGCAGAGGTTATCACAAAATCTATCTATTTTTAAAATATTTCAATACTCAGTGGTGGCATTTTAATTATTTCTTCTTCAAAGAAGAGCATCCATCTCTGACAAATAACCATTTCCATGGGGACCAAAGTTAATATTTAATAAGAGAAAACATTTCACTTTTATGCTCTCTTAAATTTCAACAAATATACAATTTTGAAAAGTATCAAAATGCCAGAATATCTTTGTGATAAAAAAGTTATATCCTTTCTATATTCATTTAAAAATTCCCATTATTTATAAGTTGTCAGACTGTCCTCAAGAAGTTTTTTCTAAATGAAAAAAATATGGCACGATAACATATTGCATAATTACATTCCAGGTTTGCATTAATAAAGTATTATACTTGTAAGTTTTACAAGTAGAAGTAACACTGTGGTTGTCATATATTACAGTACACAAAATTTGATTGTTATGGAGTAGACATCTGCCAGAAACATTTCAGTTTAGCATGATGAATTTACCTTAGCCCTGTCAAGAATCACATTACAATGCCAAAGTATTGCTTTGAATATATGTTGAAAAACAGAAATAAATTTGTTGAGGTAGGGTTTCAAATCCCCTCAGAATCATGTCATTACTGGTATTGTGGCTAGGCACATGTGAGCTTGAGTTACTCTGTGGGGGATTTACCAATAGTGAATGTCACTCATTTAATCAGGACAGCTAAAGAAAAGATATTGTTCACTGTGGTTGATGAAAGGAGTTTATCAGCATCACAGCAAGGATTCTAGCATACTCAATTTACATAAAAGTATAAGGATATTTAAAACATAATCCCTTTCCAAGCCACTTAAACATATTTGCATGGGAAGTTGCTTACCTGTAGCCCATTTTTCTGCTAATGGTATACTCCTCTGAAATAATTAGCCTAATAACTAATAAAGGCTATATTTACCTCAAAATACTGAATTATAGCCTTTTTTGTTGTTGTTCAAATAGTGGAAGGTACACTTTGCTTGTGTGTGAAGTACAAGGTTATTACAAGGGAGACAGCAGGAGAGGCAAACAACAGGCAGATTGTTCCAAACTCACGCAGGAACTAGTAACACATTGAATTCCAGTGTCTCTGGGAGCCTTGCTAGATCACTGTCTCCTCTACAGTGCACTGTGGCAATGCCAGATGAAATTTTACTCTAATTTCTTGAAACACCTGTGAATTCTATCAAGAATTTGCTGCACACTTTGGAAAGATTTTACGGTGTAGACATGACCACATGATAGGCTTCTTATATCCATAGCAACTTTTAAAGTCTAAGATGCAGAATAAAGACTACTGCCTTAATAATACCAAAGGGCTACATCCACATAGGCAAGATTGTGAGCAAGCTTCACAGTTTAACTACCATAAAATTTAGCTGCCGCTTTCATTTGAGAAATGTGGCAGATAAAAGCAGTTTCAATATTGCACCATTGCATTAATGTAGATGTCTCACAGATATATTAAATTTTTTCCTCTCAACACCATGCTCTAAGAAAGTAGTAAAAGTATTATGTTTGCATGATACTGATTTGACATGTAGTCTGAGAAATATATGAAATGTATTTTTAAAGGACTTGGCTTATGAAAAGTCATATCTGAGGGAGTGTGGAATCAATTCTCAGGGATAGTTTATGGTCCAGGAAATCTTACAAGGTAATGGGAGAAACTGGTGTATATATGTACGTAAAAAACTCCAGCAAAAGAAAAACTAATATCCTACATTGAACCTCATCAAAGGAGAATAATAAAAATCCTACAATCACTTTTTATGTTTATATATGCAACATGTCAACAACATTCCCTTAGTTTAAAAATTATGTTGATGTCGTTTTCCAGTTTGCATTTTGTATCTTCTGGTTGCTTCCAACTCAGCTAGAAGTACAGATTTTTATTATATGCTGGTGAGCTAAGTATATTATTTTATTATATGCTGGTGAGCTAAGTATAAAGAGATTCCACAAAATAATAAACTGTTAATGGTGTACTGATACAAAGACATACACACACACGTAATTAGGATATAGGAGATCTATCTATCTATCTATCTATCTATCTACCTATCTATCTGTCTATCATCTATCTATCTATCTATCTATCTATCTATCTATCTATCTATCATCTATCTATCTATCTCATCTCCTTGTTTGATGTAACCACCTATATCCTGGAAGAACATTCTGAAGAAGTTCGCTGACACTCCTGTAGCAAAATCTGAATATAATATAGTCATGAGGAATATAGTTGTCTCCTCCCAAGAGGGGAAACCCATGGAAAAATAGCTCAGATTAACAGAAAACATGGACAGGTAGAGAACAGATAAATACAATTATAATATACTAAGAAAACATTAACAGAAACCATTGACAGTGTTTAAGCCAAAGGATTTGTAGAACATCGAATTGTGACACAATAGACTATCACATCACTGCAGAACAACAGAAAAGGATCAGTGCACTGTTGGGAAAATATTATTTTTATTAGAACTCTGGAAAATCCTTTTTCATATGAATTCAGAATGTAGGGACATCATAATAAATTTGGCATCTTTCCAACATATCTTCTATATTGAAATCAAAAAAAGATTTCAAATCTTATCTATTTGTGTAGTACAGTCTGGGGAGGGGAATTAACACTATACATCAAAACGATTTCTTCTAAAGTTACTTATATGATAAAGCATGTTGAGTTTTTTATTTGTGAAAGTTTCAGAGACTTTTTGCAGCCTAATACCACTATTCCTGGGGTTCCACCTCTGGCTTTTAAATAAGGCAAAATATGAGAAACTCAGAAACGGATGCTCAACATTCTTTCTGACACACAAGCCTGGAGCACCAAGTTTCCTAAGAGAGAAATTGCAATTTATAAAACCTTTCAAAATAGGAAATAACATTCCAATAACTTAATATTATTGCACACATAATGCCTTTGTGTGCACAATAATTTTTAAAGAATAATTTGAAATATTAAGCTAAATTAACCCTAAGAATATAGCAGTTTGTATAAATAGCAGCAATACTTTGGAAATTTAACATTAATCACCAGCAGGACAAGTTTTGTTTTTAAATTACGGCTACATCTCTGGACCTGAGCATCTGTCTGTGCCATGTGTATTACTCTTCTCTTTGCATTCTGGGTGTGGACATTTTTCTTACGACTTCTGACTTTCCTTTTATATTTGAGCTCCGTTTTCATTCACCACTCTTTACTTCTCCCAAATTGTCTGTTTATAAATAAGTTCTCCCCAGTTGATCATTCTTTCCCTGTGCCTTTCTTCAATATCTACTTCCCTCTTGACATTCTCTGTACCTTTCAATTGAGTTTGGCACATAGTTTTTAAGCAGCCACTTTTTTCTAGGCACTGGGAAGACAAGATAAGTCAACATTGCAGCATTTATGGAGCACACAGTAGACTCAGGGAAATAACAAAGTGAACAAATGTTAAAATACATTGTGAGAAGACAGAGAAATGTGAAAATCATACGGGATTGCAGAAGACCAAAGCTTGAGAGGAGCAAGAATTATGATGGAAATGTTATTTGAGTTAGTTCTTGAAAAATGATTTCAGGCAGACACGAGAGAGGATTGTTCAGGCAGAAGGAATAGCATCTACTACAAATACATGAAGTGGTGAAGAGCACAAACTTGTTTTAAGACCAGGGGATGTTCAATGTGGCTGAAAAACAACTTCTACAATAAGGACAAAGTGGAAGATGAAACTGAAAATAAACTGTGGCTACATTGAGAAGGTTTTTAAAATTTTTATACCATGCCAAGTAACTCATATTTTGTTCTCTCTGGAATAATTTAAAGCCAGAAGTGCAGTTTCAGATTTGTGTTTTAGAGAGATCATTAGGCAAATAGAGTGGAAGATACTGGAAATGAGGGAGAGGCAAGGGAGAAAGTGAGACCAGATTATGAGGCTGTTAGTATAGAGAGGTAAGTGATTGTCTCGAACTCAAGGCTAAGGCTAGGGCAGTGGGGAAAGGAGGAGGGTGGGTGAAATGAGACATATGGGAGATAACTGATGGTCAAAGAGAATGAGAAAGAGTCAAGGACAACACCAAAGTTTTTTTTTTTTTTTTTTTTTTTTAATCTTGAAGAACTTCCTTATAATGATGTCACTAACCAAGATAAGGGACATTAGATGAATGGAATGTGCTAAGAATGAAGGCCCCATACAACATGAAAGTTAAATTATTCATGCAGTTTGACATGCTGGATGGTACCTTAAAAGAGAGGTCAGTAGTAGAAAAGTGAATTTGAGAATTGTTTTAGCTTGGATGGGGTTGGCCTGAAAGAGGAGTCTGAAGCAAGAATTCACATTTAGTTTATTTGGGAAGTGATCTCGAGAGCAGGAATGAGGGAGCAGGAAGAGGGAGACAGATAAGGAGGAAAAGCCAGGTTGAGTGTCATTGAGGTTGTCACTGTGGGTAGTGGGGCTCCACCACTGAGAAGACACACAATATTTCCCAGAAATGTGCACCTAAAGGATAGGAAGTAGGGACATTAATCCGGAAACTCCTACTCCATTGCCTGACATTGCTCCCAGTGGTAAGATCCCACATTGCTAAGCTGCACTTACTCTGGCCAAACTGGATTCCACGGTGGTCTGAGCTAGAACTCTTGATGCAGAACATTAGTAAGGGGTTACTTGATGCTAGATTTTATCGGCAAGCCCTCAGGGGACTATCAATGCTATCCACAGCTGAAACAGAGGTAGCACTCTTAGAGCGCTAAGAGGTGTGTCAGGGCATTAGATGCATTTGCTATAAAAGGCAACCACAAACAGGTGCTTGTTGAAGCTACTAGACTTGATGAGATCACTAGAGTAAACACATAGACCGGCACCTCTTTTCATGGCCAGATTTCACTGTAAAGTCATAGAAAGTATGAAATGGGTTTGTATTTATTTCTATATGCACTTTTCTGGGAAATAAGTCCATCATTTTCTTCAAGCTTTCAAAGTGGCTGTTGATCCAGAATGGCTTAAGAATATAAATTTGGAGCAGGCATAGAAGTGTAAGAAAAGAAATTTTGGGAAAACATTTAAGAGTCAGAGACAAAATGAGGAAAGAAGTAAGTGCCCAGGCTTTGGAATCATAAAGGATTGGGTTTGATCTGGGCTCTATAATGCACTGTCTGTGTGAATTTGGGCACATGACTGCATTCTCTGAGCCTCATTATGCTCCTCTGAAAGAGGGATAAAATGGAAATAATAACACATATTATGGGGGTGTTGTGAGCATAAAATAGGAAATACGTGCTAAATACCAAGGATAAAGTAAATGCTCATTAGGCCTGGCGCGGTGGCTCACATCTGTAATCCCAGCTCTTTGGGAGGCCGAGGCGGGTGGATCATGAGGTCAGAAGTTTGAGACCATCCTGGCTAACACGGTGAAACTCTGTCTCTACTAAAAATACAAAACATTAGCCGGGCTTGGTGGTGGGCGCCTGTAGTCCCAGCTACTCGGGAGGCTGAGGCAGGAGAATGGCATGAACCCGGGAGGCTGAGCTTGCAGTGAGCCAAGATCGCGCCACTGCACTCCCGCCTGGGCGACAGAGCGAGACTCCGTCTCAAAAAAAAAAAAAAAAAAAAAAAAAAAAAAAAAGTAAATGCTCGTGCTCATTAAATGTAGAGTTGTTAGAAGGTGGAATAATACCCATAAAGAAACAGTATCATAGAATCCAAGAAAAAATTGCAAATATAGTTTTAATTAGGCAAATATATAGAATGTACTGAAAAGGGCTTATTGTATTTTTGATGACTTTGTCAAGAATAATCAAAATGTATGGGTTGTGTAGTGGTGGTCAGGGAAGTAGTGTGTTGGTGGATGTAGTATTGAATTATCAAAGCAGTCTCACACAAATCCGACATCACACCCAGTATTAAGCTTGACAAATAATTTTAAAGTTATCCTCAATCTAGAAGCACAGATAAAGCAGAAAGTTCTGAGACTCCTGTGTGGCTCCTTGGGTCCTTCTTTTTAGATTGCGCATATTGTCTTTGACCCAGAGTCATATGAGGCTTCCAAGTAAGGTCGTGCAGGGTCACTTGATACAGTCAGAAGCATTTAAATGATATGACATTTCCATTTTTTTTTAACCCAAGAAAGTTCTACAATTTATGGGACATTCTCCTAGAAGTCATGCCTCATAAATCCATAGATTTATTTGGATGTATTTATTATATATGGATACATTTATTATAAATAATCCCTTCCTCAGGGCCTGCTAAGAGAGTTCTGTGAATAAGGTCTCTTATTCCTAGCTAATATTATTAGTCTATTTGCATGGAAGTCCAGCTGACAAGGAGATTAGATCAAACTACTTCTCCTTACTTTCTTGAAACCAGAGGTCCTCTCCATTGGCAAAGAGACTGAACGTATCCTGAGCCAACTGCTTGAACTCTGTTCTCCTCAATATCCGATTCATTGCCCCACTCATCTCCAACCCAAATGCCCATTCACGTTTCTCTTCTGGTAGATAAGTAATCATCTGTAATTATTCGGTGCACATTCTTCCGGAAATTTCTTTTAATATTTACATACTTATTTGTGTGCGTTGAGTTCAAGAATGGGTTTATAGTGTGTGTATATTCATATGTGCTCGTGCGTATATATGTACATATGATTATATATATATATATATAAAACATGTGTATGTATTCATATATGCATATGTAGTTTTGAGATTTTTTTCCCCTAGCAATATGTCTTGGAGATCTTTCCACATCGTTTCATAGAGACTTATCTCAATCTTTTAACAATGCCTACAACTGTGAAGAGTCTGAGAGCTTACTATATCTGCAAGTTAAAAGTCAGCCTGCCACAGTTTCATAGATGCGGTCAGAAGACACAAGGTTCCTGGGCTAAAGACAAAGAACATAATTACTAACAGAAGTAGCAATATCCAGAATAACATCATTTGCACCAGGTCTATGAGCTCCAATTCCCACAGGATAAAACAAAGAGGGATAGGCAATGCCTGTACATGCAAGAGACTGGGTTACCCAAGCTTAGAGAACTCACATATTTTCTAATCTGCAGCAAGCAAATGTGTTCTACTTTTGTCCTGGAGGAATATGTTATATTTATTACACTGAAGAATAAGCAAACATGACAAGGGCTTCAGAAAGAGATGCTATCTCTATCTCCCAAGGATGTTCATTTTACAAACATTCTTGTTATTCATGCAGAAATGTGAGACACCCAGTATCTGAGTTGGATTTTGGGTTTGCTTCAAGTCTGAATGCCCTTCTTCCTGCCTCTCAAAACATACGTTATCCTATGAACTATGATCCCAAGTAATTTAAAGCACCTATTTTCATACTCTTTTCAAAGAACAGTGGGAGCGGAAGGCAGGGAACAGGAAACAACTTCCCAGATACTTGTGTCAAGAACTAAGCTTGATGTAGGTTCCCCAGATTGTGTGGGGTCTTCATTACATCACAGTAAAAGAACTTTCTGCTATCTTGACCTGTGTGTGGGTCCAGACCTCAGTGGGGCCACAGACTCAGCTTCGTTTATCACTTCATGTACCTGTTTCAGTCTATTCTACAGATCCACCATCTAGCTTGTTTTGAGATAAAATCTCTCTCTCTCTTCCTATATATAGAATCTATCCATCTATATATATAGATATAGCTATTATATATCTATACAGATATTTGGAGAGTAATTTCACAGTTTTGTTGAAACTATTGATTTTATTTCCAATCTCAGAACTTTCTTTCTGCGCTAATAATTTGATGACTTTAAAACACTTATGTATTTGCCATATATTAAATATTACTGTCAGGTCTACCAAGTTATAATTACCCAGAATCCAGACACAGATCTACTGGGAGGCAGCGACAGAAGAGGATATCAGCACAGGAGTAATGAGGAATTAATATGCTCAGTTTTAAAATATATAAGGTTTGTCAATATTAAAAATTGGACACTACTTTTTGGGCCAATGATAACCATCTTTGTATCTCAAATCTAAGAAATGCAAAAGTAAGAAATAACATTTGAATATAGCTCAGAATTCAATGAAACTTTTTTATCATTTAGAATTCTATAAATGTAGAAAGAAAACCATTTGTCTTTTAAGAAATACGGTAACTCAAAATACAACAGTGTAGCGTTTAATTTTCTGCTGTTATTTATAAATGGTGTGAAACATAATTTTTAAAAAGGTTTCAAAGTTTGAATAAATTGCTAGGCACAATTAGCGAAGGACAATGCAATCAGACCTTGAAGGACTTTCTTTTCTAATATTGTGTACTTTTTACTTAGATTGTCACTTATCTAGTAATATGAATTAAAATAAGGTGTGTGTGTATATATATATATATAACAGCATACCTACATATTCAGTGGGGAAAAATTAGGTAAATATCAAAAACACATCCTTCAACTAAATCTTTATCTTAGAAAAAAGACCTAAATCATTTCCCAGTTCATTTTTGTGTTACACACAGAGTGAAAAATAATACCCTTCAGAAGATAAGATTTATTAGAGGTTTTTCTACCTGAAATTTTTTAGAGAAGTTACCAGATTTATAAGATTTTAGAAGATATAATATTTATGTTGCTATTTTGTACTAGTAATATTTAAATTAATAATGGTGGCCATTAAAATGTTGCCTCATTCGGATATTCAGTCTATATTTCCCCCTGAATCTCCCTAGAGCCTTATAGTATGCAGAAATTTAAAATCAAACTTTCAGATGTCTTAGACCAGTAACAATTCCAGAAACAGTTTTAAGAATAAACAGGATTTTCAATTATTTTGTTTTGCTACGAAAATACAATGTTTTAAAAAAACTGCTAATTTTAGTTCATATCATCAAAATACTTTTTAAACACACATAAAATTAGTCAGAGATATAATGTTGGAATAAGACATCATGTTGAAGTAAACGCCCTGCCTTCAAAAGATTGCACTTCAGGAAGAAGAGACAATAAACAATATATGTTAGCTGGTGATGTTATATCAGATTGAGAAAAATAAAGCAGAGTAAATGGAATAAGGAATGACAAAGGTGGTTATTATATTATATAGAATAGATGAAGGAGAGCTCTCCAATAAGGTGAAATTTGTACAGAGGCCTCCATTATCTGGGAGAAGAATGTCCCTGGCAGTGGGAAAAGCAAGAGCAAAGTCCCTGACGCAGACACGTGCTTGAGATGTTAGAGGAACTGCCCAGTGTCCTGCATGGCTGGAGCAAGGTGAGCTAGGGAAAGACCACCTAAAAAAAATACTAGAAAGTGGGTGGGTGGCCAAATTATACAGGGATTTTAAGCACTTTGGCTCTAACTTTGTACAAAATAGTTAGCAAATGAATTTTGAGCAGAGGAGTAATTTTGAGCTCTGTATGTGGGTCCTTGATCTGCCTTAAGATTTTTATCCCTCAAAAACTTATTGTTTTTAAATTTTAGAAGAATCTTTGGATTCATTGAACAGTTGCAAAGACAGCAATGAGAGTTTTTGTATTGTTATCATCCAGTTTCCCCCATTAGTAATACCTTACATCATATTTTTCAAAATTAATAACCAACATTGCTACATTACTATTAACCACATTTCAGACTTCATTTAGATTTAATCAGTTTCTCCATTAATATCCTTGATGTGTTGTACAGTTCAGTCCAGGGTGTTGCATTGCTTTAAGTTGGCTTGGCTCCCCTGTCTTCTCTGGTCTGTCACAGTTTCTCAGTCTTTCCTTATTTTTTATGACCTTGGCAATCTTGGGTAGTAGTGGACAGGTTATTCAGTAGTGGTGGCTGGCTGGGGATGGGAGGAGGATATTTGCCAATTTGATTTTTAAAGATTCTTTGGATTAATGTTATATGTTAAATAAAACAAACTATTATTCTAACAATGAGCAATAGGACTGGATAAATCACAGGCCTTCCCCAGGAATCTTGTCAGAAAAATTATCTAAAGTAGAGGTTCTCAAAATGTAGTCCACATACTCCCGGGAGCCCATGAGAACCTTGCAGTGGGTCTTCAAGATTAAAACTATTTTCATAGTAACAGAAAGACACTATTTTATGTTTTTCATCATGTCAATATTTGTATACTTATGGTGCAAAAGCAGTGGTGAGTAAACCTGATCTTTAACACAAAGCAGGACATTGGTACCAAGCTGCAAAATTAATCATTGTCTCCTGTGTCAGCACAAGCTGATATTAAAAGAAACTGCGGTTTTCCCTTAAGAATATCTTTGATGAAGCAATAATACCTACTAGTTGCATGCAATCTTGACCCTTAGGCACAAGATTTTCTAAATATTCAGCTTGATAAAATTGGAAGAACACTTCTGCATGCTGTAATAAAATGACTGTATTGAGGAAAAACACTTGTGTGTTTCAATCATGAGCTAAACAAGCCACTTTCATGGTGAATCATTTTTATTTGAAATAATTACTAATAGACAACCTACAGTTTTTCAGGCTGTTATGGTATTTGGCAGACTTATCTCTAAAATGGATGAAGTAAATCTGTCACCTCAAGGGAAACAATGGTCAGCATTTATTGTGAATAATAAAATTTGAACTTTCAAGTGAAAATTTGAATTTTTGAAAATGTGTATCCATTACTCAGAATCGTTTTTAAAATAAAATCAATGATAATAACAATAAGTGCAATTTGAAAACATTTTATAATGAAACATAATGAAAGATGTTAGTATTTGGCAGCTCTGCATAACTAAGGGAACCAAATTTCCCAAAGATAAATGAATGATGTTATAGGATTGTGTAAGGGTAAAAGACCATTCAAAGTGCAAGATAGGTCAATAGATTTTAATGCAACAGTACAAAAAGTTTATTGACATGGTTCCAGATTTCTAGTTGCAATTAACCTGTAAAAGACTAGCGTGTGTGCAATTATATATGCAATATTTTGTGTGTGAGGACCATCAAAGAAGAATATCGACAACTATTTTAAAAGACTATCATAATATTCTTTCTTTTTCTATCAACATATCTGTGTAAAGCTGGAGTTTTCTTCCTCTAATTTAAGCAAAGCACCATATTGCAATAGACTGAGTACAAAAACAGATATTAGACTCCAGCTCTTGTCTATTAAGGCAGACATGAGAGAGTTTTGCAAGTGTGTAAAAACAATGAAACTTTTCTTCCTAAATATTTTCATTTTGGAAAATATTGTTATTTTTCACAAAAACATGATATTTGTATAGAATGTATTTAAAAATATAGTTTCACAAAATATCTTTGTTTTAATTTCGAATATGGAAACTATGGACAGATATAACCCAGCATAATGGGAATCTGAAATTAAATGTTTGAAAATTGCTGCCCCAAAAAACTGCTCTGATCAAACCACCAGTATCTTTTACATAAATATTTAGTGACTTTTTAGGTTTGAAAGCAATGGGGAAAAGACATAATGTTGAAACAAAGTCCCTGATTCCAAAAGATTACACTTCAGGAAGAGGATTCACTTCATGAATTTCCAAAAAGTAAATAACCAACTTCAAAACACAGAAACAAAATTATTAGGCAAAATGGCTAACTGGGAACATTGTTACTACAAACATTAAGAGACAAGGTATTGATATCCTTTATGTAAGAATACAGCGCTTTTTTTAAAAAAAAAAGTAAATTCCTAATTTCATAAAATTTTCTCTCTAGCACTTTCACTCTTTTAGAAAAATACGCTAATACTTAATAGTGGTTGCCTCTAATTGGTGAGATTTGAATACTTTTAGTGATTTTTGTTCTTCTTTTTGTGATCTGTGTTTCCCAAATTTCTAAACAGCATGCCAGGAAAAAAATAAATTGCTAAGACCAAGTATTTCAGGCATTTAAAAAATTATTATTAAATTGATAATTTATCTATATTAGTATTCTTTACTACGCAAAACCAAAAATCAGTCATTCTGAAACTTCGTAATTATTTGAATAAAACAGTTAAGAGTGCTTAAATGCATTTATGTATGGTTTCCTTATGGATATTAATAATTAATAGATATTTTTGATGCTTCCTCCAAGCATTTTGTACTGTTTCAAAAATAAAGTACATTATATATAACTTAACGCAGAGCCCCAGTTGTTAGTGTATTCATAAGTGTCTTTGATTATTTGCAATTCTGATTTTTAAAATAAGAAATATTTGATGAGATAAAAGAAAAAAATATTAGTTTAAATAGGTTTGGGTAATAAATATTGATTTAAATTATTCTTGCCTTACCAGTACCCTATTATTAAGACAAATCAAGAATTGTTAATATCTGATCACATGTGATTTTAGGGATTGGCCAAAAAAATTTGAATTGTGGAAGAATTAGTATTTAACTTACTGTGTTTTTATTTCCTCACTTTTATTTCAGTGTGAGATAATAAATGAGAAGGGAACACTTAAATTAATTTAAAATTCTATCTTATTTACATGATAGCATTTCAGCATTTCCTTGTATTTAAAAATTTTAAAATATGCTAAAATGAAACAATAAAAAATTAAAATTCTACTTTCTATTTTCTCTACAGTAAAGTCAGATTGCAATATCTTTGCTCTATGAACCATCAAATCTGTCAGCAGAACTTGTGATAGTTTAAAAATGTCTGTTCATGTACATTTTTTATTTCTTTTGGTTTTCCTAGAAAAACAATACCTAGCCATATCAACCAAATGTAGCCAAATTCAACCTCTCTTCCCCAAAAAGCTTATAGGTATTTTTAAAAATGTACTTTTAGAGAACTTAAAGTGAATGGTTTGCCGCTGATCTCTGCCATTTTTAAGTACTCTGGTGCTCTTCGAGACATCAAATGGTGAGTTTACTAACAGGACCCTCAATTCTGAATTTCTCTTACCCGCTCGAAATTCTGAAAACGGTTGTGCTTCTAGTGATTGTGCTATGAACTCACTTTACGAGAATTGTCTTTAGAAAGTTTTGTTTACATTATATTCAAAATCCAACAGGATACTCTTCTAGGTGAGTAAATGTACAATAATTATAATTGCTTTTCTTTGTGAATTACCTAATAACTTATGTTTCCACATGTTTTTACTAGGCAGAAAGGGATTCCATTATTAATTATAGTCATCTATAGCTATGAACCAGAAGAAATTTTTATCCATTAGGAGTTCTGTTGTTAATACGAAAATCCAGCTCAGCTCCAATTTCGTCCCTTTGTTTCCCATTGTTCTTCCATTTCTCACTTGCTTTTTGATTTCTTTCACTTGGTTTGCACCAGTATTCATCTCTTCATCTGAGAGGGCTGCCTCAGATTGCCGTTAGGTCAGAAGTCACAAGCTTCCTTTAACTTTTGTTTGCTTTTCAGCACTCTGAGCTAAGCCAATTGAACAGATGTTCATATTTGTTGTTGAGCATGTTAAGGAATGCTATAGAAAAAAATTATTTAGGGTAGTTCAACCCTTGATCTTTATTTTCCTAAAAATCTTGAGGTAGTTGAAGGGCAGTTGTTTTTTCTCCTTTTTTCTTACTGTCTGATTTGATCAATTTGTCTTTCCTTGTAGGGGTATTGAAAAGGTCTCATTTTCATGTTTATTTCTCCCAAATGGAATGAAACCTTTTGTATGCCTTCATTCAAGTTTGTTCCTACATACATTTTTATTTTAATCAAAGGCTTTCTTGGAGTGAGTGAAGGCCACCTACAGAGCTAGTTTATGTCTTTAAAAGCTTTGTTTATCACCCAGAGTGATAGTCTATCATAGAGAATTCATTTTGGTTCAAGGACATATTATTGTCTTGATTGGGCTTATACATCAAAAGAAAGAATTAAAGGGTTCTGATGAAAACTTTCCACCCGACACACAGGTGGCTGAAAGTATGTGCTATCTTTTCTTGGGTCCTTTTGTCACCTTTCTTAGCTTTCTTGTTTTGAAACATGATAATAGTAGTATTTGAGTTTTCTGGGGATTTTTGTTCTATATTGCATGCTGTGAAAGGATTTTTCTAGGTTCTGCTTCTGGGCTCCCTCTGATCTTGTGATGTTAAACACACTGCTGTCTTCCCTCGGCATTACTCTCATCATTTTCTTCTCCACTTGTTCCACTTCTGTCCTGTGTATGTGGGAGGGGGCTGTATAGAAGATGTGAGAGGAAATTTAGTAGAATGGCAGGGTAGGGGGATGTCAGGGAATCACACTGCTGAAAAAAAGGCCTCCACAACTTCTAAAAGAAAAAAGGATAGGCTGTACTGGTCTTTGCATTTTTTTTTCAACATAACCACAAAAGTTAACTTTTTTTTTTTCCAATGAAAGCTTTAAAAAAGAAATAAGAAATATTGCCACTTATCTTTGAATTTTGATACCATCCAGTTCCTAGAGTTGTGTCCCAAATTCATGAAAATTCATGATTTGTTTTCTAAACAGTAGAGAATGATTTATGTAACTCAAATCCCATATTTTCTAGTAAGACTAGTGTCACTTTGACCTTGAAGAACTGTGTGAATTGTAATGAAAATAAATATTTCGATAAAGCATGACATCATATCTTGATTCATTGTGTGTTGTGTATGTTTAAGGAAATACTAGTACTTCCTTCTGATAGTTTTAATACCTTGGGAAATATGTTGACGTTTGCTTTCTGCTTGCCCCAGGGTCATGTTTGGAAATTCCACTCAGTATTAGAACCAGATTTAGTCGGTCAACAACAACACGGAATGTTAAATTTTTTGTTTTTTGGACTAGATAACACTTTTTAAATATTCTCCCTATGCCGGTCATTCTGGTGAGAAATATATATACAGATGAACACCAAGGAAAGTAAACTGTTGACAAATATATTGAAGAGTAATTTAATATAGATCAAATACCTTACATATAAGATCTTTCCACTATCACTTTCTGCAATTCAAGGCTACAGTTTAATCTGTCTTTGATTGTGTGTTGTTTTTTTTTCTGGAATGAAGGGCTGGAATTATATAATTAAAACAACCTGCATGTGCTAACATAAATTTGATTGGTCTAGACATAAGGATTAAATTTAATAGTAACCATGATAAGCTTTGAGGGTAAATAATCAGACTTTCGGAGGCCATCTACTTCATACTTCATAATCATCAGAAATATTTTACATTCATTACAGAACTTAGCATAGTTCCTGGCAAGTATATCTAGAAGATAGATAAATATATGCTTTTGTTGAATGAATAAATTAGGGATATACCAAGCAAATGAAGTACTTAACAAGTTTTTCTTTTCTTTTCAAAAAGATATTTTGATTCTAAGAGAAACAATGCTTAAAAACAAGCATGTAGTGGACGACTAAGACAACTGGAAAATAGGCATTGAACAAGCCATAAACTGACAAAATTAACTGCTCTCTCAGCCCCGTTAGTGAAACACAAGTATATTTGTGAGTAAAAAGGGTATGTTGCTAATGTCTCAGCTTTCAACACCTAGTGCCTTCATTCAGTAATGCACACAAAGTGTTGTAGGTTTATATTTAAAAACCTCAGAGGGCGATTCACAGTTACTCTTATTAACATATTCTAATACTAGTGAGAGTTCTCTTTCTTTCTCTCTCCAGGTATAGTATATTATAATTGGTTTAAACAAAGTCCCTCTCTTGTTTTATCTATTCATTTATTTTCTTTTGTCCACACACCATACTCCCATTCTTTCTCACTCAATCATCTTTGGATACATTCTATCAAATATCTTATTGAATTTTTGCATATAGTTTTAAATTTTGTAAATGATATTGCTTATTGAATCACCTATATTTTCTACTCAGAACAATAATTTAGATCTAATTGGCTGAGTGCAGTGGCTCACACCTGTAATCCAACACTTTGGGAGGCCTAGGCAGGCAGATCACTGGAGGTCAGGAGTTCTAGACCAGCCTGGCCAACATGGTGAAACCCTGTCTCTAATGAAAATACAAAAATTAGCCAGGGGTGATGATGCATGCTTTTAATCCCAGTTACTGTGGAGACTGAGGCAAGAGAATTGCTTGAACCCGGGAGGCAGAGATTGCAGTGAGCTGAGATCGCACCTCTGCACTCCAGTCTGGGTGACAGAGAAAGGCTCTGTCTCAAAACAAAACAAAACAAAAAAAAACAGAGTTAGATCTACCTATGCTGCTCTATGCATATCTATATATATGTGTGTGTGTGTGTATATATATATATATATGAAGTAGTTTACTATGACTTGGCAAAATAAGATAAAGGATGGTAGGAAAAATGTGGTGGTAATAAATAAGATGAAGCTGGAAAGTCATGAAAGGTTTTCCTAGAACATGGTAGGGAATTTGTATTTTAAATTTTCGGCCACAGTTTCCATTAGATTCACCTGAGATTGAGAATTTATACTCCTGGACCCTAACCACAGAGATCTGACCTACCCACCTGATTTAAATTAATTTTTCTAATGCAATAAAGTTGATTATGTTTCTAATTTGTGTCATGTTGACTTCTGCCCTTGAAATTAATAGTAGGGAAGTTGTTTCATTTCTAGATCTGGGTTTTAATACCTTGAAACTTGGGAAGAGGATAGTGCTTAGAACAGTGTTTAAAACATAATGTCAATAAACTTTTAAATTTGAGGATGATTGGAGCTGGTTATATCATGTATCAACCAGTCATCTGAGCCTAGGTCAAGGCTATTACAATTTTATGTTGACTCTGTCCATCTCTAAAGAAGAAAAATGATCACCTCATCTATCCCTTTCACCGTCAGTATCTGGGGAAAAAAATGACTATTAGTTCAATAGGCTGTTGGCTTTTAAAGTAAATAGATGGATCATAGATGATAGAAAGATGATAGATTATATAGATAGATACATAGATGCATAGATAGATAGATAGGCTAAAACCCTGAAATAGACATTTTAAACCAGTTATTCACATAATCCTTAGGCATGTTAAAGTTTGAGAACTTTTTGGCAATGGGCAGCCATAAAAAAGTATCATATATTTTAGAACTAGCTTGTCTAATACTGTAGCCACTAGCTACATGTGGCCATCTAAATTAGCATTAATTGAAATTAAATACAGTTGACATACAGTTAACATTTCAGTTTCTTTGTTGCACTAGCCACGTAGTATGTCCTCAGTGGTCACACGTTTCTAGTTGCTACTATATTGGACCTTAAAGATACAGGACCTTCTCAGTATTGTAGAAAGTACCATGGTGAACTATGTTTTAGAAAGATCATTCTAGTGGCAAGCAGGGAGGGTACACTAGGTGGGAATAAGCCTATAGTCTAGTTGACAAAACATTTTTTGAAGTCAAGAAAGAGTGTCCAGAAGATAACAATTACTATTGTTGAGTACTGCTCAGCAGTTAAGGATAGTGAAGATTAAAGTTATTCCACTTGATTTGGCTATCAGCAGGGTTGGTAACCTGTCAGATCAGCGTCAGTGTTGCTGGTGGAGACCAAAGGCAGAAATGGGAGAAAGTGAAGGAGGCTGCAATAGAGAAAATATACTTTTAAGAGGCTTGGCTGTCAATGGGACAAGACAGTGCATAGAGGGAAGGAAATGCAGAGATGTGGGAATTTTATTTTAATTGTAGGTGGCTTAATTAATTTACAGACTAGAGAAAGGGATGAGTACAGAAGGAAAAAATGAAATTACAGGATTAACAGCACACATATTGGGTGACTTTAAGTATTTAGTGGCCAAGGAGGTGATGACAATGGGTTTTCTTTTCATATCTAAAACAGTTTTCATTGAGAAGATAAGAAAAAAAAAGAATAAAACATCTCAGAAATGAATAAAATGATTTGAAATCAAAGAAATATTACTTCAAAATCTTAGAAGCATACTTCAACAAATGTTTAGGAGTACATATAATATTGTTAACATGCCTCAAGATACAATGAATAAATACGACAGCAATACGGAGCATGGTGCTGCTGGCTTCTGAGAAGCAACCTTTCATTAGTGATACCAGATACGAGTTTCCGAAGTGAAGTGGTGAGCAATTGGTTGAATTTCATGGTACAGACTGTGTTGGAGAACTTTAGATGAGTAAGAACTGTGATAATCTAAGGAAGCTTTTTGGTTAAGACTCTAGACTTTGAAGGACGGCTGGCATTTGTAAAAGTAAAATAGTAGAAGAACAAGATGAGAGGAAGATGAAAAAGGTGGGAAAGAATCAGTGAAATTCTGATTTATGAAGTGAAAAAATTTGCCTTGACAATTATAAAAAGGAATTTGGATTAATGTAATAGCAAAGATAAAGTCATTAAGAAAGTTTATTTTCCACTTTTTTATAAATTAAAATACTCATTGCATTGAATTTGGAGGATATGAAGTGTAGGCTGGGCATGGTGACTAATGCCTGCAATCCCAACATTTTGAGAAGCCGAGGTGGGAGGATTGCTTGAGCCAACGAGTTAGTGACCAGCCCTGGCAACATGGTGAGACCTTCTCATCTCTATGAAAAATAAAAATAAAAAAATTAGCTGGGCATAGTGGCGTGCATATGTAATCTCACCTACTTGGGAGGTTGAGGTGGGAGGATGGCTTAAGCCTGGGAGATTGAAGCTGCAGTGAGCCATAATTGTGCTACTGCACTCCAGCTTGGGTGACAGAGCAAGACTCTGTATCAAAAAACAACAACAACAAAAAAAAAAAAAACAGAAATAAAAGAAAGAATAAAAAAAGAGTATAGAGGAAAAAAACCAAAAACTACTTGTTATCCAGCCACTGGGATTGGTTATTGATATTTTATTACATTTCCTTCAAATCATTTCATATGTATAAAAGTATTATAGCTTATAAAATTTTAAAACATACTGTGCTATACAGAATAAAGGGCCCCAAAGATATCCATGTCCTAATCCCTCAAACCTGTGAATATATTAGACTATATATTGCCAATTTACATATTACATGTCAAGGGGGAATTAAGGATGCGGGTGGCACTAAATTTGCTAAACACTGATCTTGAAATAAAGTGATTATCATGGATTATCTGGGTCTGCCCAGTGTAATCCTAAAGCCCTTTATGTTGGAAGTGAGAGAAGAGTCCATACATATCAGAGTAATAAAATGCGGTAAAGACTATCCATTAGTGCCTTTGAAGATGGAAGGGGGCCATTACCCAAAGAATGCAGGCAGCCTGTATTAGTCTGTTCTCACACTGCTATGAAGAAATTCCCAAGACTGGGTAATTTATAAAGGAAAAAGATTTAATTGACTCACCGTTCCACATGGCTGGGGAAGCCTCAGGAAACTTACAATCATGGTAGAAGGTGAAGAGGAAGCAAGGACCTTCTTCACATAGTGGCAGGAAAGAGAAATGCAAGCGGGGAAGATAGCAGACGCTTACAAAATCATCAGATCTTGTGAGAACTCTCTTACTATCACAGGAACAGCATGGGGGAAACCACTCCTATGATCCAAACACCTCCCACCAGGTATCTCCCTCAACACCTAGGGATTACGATTCAAGATGAGATTTAAGTGGGGACACAAAGCCTATCCATATCAAAGCCCTAGAAGCTGGAAAAGGCAATAAAACATGAGAGCTTCTGAACTTCTTTATAGCTTCTAGAAAGGAAGGCTGATTTGCTAACACCTTTTCAGCCCAAGGAAACCCATTCTAGACTTCTGACTCCCAGAACTGTAAGATAATATGTAGTGCTGTTTTAAGCAACTAAGTTTGTGGTATTTTGTGTCACAGCAACAATAGGAAACTAGTATATGCTATATTTGTAATTTTACATTTTATAAAATTTTACATTCAATTGTATGTATTTTCCTATGGCCAGTATTGTTCAAGAATTATATGTTTATGTCTATATCAAAATATCTTATATAACCCATAAATATATACACCAACTATGTACCCACAAAATTCTTTTTTTTTTTTTGAAATGGAGTCTCGCTCTGTCGCCGAAGCTGGAGTGGAGTGGCGCGATCTTGGCTCACTGCAAACTTCGCTTTCTGGGTTCAAGTGATTCTCCCGCCTCAGCCTCCCGAGTAGCTGGGACACAATTTTTTTTTTTTTTTTTTTACAGAATCATATGTTTAATGGTTGTGTAAAAATCAACTACTGGATCTATTGTCGAACACTTAGGTAATTTCTCATTCTCTGTTTTTGTAACGAATTATTTGAAAACACTTTCATAAACACATTCTGAATTTGTCCTTTCTTAAGAAAATGAATAAAACTTTAGTTATACTGCCAATTGGACTTAAAAAGGCACTTAGCAGGTATTACCAGATTGCTCTTCAAAAAGGTTGTACCCATTTGACATCCAACCTAAATAGCCCACTGACAGTGGATGGCATTGCTGAAAAGAACTTTTCAAAAATGATTATGGAAACACGGAATCTCATTTTTAAAGACTTTTATTTACTCTTTCTGGTTTGTCTATCTTAGAAGTCATTACATTTTTGATAAACATAATTTAATTTTCATACAATCAAAATTATTGACTTTTGTCTTTTATTTTTCTAATAATATTTGCACACTAAATGATCCTTCCTCTTTAGGTGCTAGGTTATATACACTGTGGACCTTTGAAGTATTTTGTTTATCAATGAAAATAGTTTTTAGAAGAGTCTTAGGTAGGATCAAGTAGGATCATAGATTTTGGAAACATTGACTTGGGGAAATGGACACATGATCAAGTGGAAACTAGGAGGTATTTGGAGGTGGGGAATTAGAGCTCAGTCTAGAGGAAGGGTCCAGCAATATGGCTTTGGATTTGGAGAAGAAAGGAGGCAGCTGAACTAAGAAAGAGGATAAATTATTGGAAAGAGATATTTACAAAGAAAGGAACAGAATCTTCAGATGTGGGCAATTCTCTTCACCCCTTCCAAAATCCACCATGTGTTGTATGCACTTGGATATCAGTTAGCATGGGGAAGCAAGTGTGGATATCACACCACAAAACCCCTTCCTATTACTAGCAGTGAGCTCAGAGCACATCTTCATGAGAGTTATGCTGCTCTCCTATATTTCCACAGCCTGCTAATAGGTTGTTTGCTGCACCTTCAGTCCCTTCTCAACATAGTTCTAATTCCTTTGTGACAATAATATGGTTCCTATGCCTAAAACCTCAGGTAGAAGCCCAAGTTCTTTCCAAGAAGGCTTCCAGTCCCGACTGAATTATCTGTTCTACTCACATCCACTCTGCTCTCTGACCTTATTGGTTGACTGCACTTCCTCACTTATTCCTGCTTTCCTAACTATAGTAGACTCTGCTCTTCCTCAACAAGCCATTCACACTTTCATTGCAGTACCTTGGCCTTTTGCCTGTTATGTGCCTTCCCCCTTATGACTTGGTTAATGACCTCAGATTTCTTGAATCTGTGCTCACGTTTCACTTTTTCAATGAAGCTCACCCTGACTATTCTATTTCCTCCTCTGAGTGAAACAAAACCTAAGACCCTCACTCGCTTCCTTCTTTTTAGAAGAAATTAACAGGGAAGAGCATTGCATATTCCCTTTTAACAGACTGATTTGCTACATTGAGTTTTCTGTTTCCAGCCCCACCAAGGCAGATAGTATGTGCTCAAATAAATATTTGTTGAATTATTTATTTCCTACAAACTGATTAACTTCAGTTCTTTCTACTGTTTATGTTAAATAGCTTTGCCATATTTACTGGAGTTCAGTTTCAGGCCATTAAGAATTCTATTTTTTATTTTTCTCTTAAAGTAAACTTATTGGAGCAGTGGTCCTCATGTTAAGATTTTTATCATTTTGTATTTGCATTTTATATAAACCTCTCTTTTGCTTGTGTAAATGACAAGTTTCTGGGAAATGGTGCTCACCAGCATCTCACACCTGCCTTATTGATGTTTGATGCTTGATTTATTTGTCTAGTTCATTCATAATTCCTTGATAAATTTGGCAGAGCATTTCCAATGGTCTGGGGGCATTTTCTATGAACTTGCTGGCGATGTGACTAGTTCCCCCTGGTGTTATAGCTTTTGAGAGGCTAAAAATAAAAGACTGAATTATTCCTTTACCTGGCAGTCTTTATTGCTGCATTTCATCAACTCAATCCTACTAAATCATTAATTTGTTTTACTCACATGCTTCTACAGGCATGATGAAGAGGGATCTGCAAAAATGCCACAAAATAAAGTGCCTTCTTTATTGCAAACCTGACATTTGTATACAACAGAAAAATTCTCTTGTAAATTCTCTTAAATTTTTCTATAAAACAAAGGCCTGGCCTCCTACATTTGAAAATGCAATAAAATCACTCATATCAAAATAAATTTTTAAATATTGTGGAGAAGTCTCGCAATGCCACCACAAGACTTCAAGAGCATTTATACAACCAGTGGATGAAGAAAGGCTCAAGAACAATTCTGTGACTCCTCCTCTTTTCTTTTTAGATCTAGGCCACTGTCTTCTCAATTTTCTAGAAATTCAGTATGCTAGTTTCCTTTGGTATCTTCACAAAAGGATCATAT
Organism: Homo sapiens; assembly: GCF_000001405.40. Classification (NCBI taxonomy): domain Eukaryota; kingdom Metazoa; phylum Chordata; class Mammalia; order Primates; family Hominidae; genus Homo; species Homo sapiens. The sequence goes on from NC_000007.14 coordinate 115,056,011, forward strand.
TCCATGATATTGAATTTTAAAATTTAGAGCTAGAAAGAAAATTAGAAATTATTAGTACAATTCTCAGATTGTCTTTGTTTGGGCTGCTATAATAAAATACCACAAATTAGCTTATAAACAACAGAAATTTATTTCTCACAGTTCTGGAGACAGAAGTCCAAAGTCAAGGTGCTGGTAGATTGGGTGTCTAGTGAGGGCTATTTCCTGGTTCACAGACAGCAGACAGCACTTTCTTGCGACGTCCTCACATGGTGGGAGGGGCAAATGAGCTCACTTGCTCCTGTTTTATAAGAGTACTAATCTCATACATAAGGGCTCTGCCTTCAACACTTAATCAAAGGTTCTACCTCCTAATACTATCAACATGGGAGTTAATATTTTAGCATATGGATTTTGGGAGAACATAAACCTTCAGAACTTAGTACACATCATTTGGAACACAGTCTGGATCACAAGGCATTAGAATCCCTGTCCAGTGTCCTTTCCAGACTAATTATCAGCTTCCATATTTTTCAAACTTGAAGATCTACAGCTAGGAGAAAAAATCTAGTTCAGACTGTTGCTGTCAGGTGGATAAAACATTATTTTCTCCAATTTACAGATAAGGCAACTGAGATCTAGAGAGTTTATTAACTCCTCCAATGTTATAGTTAAATTATTGCTAGAATTCATGCTGCTCAATTCTCCAAGCCCTCCAATTTATAATTACATAAACAAAACTACTTAACATTAACCATAATTGCAACTCATCTCAATTAATCTTCTACTCAATGAATTGTTATTTTATTTATAAATATTTAGAGAATTTTTGTCATTGGTGATAACCTAAGTTCTGGATTTCATATTTTGGAACATTCTTCTAAGTATAGGCACTGTAATTTTTTGGTTGCTCATGAAATATTTATTAATGCTAATGCCAATAAAAATAATGCCATGGTGATTATACTCTTCAGTCATTAATGCCCTGAAAGAAGTAATTTGCAAATTGGTACACTGTCACTCAAAGTGTTAATTTACCACATGTGGGTAACAAATTACTCCTGGAATCAGGCTAGGCACAATTGTTGAGGCCCTGGAGTTTTTCTCCCCTGTAGCATTCACATCCAATCAGTTTCCAAATCTTGTAGAGCTATTTCTATAGGCATCTCATCTGTCCTTCCTCCTCCCTCCATGATACTGCTACTGCTATCATCTGAGTTCATTTCTTTCTTATCTCTTGTTTAGTGAACTGTACAAGTAGCTGGTCATTTTGCTGTTATTCAGCCTCTGTCCAAAACCATCCTACACAGCTGCCTGATGAGCATTTTCAAAACACAGTTTTGCTTCTTCATTTGCTCCTAAATAAAACTTCTTTTGCACACCTTCATGTGAACACACATGCACACACATATACAATGAGTGCCAACTTTAGTGCACTTTTGAATCTGCCAGAGAACGATGAAGAGTGTGGCCTTGTCAGTGGAATTTTATAAAGCTCCCCAGATGATTCTAATGTGCCCTCAGGGCTGAGAACCATCTTTTAAACTTATTAAAAGAGGCAAATTGTTGTAGAAGGGAAAATAACTTCTAGGAGTCAGGAGATTGTTCATTTCTGGAATTTGCCATTGGACAAAAGCATGATCTCCAGTACATCAAATACTACCACTGAAGCTCATTTCCTCACCTGTAAATGTAACATTAAGAAATTGGGCTAGGTTAATTTATTTAGCTAACATTAACACAGCACTTATTATTACTTGGCTCTGTATTTGAAGCTGAAAATCTAGTCTTTGCTCTAATCAACTTTACAAAGCACAGAGAAAATGATAAAGAAAATAATTACAAATTATCGAAAAAGCTATGAAGAAAATAATTGATGATTATTATAATAAAAAATATGGGGTGGAGATAGCCAGTAAAGACAATAGTTAGCAACCAAGATTTTTGCTTTTCAGATGACCCTGATCTCAATCTTATAAAAATCAACCAGGTAGACCACACCAATAGAAAGTAACAATAGTTTCCTGAAGGGCTTATTATTTGACTAATAGAATCTCATAGATTAATAATTCTTGTTTGGGATTCTGCTTCATTTTCCCTTTCACTTTATACAGTCAAGTTTTTAGGAAATATATTTAATCCATTCTTTTGGATACTTTAATTGCAGCCAAAAAAAGTTGGTTTAGGGTGACTGAACTTAAAATAATCAATTGTCCTCTATAATGGGGCTGTAATAGAAATGTCCAATTTGGGGCCAGGTCTGGTGGCTCACATCTGTAATCCCAGCCCTTTGGGAGGTGAAGGTGGGAGAATCACATGAGGCTAGGAGTTTGAGACCAGCCTGGGTAACATAGCAAGACCCCATCACTACAAAAAATTTAAAAAGTTAGCTGGGTGTGGTGGGATATGCCTGTAGTCCCAGCTAATGAGGAGGCTGAGGTGGGAGGATTGCTTGAGCCCAGGAGTTCGTGGTTGCAGTGAGCTATGATTGCACTACTGCACTCCAGCCTGGGCAACAGAGTGAGACCCTGTCTCTAAAACAATATCAACAAAAACATCCGAAGTTAAAATAGAAAATAGAAGTATCGAATTTTTCCTTACTGGGGATTGTTAAAACTGAGTCCATCGCTTCTGGAGCACAGTCACTTTTTGAGGCAATATAAATCTCTCAAACTTATAAATTATCCAGCTATTGGTAATCCTTAGTTTTTCTTCCAAACTGGCAGTGCAAAAATGCAATGCTCTTTTCCTGGAATCATCTTTGTGTGGTTTATTATGGCGGGAATTCTAAGGACCCCCTTAAGCCTGTGAGGGGGAATACTGGGGACAATTCCTAGGGTTCGGGTGCTTTGTGCTTTATAAGCTATTCATGAAGTAGACAATCTGGATCCTTGTTAACAGGTCCAAATGGAATAAGACAAGAAGTGTGAGCCAAAATTCCAAGCCAAGTGGGTCTGGAACCGTGAGTGGCTGCCAACTGGAAGAATCCCACAAATCAAGGAAAAAGCAGATTATTGAGGGTGAAAGTGGAGATGAATCTGAGAGTCTAAGAAAATGTCTAGGCAGTAAAAATTTTTACTTTTTATCCACAGTGGTCCAATTTTGCTTCAGTTCTTCCATTCACTTTAAGTACCAACTGTTTTTGATGCTATTCTTAGGGAGATTTGATTTCTCCAATGCTCTTGAAAAATTCTCTGCAATTAATTTCTTTTGTCCTTGTAAAAGGCTCCTTTGTCCCTTCAGTCATAATAATAATGATGATAAAATAGCAACTAGCATTTATAGAAGATTTGTCACCTGTCTGGCAGTGTGCTAATATCTTAATTTTTTGGCCTCTATTCTGCCTCTCTTTAATTTGAAGGTTAAGCCTGAACTATGATTTTAAGAATGTTCTTGATAGCCAGTTGCTTTTGGCAGAGAAAACTAATATCTAGAGAGAGTGGGTTACAGAAACTCCCATGCATTCTCTCTGTTTGTTTTTGGAAGAGTAATAGCCTCCCTGCTCACAAGGTTTTGCCTGAAGAATTTCATGTTCATGATTGTGTTGCATACCTCATCAGGGTTACTCAAGCTCAGCTCAGTTCTTGAATATTATGCATAAGAAAACAGCAAGGCCAGCCAGGTTGATTGGTTCTGCTACTCTGAAGCCAGATAGCAGGGTCAGGAATTGTTGCTGAGGGGATAAGGAAGTAGAATTCTAGGATCTGGGGTCCTAGAAATCAGGAAAGGAAAGTATTTCATGGTGATTGTTCTGAGAGACCCACCAAGCTTTTGTAGTATTCTGGCTTGGACCAGGAAGTCATGTTCACCTACTCTCCCCCTGGAGTTATTGGATTCTTAGTGCTTCTACCTATTCGTATTTGGAGTCACCTTCTTTAGTTAGAGAAGACTGAAAGTAATTGAACCCCCAAGGAATCAGACACCAGATCCTTGCTGCTGTTATCTCTGACACTTTCATCCAAAGACTAAGGAGCTGCCCAATTCACAGAAGCCATAATACCCTTTTGATTTTTGGTTCAGCATGTGAATGTCCTTTTAAGTCCCAGATTTCATTGCTATAAATATTTGGTTATTACATATTACAACCATATAGGGGCCTGAAACATTAGACAAAGGTAGAGAATGTATGTGAGCAGCTTCACACACACACACAAAAAAGTAAAACAGTAGCTCATACTCAAGGGCAGATGTGGTTACAAGGGCTTTAAATACATTAACTCATTCAGTTTTCTTCATAACATTATGAGGTAGGTTCTATCATTATTCCCATTTTACATATGTAGAAACTGAAGCATAGAGAAATGAAACAAGGTCGCAGAACCACATGTGGCAGGGGCAGGACTCAAACCCAGGAAATCTGGTTCTACCAGCTGTGTTCTTAACCACTACACAGAAAGTTATATTTAAATTTATGTATATAAATAATGTATAAATTTCACCTCACTCTTGTTTATGTAGAGTGTTTTCATAAGGTGGATTAGGTTAGATGTTCTGTAGTCTGCCACTTAGACAGAATATTAATATGTTATTAATATGTTGAAGTTTCACCAGGGTCAACTACCATGCTGTTTTGTAAATTAACTTGGTTGTGCTCTAGTCAAACTGCGTTGGGAAGTGAAAGGCTTTTCATTTTGGGTCTTCCTCATTTACTCACAGACAACGCCAGCTGTGTCCAAGTGGCTTATTTCTTAACTATAATTTAACAAACGCTGCTATATGATTACATCATTTTATTTAGAAAATTGAAATGTGGCAATACAGGCTCTTGGAGTACAAAAATAAAACAGGATCTGGTGATGTTTGGCAGCATAATTTCAAGAAAATGCTCAAAAATATTCAGTGAGAAATATGTCAGGGTTATTCAGAAGCGTATGCCTATAAGGCCTTTCATGCTGTTATTTCCATGAAAAAAACATGTTCTCGACACAAATGGCATCATTGTTTTTAGTTAAATTAAATGCCTGAGTAAAATAATTATGAACTGCTTCATTCCATTGTGTCTCATCCTAGCCAAGGGTGGTTACTCTTAATATTAAGCAATTTGTTATTTTCTAAGGGGTAGCTAGGCAGTGTTTAGCATGTATTAAGTTAAAGAAGTGTCATCACAAATACAAGGACAGGTATATTGGTATATAATTCTAGTTTATAAATTGAACATTAAATAACTGAATGTACATCTACATAAACAATTTGAATTAACCTTATTATGTTCCTCATTTCAAAGAAGAAATGTTATGTATGTTTATTATACCCATTAGTCTCACTTTGTAACATACCTCATGTTATGCCAAAAGGGTACTCAATTCATGATTGTGAATGATACCTCCTTTACAGAGATATAAAAATGACTCCTTTAGGATGCTACTTTGCCATGCATCTTTCATCAGAAACTGACATCCTCGTCCTTGATTTTGATGAAATTTCTCCTCATTGTATTCTTGGGTCACATGATAGTTGGAAATTGTTCATCAAGGGAAAGCAGAGTTGGAAAAAATAAGATGCAGAGATTTATCTAGGGCTGGATCCATCTGTAGAGCTATCATCAACATATTATCCAGTTGGTTTTACCTTAATTAAAAAATTGATACATAAATAGATAAGAAACTTACAACATTCAAGTCAAAAAGTTAATAAGACACCAATAAATTAAAACTAAAGAAAGTAAGTAAAAATGATTATTAAGGTAAAGGTAGAGATTCATGTTTTAGAAAGCTACATTTTTCAAGTAAATCCAAGCACTGATTCTTTGGAAGAAAACAATAATATAGACAAATCATCAAGCTGGTTTTATCAAGAAATAATGAAAACAAACACAGAGAGGCAACATTATAATGGCTATTTCTTACTTACCTCCTCAATATCTCTTCCTGGCAGCAGCCATGATTTTCATTTGATAAGCTACCCCCACCCTACCAAGGGCTACTACCCAAACCTGGAGAAGAAACATGCAACTTAGACCTAAGCCAGTCAGCACCGCCCATAGTAACTGGATAATGTATAGCTACATAGCCCATGCTGGCCCCAAGAGAATGACAGGACATTTGTTGGTACAAAAGCTCTTGCTTTTTTATACTTTATTTGAAACTAGAAATATCCAATCTTGGGAGATCCTGGCTGCTGTCTTAAGACATATTTGAGACTGTAGGCCAAAGAGAGGCAGTAGATATGAAAGCAGAAAAAATCGATTTTTCTATAACATATTTTGGGCCCCTATATTCAATAATGCCTCAAGTGAGATCTAGTCATATTTTCAGCAATGCAAATAAATGAATTGCCACTTTTGCTCAAGCCAATTTGAGTGGGATTTTCTGTCAATTGAAACAAAAGCATCTTACTTGGTATATAAACTAAATTAGGAATCAGATGGGGTGACAACACCATAGGCTTAGAAGGATTTTTTTTTTTTAATTTTAAAAAAAGAACAAAATGAAGACAAGTTTGAAAATCTTGAAAAAATTGCTGTTTTCTTAGAAAAATAGCTTGCCTAAATAAACTCAAGAAAGAGCAAAAAAATTTTTAAAATAGAAACAAGAGATTATAATCACTATAGCAATAAAAATGCTAGAAAAAATAATAAATTAGAGTCCTTTGACACCATTTTTCTTATTGTAGCTTTATAATATGTTTTAATATGTGGAAATTTAAGGACATATTCATTTTAGTTTAGTTTTTAGTTTTTCTTTCAAAATATTTTTCTACTCTCCTTTTTCCCATAAATTTCAGAATAAGCTTTTAAGTAGCATAGAAAATTATTTTTGATATTTTTGTGGGAATTACATTAAATTGATAAATTTAGCTAGAATACCTTTATAATCTTTTCATAAAAGGTGTTATTAATAAGGCTCAGCAAGATATCCACATGTCCCCCCTTAAATTGCTCCCTATCCTTCAGAAATTAATCTCTAAACTTCCCTGTAGTATTTCTAGGGCCTTGGAAAAAGTGATTCTGTATTTCATTTCAAAAAATAAACAGGCAAAAATAGCCTAGAATACATACAAAAGAATAAAACAAGAGAGAATTTTAACATATAACATGTAGATATTAAAATATAAAATTCAAACTACTAAAGATTATTGTATCAGTGCAATAAAAACACTGTAAAAAAAAAAGAAAGATCCAATAATACAGCAATACTTAGTATATGACAATATGAATGTGTGCTGGTCATTTGCCTTGCTGCTCACATATCCTTTCTTTGCCTTTCTACTGTCCACTGTTGCTTCCCAATCTCCTGTGTCAGTTAGCGTCTGCTGGGGTTCCGAGTGGGGAGCAACTAGTAGAAAAAGATTGGAAAGGAAACGAAGAGCCAGGAGCCCCCTCTTTTCCTACTTCGACAACTTTTCTGGCAGGTCAGCAGCTTGGTCTCCTTCATGACCCAGGTCCTCCCAAGTGGTTCTTCTGGCTGTGGTCCCATCTATCACTGAGCAACCCTCACTTTTTGGTTCTAACTCCCACCTGATGGCTCTGGCTTCTGAATTCTGAAAACATTTCCTGCTGCTGCCTCTTCTTTTTGATTCCTGGCTTGTAAATGGGGAAAATAAAAGTAACCAACTGAGATTATAGTGCGAATTTTAACCATTATCTGTACTTAAAATCCTTAGTCCAGAGTACAGCATATAGAAATCATTCAATAAATGCTATTATTATATAAAGCCATGTTAAACACACACACACACACACACACACACACACACACACACACACCAACTTCTGAAATTCGAAAAAATGCCATGTAGAAATGTGATAAGCTTGGAGCAAAGTGCACATAACAAAGGGCTAATATTAACATTAAAATGTTATTGCCAAACATACGAAACCCAAACAACAGAAAATACAAGCATAAATTAGAAAAATGTTAAAAAGAATATAATTATTAATAAAGCAAAATCAGTAATAACTAAAATTGTGTAAGTTTAAACTATAAAACTTATTCTTTTACACAGAATTATTTATTTGGTGTGGAATAAAAAGAACAACGCTCTTTAGTGCTGGTCTGGGAATGTGAATATAAGCCCTCTTATTCAAATCCATATAATTTTTCTAAAAGGGAAGTTGAGAAAATTGGATCAAGCTCAGAAAACATGTCAAGTTCTATGATATTACCCCAGAAAATATTCAAAGGTTCACATAAACATTACAGAGAGAAGGATGCATGTCACAAAGTTAGGTACATTAATGATGAATGTATAGTAGCTGATGCTCAAGGGTAAAAGATTGGTTAAGTAAATCATTTCACATTAAAAAAATGCAACTTTGCATATCTTATGTTGTTGATATAGAAGAATATCTATTGGCAAGATAAGATATTTTTAAAACTTATGTCATTAAAGTCTGGAAAAACATACACCAAAATGCAAACAGGTTTTATGAAGGGAGAATAGAATTAATAAACATTTAATTTTCCATGTTTCTTCTGTTTGCTATACTCTTTCTATTGAGTATAGGTTGTTTTTAAAGAAAGAAAATATATGTTAAAATTTAAATTTCAGGCTTCTAGCTTACTCTTATTTTCCATAGTTTAAAAATAACCATTATAACTGAAGCATCTCTTTGTAAAATGAACTGATAGATATATAAAAATATTTCATCTAACAGTGAAGTACACCAAGTTTTTGCACCCAAACTCTCAGAATCGAAGGAGGGAGACCTCTAAAACCAACATAACTGTGGAGTGTTAAAACCCCAAAGCATTACTTTATCCTCAAAACTATTTGAGTGGCTATCACATGGATGGGTAGTTCTAGAAATGAAAATTGGTTCGGAGAATCTCTGATCCAGGTGAATTTCTACTTATGCCATTTTTTGTGGATTTTTTTTTGTTGTTGCCTCATTTCTCTTTTTTCTCCTATTTCTTTGCAAGCTCATATAAAAGCTTCATGTTACAGGGCTTCTCTTTCTGAGGGAATAAAGCTATAAACTTTCACAATGATCTGAACTAAGAAGAACTCAACATCTATTTCTTGGAGAGCCTTGGAAGACTTTTTGTCATTCTTTAACTCACCATTTATCCTGTCTTTAACAGTTAAGCTCTTCTTTCTTGTTTATTTTTTTGTTGCTGCTGCTGTTGTTGAGGCATATTATGGGAATTTATTTGAATAAAGTGCAATCAAGTACTTCATTTCTTTACACAAATCTTCCCTGGCCTATTTTCCCCCATCAATTGCAGCTGTATACTCATTCAATTATTTTCCTTCCCTATTTTGTCCCTATCTCCACTCCTAAGTGAGGCACCTTGGTTATGGCAATTTCCTATCCCACCTGCTGCCAAACATTTGGCTTTGATCTTTAATCTTTATTTGATAAACTATTAGCTGGTGGGGTTTCTCTACCCTAAGCCTGCAGCACATTGATAGCTTTATCTTCATAACAGGGATGAAAACAAAGCAAAACAGTTCAATATTAGAATATCTCAAAAATGGTACTTTTCTTGAGTTTAATTCATTTTTTTTTTTCAGACAGGGTTTCATTCTGTTACCCAGGCTGGAGTATGATCACAGCTCACACAACTTTGAATTCCTGGCTCAATCAATCCTCTTTGCTTAGCTTCCCAAGTAGTTGGGACTACAGGCATGCGCCATCACACCTGGCTAATTTTTTTTTAGAGATAGGGTCTCATTATGCTGCCTAGACTGGTCCCAAACTCTTAGTCTCAAGAGATCCCCCAGCCTTCACCTCCCAAAGTGCTGGGCTTATAAGCATGAAGCCACTGCACCTGGCCTAATTCAATCATTTCTAAAGTTCCTTGAGGTCAGAGACTTTGCCTCTATCACCATTGTGATATTCATCAAAATACCGTATGTATGGCATACAAAACTCAATACGTCTTTGTGCATGCATGTTTGGATGAATGAAAGACAGAAGACACTCTTCTTGCTCTTATTCTTATGAGACTTACATACCATTTCTCCCAGCCTTTTCTCTGCCTACTCACAGTTCACACATGCAACACTCCCCTGCCTTTGAATTAGTGGGAGACATACGCTCCCACAAAACATTTTCTATACAATGTTGTGAGCATTTTGTTTCAGAAATAAATCTAGGCTATGGGAGCCCAGAAAATAGGCACTTAAGTTAGGTTGGTGATTCTGATAAAGTTCCCTGGTGTGGGGTGTGGGAAATGGTTGAGATGAATTTTGAAAGTGGTTGGGGAGTTAGTTTAAAAAGACAGTGGTTGATGCAGGAGTACAAACCCCAGTCTTCCAGGAGAAGGTTACGGTTACATGTAACCACTAATTTTCAGATCCCCATTCAAGGGCATAGGTCACATGCTCAGGAAGCCAGCACTGACAAAGAGGGATGTGTGCCTCACCACAGGGTTTGAGAAGCGGGGTCCATGGCAACCAGGAGAGCCCAGCTGTGTGTGAAGGGGCAGCATGGTCCAGCCCCAGTGGGAGCACAGGCTCCATGCTGCCAGAACTTCTGATTTGCCAACAGAAGCTAGAAATTGAATGGTTGAAGTTGAACTCTCACAATTTAAAATTGTTTAACTCAATTAAAAACAAATTAAAACATGTTTGACAGGCCAAAATGCAAGGCTGCAGGTCTAACCTGATGTGAGGGCCAGTGGTTCACCTTATTGATCCTAGGGGAATCTTCCAGCCAAAAATTATGACGAACTCCGTTGAATGGACCATATCATTCGAGAATCATTTTCCAGTGTTTTTTGAAGCATTTTTAGTGTTGTGAAATAATAAAGATTTGGCACAAGATTCATAATGTTCTCATATGTTCTCATTTCAGAATGCTCAGCAATGTTCTCATATTTAAAAAGATACTTCCTTTTTTATACTTTAGTGTAAAGGGTCTCAAAGAGTAAAGATGTTACTCATAGAGTCACCTGTGAAACTTTCAAAATATAGATAGCACAGAACCACTTCATCCCGATTGAATCAGAATCTGCAGGGTTGTGAAACTGAAATAGGTGCTTGGAAAAGATCTATGTGCACAACTGAGAACTACTACATTAATCTTTGGGAGGTTCTGTTGTGCTTTGCTACTAAAATCATGGATAAGTATAAATATTTATATTGAGCTTCTAAGTAATATAGTAATAATGACTATTTTGCAGTTAATAAAAATTTCATATATGAAAGAAATAGCAATATAAAAATGAGGATTATATGACTAGAGTATTACTTTTAGAAAAAGAATGTAACAACCAATAGACAATTAAATGTTAACACACATATATGATGTAACACAATCATTACATTTTATACATTAAAGTTATATCATATATTTGTGATATCAAGTGGGCAGTTAAAACAGAATGGGTTACCAAAAATACTGATTTTCTCCTCCACTCAAAACCCAATTAATAGGAATAAGCATGGCTGATAAATATTTTATATCGCCTGCCTAGCTATAGGTGATGCATACTTTTTCTCAATAGAAAAGTTTCTAGATATGCATAAATTACTGGAAAATAAGTTTAAGTATACTAAACTCAGTGAAATGCTGGGAATATTTTTCTTAATAAAGTAATAATTATTTGGCTTGTCAATTTTTTAAAGGCTTTTAGGAAATTATCCTTCTAGAAATCCTTTGGAACATTCTGGGAACAATTACAATCATATAACAATGAGTGCATTCAAACAAAATGGTATTGTTTGTTCACGATTACAAAGTTATGGCAACTTCTGAAAAACTACCTTTCTCTAAATGTTTTACAACTTTAGTTACCATAACAACATAACATTGGTACTTTACTCTTGAAGAGAAAAATTGCTGTATTTTTATATTTTCCCTGAAGAAGCTTAAAACATGATAGGTGAAATGTCACACTTAATAATACCAAATTCAGTGCAATGTAGAAAGACAGCTGAGAAAAAAGTAAATATCTGTGAAGTTCTATTAATCATTTCTGACCTTTTTTCTTTTTAGGTACTTCAACATGTTTTGCCAATAGTGCATTATATCTGAAAGTTGTAAAATTATTATACTTACTAGTAACTCTACATTTTTAACAATATGGTCTTAAATTCAAATAATTGTCATGTTGAATTATAATTAAGAAAGGTGAAAAATTTAAATATGTATATTTATATATGTGTAATAATAAGTGTATACTCTATCTATCTATCTATCTATCATCTATCATCTATCTATCTGTCATCTGTCTATAGAGCTTGCCTTAAATGAAGCAAACATTCAAAAAGTTGAGGCCCACATGTCTCTCCCATTCAGAGTCAATCTTTTTCTACAGCTGAGTTACCTACCATTGCCTGTGAGGAAGAGAAAGTTGCTGGTCAAATGGCTAAGAACTTAAAGACCAAAGGATTATTTTAAAAATTAGGTTAAATGAAATAAATCAGACAGAAAGAAAAATACCCTAAGATGTGACTTACATGTGGAATCTAAAAAATTAAATACACAGAAACAGAGAACAGTGTTTGCCAAGGGCAGGAGGGAGGGTGAAGTGCAAGTTGAGGAAAAGTGAGTCAAAGGTATAAAGTTACAGTTACATAGGATGAATAAGTCTAGAGATTAATGTACAGCATGAGAACTAGAGTTAATAATACTGTATTATATACTGGAAATTTTCTAAAAGAGTAGATTTTAGGTGTTGCCATCATACAAAAAATTTAAAAAATCGTAACTATGTGAGGAAATGGATATGTAAATTAGCTTGACTGTAGTAATTGTTTTATTATGTATATGTGTATAAAACATCATTTTGTATATCTTAAATATATACATTTTTAATTTACAATTTAGGTTAAGTATGTGTAAATGGAACTAGAAAAGCTAGAATGAAATAAGTGAGGACTAAAGAAATATTGAAATAAATAGAAACCAGGACCCAGATCCCAGTCCCTCCTTTGGAAGTCCTGTATCACAATCCCTGTTAAAAACGTGAATCCCAGTGGCCACGTTGGCACTGTGTGATCCTGAATCTAGGGGCCAGGTATGAATATTCCCACCATTCATATTTAAATTCCCATTCATGTAATAACACAAATTCTTTGATGCCAATATTACTAAAAGAGCTTTCCATTTATGTTTCTATGGGATCATTACCACTACTGAATGGTGAACTAGAGGAAGGTACAGGGGTCACTCTGGGTCAGTATTCCCCATCATGATTGCATACCATTGAGAGCCCCCAGGAAGAGAAATAGCTTCCTAAACAGCCACATTATGTATTTGAGAAGACAGCTTGAACTTGCTATTCTTCTCCTTGTAGGAGATAATCAGCATTGACTCCAGCTTGCCTCATATTCCAGATTATTACCATTGCCTACAGAAGTCTAAGCCTTCAGGCCACTTGCTGTCTCTAAGACAGCCCCATATATCTATTACCATGACCACTAAGTCTCCACCTGAACCTCTCATCCCAAATTGTTTTTCTGTGTCCTCTGAGATTCAAGATCTGGGATCAGTCAACTCTATTATATATTCAACGTCTTCATTGAAAGTTCCCTTTGCCATCTTACTGTGAGCGAAACCTGACCACCTGTTCAGAGTACTGGTCTCCCTGTTGTACTCTGGAGTAAAGATTACTTTTTCTCACAACCTCTGTGTATTTTAGGACCAGGAGGTTAGTGTTCTTACTCTCTCCTGTTGCCTCCAAGACATTTATCTTGTTTCCTTTTTGAAAAACTAAAACTTTTTCCATCAAGATATTATACTTGCTGCCCCTCCTTGGTACTATCAACTTATGACCTATCTGGTTGATTCTCCTATTTATTAGAGAATTTGCTCTCTGTCCTCCTCTTAGCCACGTTTTCATTCTTGGTAATTTGTCATCCATAAGGCTGAACCATCACTTTCTGTCTTGTCAGTTCCTCCACTTTTTCACTCCTAACAACATTTTCCTTGTACTCCCATGATCACCCCCCTGGATCTCGAAATCACCAACATGGACTCCAAACACTCCACTGGCACTCAGCATCTCCCACCAGCCCTTCTTCTGTCATGTTTTTTATGCTTCACTGAGATCACTATAACTCACTTTCTTACCATCCAGTATGCTCGTCTTAAATTTCTCCTCACCTAGGTGTCATTGTACATTATTATGAACTCTCCCTTGCAAAATGCTTGTTCTTGTCTTTTTTCATACTTAACTGTCAAAATTATAATTCTGATTTAACCCAAATATCCTACATCTCTATGCCTGAAGCTGAAGGAGAGTCAGAGGTGATGAATACCAGATGATACTAAAATCATATAACATATAGAATATCTGGTTTTACTTTATATTATTGACCACATATCCCTACTGGACACTCAACAATATTAAAATTCTACTACCTTTCCTAGCATATTAACTTCCCTAATCCCAGGATAACTATTTCTATTAGTATTCTATTGCTGCATAACAGATTACCACAAATGTCCTGGCTTAAAACAATACCAATTTACCATCTCACAATTCTGTAAGTCAGAAGTCTGAATGAGATGGGTTGGGTTCTTTGCTTAGGGTCTCTCAAGGCTGAAATCTAGATGATGGACAAGGCAGGCTCTTATCTGGAAGCTTGAGGGAAGGACACATTGCAAGATCATTCAGGTTGTGGTTAAATAAAATTCCTTGTGGTTGTAGAACTGAGATGCCTATTTCCTGGCTGGCTATCAACTGGGAGCCACTATCAGCTCCTACAGGTTTCCCTTGTTCCTTGGACCCGGGTTACCTGTATCTCCAAAGCCAGAAACAAGGCATAGAATCTCCCTCATGCTTCAAATCTCTGACTTCCTCTTCTGTTCACCACCCTGAGAAAACTGCTTTGAAAGGGCCTCTGTGATTGGATTAGGCCCACTCAAATAATCTCCAGTTTGCCATATATTATACCATAATCACATGAATGATGCTTCAACGTATGTATGTTTCAGCCTTACTCTAAGGTGAAGTGATTGTACATGGGAGAGGGTCGGTGGGGGGTGGGCATGGGGAGCTTGGGGGGGTGTCACTCTTAGAATTCTGTCTACCACCCCATGCCATACCTTCTCCTCTCTTTCAAACCTCACCCAACTCCCACACTCCATAACTTCACCAAGAAATGAGAAACTCTCAGGAGGGAATGCTTCCAGTAATACAAACTTTCCTGCACTGGTATCCATCATCTCTGACTGTCCTTCAGCAATTTTTTTTTTCAAAAAGACTAGCTCTGTGGTCTGGGCAATGATTTTTTTAGTAATACCCTGAAAGCACAGGCAACCAAAGCAAAAATGGACAAATGTGATCACATCAAATTAAAGAGCTTCTTGACAGCAAAACAAAAAACAATAAAAAATCAACAAAATGAAAACACAGCCCACAGAATGGGAGAAAATATTTGCAAACTACCCTTCTGACAATGTACTAATGAACAGAATATATAAGGAGATTAAACAACTCTACAGGAAAATATTTAATAGTCTGATTTGAAAATGGGCAAAATATTTGAATAGACATTTTTCAAAAAAAGACATACAAATGGCAAACAGGTATATGAAAAGGTGCTCAATATCACTAATCATCAGAGCAATGCAAATCAAAACTACAGTGAAATATCATCTCACTCCAGTTAAAATGGCTTTTATCCAAAAGACAGGCAATAACAAATGCTGGTGAAAATGTGGAGAAGAGGGAGCCCTCTCATACACTGTTGGTGGGAATGTAAATCATTACAATCACCATGGAGAACAGTTTGGAGGTTCCTCAAAAAAACAAAAATGGAACTACCACAGGATCCAGCAATCCCACTGCTGGCTATATACACCCTCGCAAGAAATGGAAATCAATGTACCAAATAGATATATGTATTTTTATTTATTTGTTGTAGCACTATTAACAATAGCTGAGATTTGGAAGCAACCTAAATGTCCATCAACAGACCAATGGATAAAGAAAATGTGGTACATATACACAATGGAGTACTATTCAGCCATAAAAAGAATGAAACCCTTTCATTTGGGACATGATTGGAACTGGAGAACATTATGTTAAGTGAAATAAGCCTAGCACAGAAAGACAAAACTCACATGTTCTTACTCATTTGTGAGAACTAAAAATTAAAACAATTGAATTCATGGAGATAGAGGGTAGAATGATGGTTATTAGAGGCTGGGAAGGGTAGTGAGTGGTGACGGGGGCAGTAGGGATGGTAAATGGTTACAAAGATATAGTTACCTAGAATGAATAAGATTTAGTATTTGATAACACAACAGGGTGGTTATAGTCAGTGTTAACATATTGTACATTTTAAAATAACTAAAAAGTATAACTGGAGTGTTTGTGACATAAAGAAATGATAAATGCTTGAGATTATAGACACTCTATTTACCCTAATTATTCTTTTTTTCTTTTCTTTTCCTTCTTTCCTTTTTTTTGTGACAGGATCTAGTTCTGTTTCTCTGGCTGGAGTGCACTGGCATAATCATAGCTCACTGCAGCCATGACCTCCTGGGCCCTAGTGATCCTCCCACCTCGGCCTCCCAAGTGGACTAGGACCACAGGTGTGCAACACCATGCCTGGCTAATTTTGTAATTTTTTTTGTAGAGGCAGGACCTCACTATGTTACCCAGGCTGATCTTGAACTCCTGGGCTCAAGTGGTCCTCCTGCCTTGGCTTCCCAAAGTGCTGGGATTACAGGTGTGAGCCACTGTGCCCAGCCTGATGTGATTATTGTGCATTGTATGCCTGAAGAAAAATATCTCATACACTCCATAAATATATATATATATATCTACCATGTACTCAAAAATTTAAGAATAGCAAAGAATAAAAAACAAATTAAAAAAAAACTCTGACTCTCAAAGGAGAATTTCTTCAAATGTTCTCTGTGTCTTATCATCTTGCACCTTCCTGTAAAGTTTGATCCTTCAGTCTTCCCCTACATCATCAATCACATGCTCTCTGCTGGTTCACTTATTTCAGCTTACACTCACGCTCTGGTATCTTCTATTTACAAGCAAGCTTTCAATGACCCCACTTTTTCTTCTAAGAACTACCTAATTCCCCTGCTGTCTTTGAAGGCAAAACCTAATGAATGAATTGTCTATACTTCAACACTCCTACACGCCACTGTGGACAATCAACTTCCTAGTCAATTTCCAGCCTTTCCTTTAAACTGTTCTTGTCAATTTATCAATGTGTCTATATTGCCAAATCCAATGTACACTTCTCAGTGCTCATATTACTGGACCTAGAAGAAGATTTCCGTACAGTTTTCTCATCCCTTCTCTTTGAAATAGCCTCCACTCTTGACTTTCTTGATGATCACTCTTCAGGTTTTCCTAGTTTTTCTTCTTTCTGCTTGTTACTTCTCTAACTAAACCCTAAATGTTGATGTGTCTTAGGGTCCCATCCTGGCCCCTTTTATTTCTTTCTTTGCTTTCTCCCCAGGTGATTATATCCAGTCGCATGGCTTTTAAAATATAATGTATATGCTGATGAGTGTCAAATTTACATTTTAACCCAACTTTCCTCAAAAACCTCCGTTTTATGTTTCCATCCACATTGTATAGTATCTTCACTTGAAGGGGTAATAGGCATCTCAAACATAATATATCTAAAAGAGAGCTATTGATTTAACCTGTTCCCTTCACATAATATTACCCCACCCAACCAGTGGCTCAAAAAAAGAAAGAAGTAATTTTGGTTCATCTTCCCACCTCTGACATTTAAATCATCTCCAAGCCTTGAAAACTAGATCTCAATTTGTTTCACTTCTTCCAGTTTTCACTGCCATCGTGCTGGTCAAAGCCACACAGTTTTAAGACAGTGACAGTCACTTCCTAAATTCATTCTTGTTCCTCTCAAATCCATTATTTAAATGACCATCAAAATAATTTTTAAAAATCAAATCAAATCACGTTACTTTCTACTTTTAAACTTTCCAATGGTTACTTATTATTTTTAGATTAAAAT
The DNA here is from genome assembly GCF_000001405.40 of Homo sapiens. Classification (NCBI taxonomy): domain Eukaryota; kingdom Metazoa; phylum Chordata; class Mammalia; order Primates; family Hominidae; genus Homo; species Homo sapiens. The sequence continues at coordinate 115,073,840 of NC_000007.14, forward strand.
GCAAAAACTTTGAGGTCAGCATCTTCAAGAGAGAAGGCATCTTCTATCACCTAGAGTAAGAGAGAGAGCTACTGGGCCAAGGAGCTCTGCTGTAAATGCAGTATGGTTCCATACTCAAGTGGAAAAACCCTGTCCTCTCATTTCTCTGCCTTATAATGGGTTAGACATTAGAGTGACCTCATTAATGAAGGAGATCAGAGAATCTGGATTTGAGAGGCCAAGTGGGAAGAGGAATTGTCAGTGAACTTCAAGTGACAGCATAAAAAGACCCTGGGACCCAGGTGGAGAAAGACACTGGACTCCTGTGTAGCTGAGTTCAGAAGCAGACCCGCCATTAGAAGAAGGGCTGGGAGCAAGGGAGTGGGGCTGATCCCAGCTCCTTATCCAAGTCCAGGCACTCCAGATTAAATACCCAGGGCCATTTTTTGACAGTCCTATTCTTTGCATAACATTCAAATATTGCCTTTGTTTCATCACTTTATTTTCTTCAGAATATTTACCAAAATTAATCACATCTTGTTTATTAAAGAAAGAATTAAAAGTACTTATTGTATGTCTACTATATGTCAGATGCTATTCTAGATGCTTGCTTACTTTTTAATTATCTATGTTCTTCACAAAAAGGCAAGCTTCATCAGCAGAGAGCTTGTCTATTTTATTCACAGGTTTGTCCTCAAAATAGGGACTCCATAATATTTATTGAATGAACAAATGAATTAATTACTAATTGCTAACAAAAGTTTTCTTCAAGACTAAAAGAAACCTTTTATTTTAATTTCTCATAGATAACATTAATTAAAAAGTATGGTTAGCTTCTAACCTTAACCAAGTCCATCCAAGTGGCACAGTTCTGTCCTTTAAATTATAGCACAATCATAACACATCATCTAAACTGGCTTCCTTTTGAGAGTGAAAGAAATATTATTAAAAATATGCCAGAACAATAAGCAGAAACTTAGATTTTCCTGGGCAATCTCAGTTTGCCCTGAGCAATCCAAACTGTATGTTTAGCCTATTAAATTGTATCCTACAGTTACAGAGGCTATGTTTTGAGTCTCTAACTTGATTTTCAAGTTAAGACATGGTATTTCTAATACTTATATTTGGAAGGTATACTCTTAGATTTTAAAAGAACAAATAAGTTATAGTTTAATACTTGTCACCATGATAAAGATAAAAACTAACACATCATGCTTACTATGTGCCAGGTCATACCTAAGGGTTTGATTTATTTCAACCCATTTAATCTTCACAACAAAGTTATAAAGCAGGCTTTGTTATCATCCTTATTATAGAGATGAGAACACTGAGGCACAGAGAAGTTAAGTATAATAACTTGCCCAGGGTGACATAGCTGGTGACTAAAGGAGCTGGGATTCAAACACTAGCAGTTTGCTTCCACAATCCATGCCCTCTCTACTAAACTTAATGTGTTATGGACAGATTGCAACTTATGCCAGGCATCTAACTGTACTTTTCCACATGATAATTGGTATGGGGTAGACAGTGCAATGGTTTGAGGAATGCTTAGGAGCCTAACATATGTAGAGCAATTATGAGGAACTTCAGGAATGCTCCAAAGCATAGCTTATCTGTCAAGAATGTCTTCATCCTGGATGGGTCTTACCTTTTAAAAAAGAAGATACTGTTTTTACGTTAGAAACATAAAATTTGTTAATTTTTCAAATACTAGGCTGAAAACAATAAATTTCAGATCAGTAAGAAGTAATCTGAAATTAGAAGAATAAATTTTTTTAAAATGTTATGCACTTATGATTTAATACTGTATCTTTACATTTGTTTACACTTACCTCAACTTCGAGTTGTACTAGGTATGGTCTCTGTGTGTGTGTAAATTCTGATAAATGTTAACTTTTTTTTTAACAGAATTGTACTTTTTTTATATTGTTATACTTTAAGTTCTGGTATACATGTGCAAAAAGTGTAGGTTTGTTACATAGGTATACACATGCCATGGTGGTTTGCTGCACCCATCAACCCGTCATCTACATTAGGTATTTCTCCTAATGCTATACCTCCACTAGCCCCCCACCCCCCGACAGGCTCCTGTGTGTGATGTTCCCCTCCCTGTGTCCATGTGTTCTCATTGTTCAACTCCCACTTACGAGTGAGAACACACGGTGTTTGGTTTTCTATTCCTGTGTTACTTTGCTGAGAATGATGGTTTCCAGCTTCATCTAAGTCCCTGCAAAGGACACAAACTCATCCTTTTTATGGCTGCATAGTATTCCATGGTGTATATGTGCCACATTTTCTTTATCCAGTCTAACTTTGATGGGTATTTGGGTTGGTTTCAAGTCTTTGCTATTGTGAATAGCGCCGCAATAAACATACATGTGCTTGTGTCTTTATAATAAAATGATTTATAACCGTTTGGGTATCTACCCAGTAATGGGATTGCTGTGTCAAATGGTATTTCTGGTTCTAGGTCCTTGAGAAATCACCACACTGTCTTCCACAATGGTTGAACTAATTTGCACTCCCACCAACAGTGTAAAAGTGTTCCTATTTCTCCACATCTTCTCCAGCATCCATTGTTTCCTGACTTTTTAATCATCGGCATTCTAACAGGTGTGAGATGGTATCTCACTGTGGTTTTGATTTGCATTTCTCTAATGACCAGTGATGATGCGCTTTTTTTCATATGTCTGTTGGCTGCATAAATGTCTTCTTTTGAGAAGTCTCTATTCATATCCTTTGCCCACTTTTTGATGGGGTTGTTTGTTTTTTTCTTGTACATTTGTTTAAGTTCCTTGTAGATTTTGGATATTAGCCCTTAGTCAGATGGATAGATTGCAGAAATTTTCTCCCATTCTGTAGGTTGCCTGTTCACTGATGATAGTTTATTTTGCTGTGCAGAAGCTCTTTAGTTTAATTAGATCCCATTGGTCGATTTTGGCTTTTGTTGCCATTGTTTTGGTGTTTTAGTCATGAAGTCTTTGTCCATGCCTATGTCCTGAATGGTACTGCCTAGGTTTTCTTCTAGGGCTTTTATGGTTTTAGGTCTTATGTTCAAGTCTTTAATCCACCCTGAGTTAATTTTTGTATGAGGTATAAGGAAGGGATCCAGAATTTGGTATCAGGCCAATGAAATTAATGTCTGGTAGACTTTTAAATGTCATACCTCTGATTCCAATAAAATATTATTCTTGATTAAGATATTAAAATCCTAGATATGGGTTGAAACATATATGAAACAAAAAGAGTCTCATTGAAGGTTTTGTATGAAGAAATACAATTTAAATAAAACTTAAGTAAAATTATTTTATAGTTTAAGAAACATCCCTTACACAATAGTATCAATTATAATGTTATCTACCCATAACATTGCATTTTAAAATTTCAATTCTTTCATTTTCCTGCTTCAAAATTACTTTTTAAATGACATATTTCAATGATTAATTATGCACTCAAAACAGAAAAAAAGTACAAATTTAAAAAGCAACCAAAATTAACAAGCCACCAAAATATCTGAAGTAATCATTGTTAATAAAACTGGATCATCAGGGCTGGGCGCGGTGGCTCACACCTGTAATACCAACACTTTGGGAGGCCAAGGTGGGCGGATCGTGAGGTCAGGAGATTGAAACCATCCTGGCTAATATGGTGAAACCCCATCTCTACTAAAAATACAAAAAATTAGCCAGGCGTAGTGGCGTGTGCCTGTAGTCCCAGCTACCCGGGAGGCTGAGGCAGGAGAATTGCTTGAACTCAGGAGGCGGAGGTTGCAGTGAGCCAAGATGGAGCCATTACACTCCAGCCTGGGCAACAGAGCAAGACTCCATCTCAAATAACAACCAACCAACCAAAAAAAAACACTGACTCATCACTCAAAATAATGCATATTTGTATGCAGAAGAATAGACAGATAAATGATTTCATAGCAATAGTGTGCTTTTTAAATTAAAAATATTATTTATAATTTCGATTGCCTTTAACAGAATTTAAAAACTGAAGTGGAACTTACAGAATTTCTGAGCTCTAGATACAAATTTATTACCACCTGTGATATAACTTCCAAATCATTTGTCTGAGATTAAGAAAAATATGATGAAAAACATCAAGAGCATAAAGTAAAATTTTAAAACATGTTGCAATTTTTTTCTCGTATGGAGTGGGGTCTGCTGAAAGATGAGAAATAAGCACACAAAGATGTTCCCATATTTCCTCTTCTGATCCAACTTCCCAACGAACTAAAAGCTACCTATCTTGAACTATGCAGTTTTGGTGTTTATACATAGGAAAATATTTTGGAGGCATGGTGGTATGTGGAAATTCCTGTTTCATAAATTAAAGTCATTTGTCAGATTGGCTAAACAGCTATTTACAGAGCATCAGTTCCTTCCAAATTTTTAAGCCATGTTGTTATATGTACATTATCCAAGTTAATGATATGAATTTTCTCTGATTTCTACATTTTCAACTCTTTGTTTTTATTTTAGTGGATTCAAAACCTGCTGTCCTTTTACCATTGTTTTTCAGTTCTGCACTTTAGTAAAAGTCATCCCTTGGGACAAAGTAGGTTTTTTTTTGTTACATTAAGTAGGTTTTTTGTTTGTTTGTTTTGCCTGCTCTATTTTTTTTTTTCTCCAGAAGGTTCATGCCTGTTTCATTTCCTCCATGAATGAGAATGTCTTCTGGTTTCCTCTATTCTTGAATGATAATTTGGCTGTGTATACATTTTCATTCATGCTTTCTTTACTGCTTCACTGTCTTTGTGTGTTGACAGATGCCTTTCATCTTTTACTCCAGCATCTCCAATCAAGCATCTTTGGTTGGATTTTTGACATCAAGTGATTTCTTTCCTTTTTTACAGAAAGGGCTCATGACTTGTATATTCCCTGACTATTTTTTTGGTTGTTGCTGTTTTTGTTTATAAAATGTCTTTCTGTTGCCCTTATGTTTGTTTGACCACCTCAGTTGGGCATAATAATCTTTAGTTACAGTCTTTCCTACTTGCTATGGTTTGCATGTCCCCTTCAAAACTTATGTTGAAATTTAATTGCCATTGTGATGGTATTAAGAGGTGGGACCATTAAGAGGTGATTAGGTCACCAGGGCTCTGCCCTCTTGAATGGATCAATGTTGGTGTCAAGGAAGTGTCCTGTTATTAAAGGGAGTTTGACCCTCTCTTGCTGGCTTGCTCTCATGCTTTCTTGTCCTTCTGCCTTCTGCCATGGGATGACACAGCAAGAAGCCCCTTGCCAGATGTGGGCCTCTCGACCTTGGACTTCTTAGCTTCCAGAACTGTAAGAAATATTTCTTTTCTTTATAAATTACCCAGCTTGTGGTATTCTGTTATAGCAACACAGAACATACTGAGATACTATTGAAGGTTGCTAACATTTGTTCCCCTATCTTCTGATTTCTTTTGACATTGGATTTAGTAGAAGTCTAAGACCAGTCTGACATTTCACCTCTCATTATTTATATACACATATACATGTGCGTGCACACGCACACACACACACACACACACACACAATTTTTTCTGGCTAAAGAATAATTTCTTTACCTACAAAGTTTAAAATTTCGTCTGGACTTTCTTGGTTTAGATTGCTGTAGAAAATGTTCCTAGACTGTAAGGAATCTTTTTGATGATCTGTAATTCAATTCTTCCTTATTTTGCTTGATTATTCTTGGAAGCCTTTTTCTGTCACCTTAGTTGACCTACCTATTTTAGGGACAACGAATTTTTATTTTGCCGGATTTACATTTTTTTTTTCTGCTGTTTCTACCTATTATTGTCTTTGAATCACAGTTATCTAAATATTTTTTCCTGTGTAGAGTCACCATAATTATACTCTTTTTCTTAGTGGTTTGATATTTTATTGTGTCTATTTTTTTCTTGTTGGACATAACTTTGTCTAACTTATTTATTAATTCTGTGATAGTGGCTTTTGCTCCTTAAGTTGCTTCCTTCATTCTGGAATTTAGCTCCCATTTATCATTTTCTTAATGTCCTTCTTTTATAAAATTATGTTCTTATAATCTCCTATAGAAGGGAGAATAAAGTCTTCATGGTGAGTTATCCTCTCATTTTAGATTGTTTCCTTCCAGAATAGATTTCTTATCTGCTTATTTCTTTCTATTATTTTTTCCATATAGAATGTTTTTATAGTTGCCATGCCATTTATTTCTAGGTTTTTTTTTGCATGCTTTACATCAGTAACTCTGTTAGTTGTTTTCAATGCTCATATAGAATACGATCAAATTCTCTTTTATCTACTTCTCTTCTATCTAGAACATTTTAATATTTTCCTCTGAATTTCACTTTAGAGACTGTGGTTGAGTCTGCCTATTTACTCTTAGTCCAAATTTCTCCAAATTGGGGTGGAACATGCAGTATTAAAAATATTCTTAGAAATTGTAAAGTTACTTCTTCCTCTCCATACTGTTAAACTCATCTCAGTTTTCTATTTTTCAGCATAATAAATCTTTTTGTTTGTCTCATCCCCAATTTATAAATTTACAAATGATACATGAACTTATGGAATATAAATGGCGCATGGCCATTGTTTGAAATATTAAAGAAATATTAAAATAGATGAACAGAGACAGAAATGCATATATGTGATATCCTTTCATATTTCTTGGTTTTCAATGAAATAGTCTTTCTTAAAAGTAAAGAGCTAATTTTGGTCTTCTCCAGAAAAAAATTTACCCACATCCCTAAAACCCTAAGAATTCCTTACGGTTCTTAGTTACGCTGTCCACTGTGATATATACTGCATAACATTAATTTCATGGAGTAGAAAAACCAACTTCAAAAATTCGCTAGTGTCTGGAATGACTTTGGTGAACACTGTGGGGAGAGAGCAATAACACTTTGTGAGCAGAAGTGCTACCGCGCACAGGTACCTCATTTACTTTGTTCTCATTTAAAGTTCTCATAAAATTACTTAATTCCATGTTGTTCCAAAATTGCCTTAATTGATTTTCAGACTGCAAGTGTCATCACTGGAATATACTTTCATTTTACTGCTTTGTCTCTGCTTTATTGTTTTGCTCAAAACTAGTCCATTGAGGATCTCTTGATACAAGGCATTTTCTTCTTAGCCATATTTTATTGAAATGTCAACTAGCACTACAGTTTTCCTTTCCCTGGATTTTTGAAACTCAGAGTAATCGTGGCTTTTACATGATACTTTAATAATGTTGCCAATCCCCTGATAAGTTGTTCACATCAGTTATTTAGCCCCAATACTTAAAGCTTGGGAATCACAATGATTCTTTTCACTTTCCGCTTCTGCAATTCTAAGCGTTATGAATATTAAGTTGTACTTGCCCCAAAGCAAAAGTATATTCACAAAGATATTTGCTGAGATCAGGACTCTCTGGGCCTCGTTTTTAAACATAGCATTAATAAGAAAACACCACAAAATACATGACATTTAAAAGTAAGAGAAACAGGAATTTAGAATTTTTCAGTAAAGTTAGAAAATATGTTTATTGATTAAAGTTATCCTTAGTAATGCAACAGAACATCCTACATGAAGCTGTTGTTAAATCCTACCTTTTAAGAAACAATTTATGGGAGTGAAAGAACTCTTGGATTTAGGCATTCTAATTACTACCCTTGAATTGCATTTGTATGAGCTCTCACAAATTTTAAACTTTTTAGACAGTAAAAATGTCAGAAACTGATTCTATGAAGTAAATTTTTATGTTTTCTTTTAATCATATAATAATATTACTTTTGAAGTAAACATCAACTTAACCATAAAAGCTACTTCGTCCTTTTGAGAGTCTGAGCTAATATTTGACGGTGATATATTAAAATGATATAAACATTACAAAAATATCCAGAAAAACAAGTTTCAATCCAGATGGAGTTTCTTGATCCTTGTTTCCTGAGAAAATATGTAAGATACATCATCCAGGAGGCTAAGGGACTGTTTCACTGTAATTAGGGCAGCTTTGAATTTTGCTTCGTTAAGCTAGTGTGCATTTTTACCTTATTCAACCTATAAAGAGAAAACTGGATGATATTTTGCAAATTCTTGTCTAGCCTTTGAAAGAAAGCAGGCTATTGATTTGGAAGTTTCCCCAGACATAGTTGCAGAGACTAAATGATCTCTAAATTTAAATTCCAAAGCGTGCACACGGTGCTGGACAGAGCAATTGCAGCCACAGAATCTTCCATGATCAAACCTTCTAAGGCAAATCAGGGTCATCTATTCTCAGGAAATTTTGACTCTATAAACCTCCCCTAATACAGGAGGTGGAATCTTAAAAAGGCCTTTTTAACAGGAGTGTCTCCCTCAGCCATCAGATTTTTTTTTTTTAGTTTCTTATACTCAGTAGAAAGAAATCTTTGGAGGAATTGTGCTACTGTTAAGCTTGGGTCTCACCTCAAATCCAAAAGAAGTTCAAAGAACCTGTAAATTAGGAGAAACAAAAAGAGAATGGGAAAAAGAAAAACAAACCCCAGCTAATGAAATTATTTGCCTCCAGGTCAACAACAGTAGAAACAAAGGCAAAGACAATGCTCACACCTTGTATAAAAGAAATAAGCAACACGGACATTTAAGTAAGGCAATTAAAACATAAATTAGGTCCAATAATTTCATTTCAGAGTTTTAGAAATGTCATGTTATGTAAACTGCATTCAACCCTTGAGCGTGATATTTAAGGCCCTCAATAATTTGGCAACAAACTATTTTTCCAGCCTTATAACAAATTGCCTCATAAAATGTTCCATCCAAATACCTCTATTGCCAGCAATAATCATAATATATCCCAGGAATCTGGAATACCTGATATAACCAATAATACTTTTAACTTAAAAATTTGTGCATTTTATTTTAATAGAAAAAATACTTTTACTTATTTCCCATCAAAGTAAATCCACGCTCCAGGAAATGTGCTAGGTAAACTCTTTATAGGTCAACCTATTTTCTAGTACATTGTCCTATGTACCAGAAAATATTAGTATTCTAGTATGAGTAGCTGGGAAGTGAAAATACCTAAAGCCTTGAGTTCTAGTCCTGCCCTGCTATTAACTAGTTATGTGATGCTGGCTAGGACTCTTGTATCTTTTCCTGTATCTCCATCTGAAAGACGAAGTCAGATTAGACAAGTGGATTTCACATTTTTTTTTTCTTTTTGGCTTCTGACACCAGTATGTATAACAGATAAAGTGAAGCTTTTCTGGTAGAAGAAGCCAAAGTGGTCATGCAGGCAGTTCTGGGCTGCATGGCTTCAAATCACAGGGCGAAATCGTGTGCAGTCTTCCGGACCTTCTCTTTTGATCACGGTAGTAATATTTTCCCTTACTTTCACTCACTCTTGAATGATTTGCAGCCTCCCTGAAAGTACTACAGTTTCCCTCGTCTCCGTGCTTGTTGACAATCTTGCCTTTGGGCTGAGCTTGTTCTGCACACAATGCTGTCCCATCTGCTATTAAAATTTTGTCCACCTCCCAATGGCTGCTTAAATGATACTGTTTCCTGGAAAACTTCCTCTGTTAGAAGAAACTTTCCAAACTCATGAAAGACTTTGTGCTTTTTATATGTTACTGTTTTGATTAGTTATTTGTATACATGTTTTCTAACTTGCTAGATGGTACACTCCTATAGCAATAGAATCATGTTTTACTTATTCAGAGCAGAAAATAACAAATTGCTCTTGTCAATTATTGTATCTAACATAAATTGATCCTGAAGACTAGAGGAAAGCAATTTGCAGTTGATGTAAGTGTTTTAGTGCAGGGTAGGGTCTGGAATGAGTCAAGCCTTTCATAGTAAATAAAGGCTAATCTTGATGAGACTTGCTCTAGGGCCATTTCTGGGCCAGATGGATTTTTGAGCCAAAAAGCAAAAGAGATGTCTCTAGGTAGATGCAACCTTATGTCAGGACACATGGCTAGAGGAACAAAGTGTGGGCTGGAGTTCAGCCTCTGTGTGTTCCTTCATTTGGGCATTTGTGCAGAGCACTGCCTTTCCAACTTGCACAACTACATGTGTTGGTCTGGCTTGTTTCCTATGTACCTAGTGAGAAATTTTACTCATAGAGAAAGTGAATTTCAATGAATACCTACTCTTCCACTACTCAGTAGCCAACTCTCTATTTCAGAAGACCCTCTCAGAGCTTCGAGTCAGAGCTTGAGTTTCTCAAGTGTTGGGATAGGGACTTGCTACAGCCTTCAATTGCAGGGAAGAAAAGGGAATCTGACACTAAATGTGGGGCAAAGGTGAAGAGGAGACTATGTAAAGGATTGAGGCCAGTAGTGAGGAGGGAGGGAGCCAGGAGAGGGTATATCAGTCTTTTCTAGAAGGCCCTTGTCGTTAGCCAGAGAGGCCAAAAATAACTCCCACACTTGGCCACTCTGGTGAATTTTGCTCTACCCTGCTATAAAAGAACTTCGTATTCTCATTTGACCCAGCCATCCCATTACTGGGTATATACCCAAAGGATTATAAATCATGCTGTTACAAAGACACATGCACACGTATGTTTATTGCAGCACTATTCACAATAGCAAACACCTGGAACCAACCCAAATGTCCAATAATGATAGACTGGATTAAGAAAATGTGGCACATGTACACCATGGAATACTATGCAGCCATAAAAAATGATGAGTTCATGTCCTTTGTAGGGACATGGATGAAGCTGGAAACCATCATTCTCAGCAAACTGTCACAAGGACAAAAAACCAAACATCTCATGTTCTCACTCATGGGTGGGAATTGAACAATGAGAACACCTGGACACAGGAAGGGGGACATCACACACCGGGGCCTGTTGTGGGGTGGGGGGTGGGGGAGGGATAGCATTAGGAGATATACCTAATGTAAATGACGAGTTAATGGGTGCAGCACACCAACATGGCACATGTATACATATGTAACAAACCTGCACATTGTGCACATGTACCCTAGAACTTAAAGTATAATAATAAAAATTAAATAAATAAATAAATAAAAAATAAAGAACTTCGTATTCTTCAACTAGACCAGTGTTTGGTTCTGGAAACTTGGTGAAGCAGTGATGGGTATGACAATGTCCTGTTAGAAACAAGATGAGCATGACATATTCTCACTCCCATGAGAACTTGGCTGAGTAACTGTTGGTTATCTGTAGACTGGCTAGCCCAAAGACCAAAAGTAGCACAGATGACCCCATTTGACAGAAAGGCCAAATTTTATCTTCATTGTCTTTTGTCAAAGGTAAGAATAGAGACTCCTCACACTACGTGGTTCGATACACTTTCTTCAATAAAATAATGAGCCTGGGTAAATTAACTATCTACTCATTCTTAGTGTTTATAAATTACAACATAACTAAACTCTGACTTCATCCAGGAGTGAGTAGATAACTTTAAACTTAAACTGAATATTTTATTTTAGAATGTAAAGTTTTCTCAAGATATGTGTCTAGTCTAGGTTAATAGCCCCACCATCTGCTCAGTCACTCTAGACAGAAACTTTCTCTTTGATATTTACCCTTCCTCTCTCTCCCACTTTAATCCTTGGTTTAAATTCTTTAAAATCTCTTCACAACCTAGAAGAGAGATTCTCAACCTGGGGTTTACCTATTTTAGAGTTAGTTGATCACTGTTTAAAAAACAAACAAACAAACAAACAATGAAATTTCCATGGTCCTATGTATTCATCAGGGTTCTTCAGAGAAACAGACCCAACTGGATATATACAGGCATGAAGGGATTTATTATGGGAATTGACTCACATGATTATGGAGGCTGAGAAGCCCCACCGTATGCTGTCTGCAAGCTGAAGAACCGGAAAAACCAGAGGTTAATTCAGTCTGAATCTAAAAGCCTGGGAGAATCAGGGCAGCCAAAAGTACAGCTCTCAGTCTAAGGCCAAGGGCCTGAGAGCCTGGGGCCACTGGTGCAAGCCCCAGAGTCTGAAGGCCTGAGAACCTGGAGTTCTGATGTCTGAGGGCAGGAGAAGATGCACATCCCACCTTTGAACAGAGAGAGAATTCGTCTTTCCTCTGCCTTTTTGTTTCATGAGGGCCCTCAACAGATGGAATGATGGTCACTCATACTGGTGAAAGCTGATCTTTCTTACTTTGGTCCACTGACATAAGTGCTAATCTCTTCAAGAAACATCGTCAAAGACATCTCAAGAAATAATTCTTTTCCAGCTATTTGGGTATTCCTTAACCCAGTCAAGTGGGCACTTGAAATTAATCCTCAAACCCCACTGTCTAAGCACACTGAATCAGAATTTCTGGAGTGATGGATCAGGAATCTAAGGGTCACTTCTTACTCTTCCATCTCGTCTTCCTCCCCTCTTCTAACCCTATCCCTCTTCACATCCTAGGTTCCAGTCTTGGAAGCCTTAGTTCTCTGCTTATAATATCTATCAGCTTTTCTCTTTGTCATGTTCTTGATGAACTCCTGCTCATCATTCAAACTTAGCAAAAATATTGTTGAGAGATTATTATACACTCACTCCTCACATTTCCATAGTAAAGAAAGGGAGCATCCTCTGCACCTACCAGGAGGAGGCAATATTGATTAAGAACATTTTTAATCCCTCCTGTTCCATAAGGAAAATAGATCGACACACGGCCATGAACAAGACTGTCCTAGCCTTTATGGAAATGTTTAGTTTAGTTTAGGATCTATTTGTCTGGTGTATGCATGGTTTCTGCTACTCTTTATGGCTTCGCACACACAAAAATCATGTCTGGGTCAGGATCAAGGGCCTGCCTTTGCAAAGCAAATCTAGAAGGCTGTCTTTCTATATCCCAGTTCTCTGAGTTCCATGAGGGCAAGCATGGAAAAGCATGTGTCACAGACCAGGTTGGTATCACTTTGCAAATCCTATTTTACCTATTGGGTGGAAGCCAAGGTCAAATATTGGGAAAGTGGAGTAGGAAGGCTAATTTTGGCCACAGTTCTAAGCCATGATACAAACTTTATTTAGCAAATTGGTTATTAATTTGATCTCTTTCTGACTTCCTCCACTCATGGAGTGTGTTACTTACCATTTAATAATAATGCTATAAATGAATGACTGGTATTGGATGAATTTACTGGATGAATAAATAAATGACAGGTGTTGATCGCTTCCAATATTTCAGGGTAGCTTGAGAGAAAACACTTAGAGGGAGCTTTTCTGATTTTCCAGCTGAATTTTCTAAAAATCATAAGCAATCCATTAATAATACTAATCTGATAGAATTGAATAAAGAAATCATTTTCTCATGCTCCCTGTTTCCTTTCCTCTTAGCATGGACCCAGCAAGCAGTTTCTTCCATAATCAAAGGACCTTAGCTACTTGATAAACTGTCTCCAGCTAGCTTGCTTTACTAGAGCTTACCAGATGCTGGGTTTGCCGATTTCTTTAAATGCTACAGTTACATATATATCAATAACTTTCCTATAGTTCCAAATAAATCACCCACATTTATCACAAAACAATTACTTTCAGTAAGAACTTGGGACTGCCAAATAGAAACAAATTTTTAAAAACCTCAGTACATCAAAAATAAAGCAGACAAATCTATTTTATGATAACATAGGAATAGCACTTATTTATCCTTGACAATAGAGAATTTAAAGCAGAACCATTATGCAGCTTTGCTGTTCCCTTTTATAAACGATAAACATTCAACAAGACTTTATGGTCTTTACTGTGTTTTGAGCATGATTGCAGACTTTCAGCTAAAAGATAATCAGAACCTAAATTTGAAGTTGAGCTGTAAACCATGATACCATTGGAACATTTCCTCTGACCCACTCCAGATAACATTCCAACATCGTGAATCACCTTGGCAGTGTTTTGACTGTTGCCTTTCTCAATTGCATTCCCAGCAGAAAATGCTTTTATTTGACCAATTCAATCTTTTCAACTTTCACTTACCAACAATAGCTGATTGCTGTTGTCAAAAAAACCATGTCATAATAACAATGCACTAAACTCTTAACCTGCATGTTAGCTGCATATGAAGAGCTGTTGGAATTGAAGCAATCCTGCTGTGGATATAAGGGTTGGAAACATCATCTTGTTAGCTCTCCTTTCTCTTTCAGAAATTAATATTATCTGTTACATTTTTAGCTGAGGCATCATCTTGGGAGGGGGTTAGCTGCAAAAGTAGTAATCTACATTTTCACCAATATTTAACTATTGGTAGAGAATTTTAGACTTCACAGATTAAGAGTCTTTGTGAAATGATGAAACAAACTTTTATGTGCTTTTGAAGACACATGGAACGTAATTTCTATTCTTAGCAACAGTATTAATTATTATGATAGGAATTGCATTTTAGTACCTAATTTTCTGGGCACTGTCTTGGGTGCATTATCTAATCTGATTCTCATAACAACTCTGTCAAATAGGAATTATTATTTACAGATGATAAAATAATTCTGTGGAAAAAAAATTCTCCTTTTCATACAGCCAATAAGTGTAAAGATTACAGATTAAAAGATTAAATACTGTGTTTGAATTACTACCCTTTGCCTGAACACTTTCCATAGCTATTTTTTCCTCTAAACATTTCTGGCATCAGGACTTAGATCACTCTTCCCTGTACTGAAATGCAGTAAGACTTCCAGGATTTGGAGCGAGAAAAACCTCAAGGACTAGTGTATGAATGACCAAAAAGAATACTTTAGGAAAAATGGTTAGTTACTTCTGGATTTACTGAGCTTGGCATGAGATACCCTCTCCTAGTGCTAGTTACTCTCAAGATGCATCCCAATTTTCCATTTGGAAAACATAGCTTCCATAATAATAGCCCTAGCATACTCAATGAATTTGTTGAACAGAAGTGCATCCATTTTTAGCAGAGGTACTTCAGCAGATATTTTGGGGTATGTTTTGTGGGGGCTATTTGTAGTTCCATACGTTATGCTGTGTAGGTGGCTATCAATTCTGCTGCTTGGTAATCTTGGCCCCAAAGTTATACTGTTTCTAAGAAAAACAAACAAACAAACAAACAAACAAACAAAAAACCTTGGACCTTCTGGAGAGTACAAAGAGCAGTATTCTGGTTCCGGTTCCCCAGAAGTGGGAGAAACCAAGTAAGAAAAGAACCCTGCTGAAAGGACTGGTGCATAATCAGGTAAAAGTCTTTGACAGCAGGGACTTACACTTACACATGAGGATACAAGATAGGAATCCACTTACAGGAACCAGAGCCCCAAATCAGATTGGAATAGCAAAGGGTTGAGCTTCTGAGTTATAGGATTAGGCTTCTTAAATTCTAGATTTGTGACGAGATTGGTTCCAGAGTTGTTGGATGAACAGGTAGGAGGAGTTAAGTAATCAAAGCCAACAGTTAGAAGAGTCAGGCCAGCAAGCAGATAGCTGAGCAGAAAAGCACGAGTGTGTTTACATTTTCTGATTCTTTGATACTGTGGGAAATAGGTCATTTCCAACTGTAGATTTAGGAAACAGTATCCCCTCTCCACTCGTTTCTCCCCTTCCCAAGCTTTTTACCTTTACATATAAATATGTTGTTATTATTCAAGAAGTGGGCCAAATTTAGCTCTTTTGATGAGTGTGTTTTTATACTTTGTTTCTCTTTGAACTATAAAAAAGGAAAAGAACAAAAGAAGGTGTTTAAGGATTTATTTCTGTATGTGTGTGCTGGTATGTCACCCAGAAATGGAATCGATTTATTGTGTTATCTAAAATTGGCTTTAAAAATAAAGCTTCTTTGTATTTTCATAAATTAAGATTGTAAGCTAGGTGTTCTGAAATGTCCCTTCTTCATAGTCATCTTTATGTCATCATATTATAACAGTGGTTCTCAATCTTAGTTGCACACTAGAAACTCTTAGAGATTCTAGTGGAAAAATCCCAATCCCAGGCCACACCCCAAGCCAATTATAATGAAATTACTGGGGATGGGACTCAGACAACAGTATTTTTTAAAACTCCCCAGGTGATTTCCAAATAAAGCCAAGGGTGAGTGAAATGCTTTACACAATCATCATCATTTTCCAACAACAGCAACACATAATTTTATTTGATGTTTAATTTTGGAAGGTAGATGACACACCAGGAAAATTTCTTAAAATGAATATCTGCTTCGTTGCTCCTTGCAGTCTAGAATTTTAGCATTCACTTCTTCCTTTATTCAATAATAAACATATTCGGTAAATATTGATCAAAGGCTAGATGCTGTGCAGAATGCTAAAGATACAGAGGTAAACAAACTAGAAATAACTCTGACCTCACAGAATTTCAGTGTAGCAGAATAGAAAAAAAACAGAGGGTGTCATCAGCTAGTTTTCAACATTTGTGATCCAAGATGCATATTTTAAAATTTCCAAGCTATATTTCTGATATTGTTTAAAAACCACCCACCATCACCAACAACCAAAAAGTCTCCTTCTGTCTAATACATTAAATATATTCGTACCTCCTGATGAAATTCTTCAGAAAAGAAGGGAAGGTATAATATACCATATTCAATGTAGCAACAATCATGGACAAAAAATGAATGAAACCCCAAATCCTTTGTTAGCTGACTGTATACAGTTCTATATCCTTCAACATATTATCAGTGGACATTTAGAGATGATAAAATAGTTATTTCAGCTAAAAAATATACTAGATTGATTGTAAAACAGAGATGCACAGAACATAGCTGAATTAGCAAGTATGTTAAAAGAACTTATAGTAAACATAAAGTTTTTTTTATTTAGAATTATAATAAAATCATTCTTTTTTTTTTTTTTTTTTTTTTTTTTGAGACAGAGTCTCACCCTGTCACCCAGGCTGGAGTGCAGTGGCGTGATCTCGGCTCACTGCAATCTCCGCCTCCCAGGTTCAAGCAATTCTCCTGCCTCAGCCTCCCGAGTAGCTGGGATTACAAGTGCATGCCGATACGCCCAGCTAATTTTTTGTTTCTTTAGTAGAGACGGGGTTTCACCATGTTGGCCAGGCTGGTCTTGAACTCCTGACTTCCTGATCCACCCACCTCGGCTTCCCAAAATGCTGGGATTACAGGCGTGAGCCACTGCATCCGGCCTCTGGCTGAATTTTTAAAGAAGTTTTATTATGTTTCCTGGTCAAATATCATTAGCATATAATAAAGGTATCATGTGGCATACATCTATGTCAAAATTACTGTGGGCTTTGGGGTTCCCTCACTGGGACTAATACATAGTTGAGCTAATTAGTCTTCTATTGTTCTTTTAACAGCAAGGCCAATGAGATATTCTTACTTAGAATGGTAACATAAGAATTTTTTCTCCAGTGGTAATATTTCATAGGAGGTAGTTTTTGAACATGATATTTTAAATCGAGGTATCTTTTAATATAGTTAATTTGTAGGTAATTATAGGGCTATCTATATACATGACATACTATGAATGCTAGAACATTAATGAAAAATTATAACAAATTTCTAGTCCCTTCCTTGAGCATTATCATGCTAAAAAAAACTATAACAATTTTGATGGTTATGGCTGATGCCCTTTTGACTGTTACAATTTTAAAAATAACGTTAGTCAGCTGGAAAGCATATGTTAAAAAGGAATAGCTCAAGTGAAACAAATTCTTTTTGCTTTTGTCTCCAAGTGAACTGCACTGTGAACGGACACAAAATGTGTACGCATTGCCTGAGAGAATTGCAGTATGAGATAAGGTGTATCTGTCGAGTAACTGAAAACCTTTTTCTACTAGCAGAAATATTAAAAAATTGGAAAAACCTGTTAGTTTTTTTTAAATAAAAGTGAAACAAGTCATTTGGTTGTTTTTTTTTTTTAAAGTTTCTTTGTAGGAATATACATTTTTCATGTCAGTTGTCCTGAGGCTGGAAGGTAAATATGGTATGTGAAATGAAGTGCAACTAAAGCACTTTTTGAAGAAAAATTCAAATTTGAGAAATGAAGTTATCGTTTTTATCTTATTTGAGAAATGAAGTTACTGTTTTTATCTTATCTATCAAAATTCTTAATTACAGAATGAGAGGGTTTATGGCTTCCCTCTAGCATTACTTTTCAATGAAGCTGTTTACACTGCTTTTCAATGAAGCTATTCTAACATTATTTAGTAACCCCTCTTCCACGTTCTCCCCTTAGCTCAAAAGATTCTACTCTGTATTTTATAGATATATATGTGTGTATATACATAAGTATAAATATTAGACAAGAGCATATTAGACACACACACATATATATACATATATACATATATACACATATATATATATGAACTCCGCCTCCTGGGTTCAATGTGTATATATATACACACATATATATAAACACACACATATATTTTATATATATATACATATATATATATGAGTAGAGACAGTTCACTGATTTCGATTTGTTAAGAAATGTTTTCATGCAATTGAGACATCAAAATATCTGTATATAATGCCAGCTTTCACTAAAGGTCACATTGTACAGTCAAATTCTGAGAGGAAATGCACAGAATAACTTCATATATTCTCTGGTTCACACAGTGGAATTTTGCTAGCTAGATTTTATATTCCTTAGGTATAAACATCTTTGATAAAAATTGTTTTTGTTTTTAGTAAAAAATGGTGTTGTCCAGGAACTTAGGGCATGTTACTTAATTTGATGATCATTAAAATATGAATAACTATCTGGAAAAAATGAATTTTGAGTATCTTGATTTAAAAAAACCCTTAAAAACAGTGCAGTAAAGTCATTCTCTTTGTTTGAAGTTGGTAATGATGTTCTGGTTTGGGTGCTTTAAATTTTTAATACTGATCTCCAACACCTGACAGATAAATTTAATGTACCTTTCTCAATTATCTCTCTGTTCACTATTCATTTTCCTGTTCCCCTTGGCCATGTTTTCCTCTCTACTTTTCTTCCATCCTTTTTCCCCCCTAACTACCTAAATAAAGACAAAGTTAAAACTGGCTAGGAAAAACTAGATTTCTATTTCATATTTTTCTGTAAGAGACATATACTTTCCAAGTAATAAATTATCTTTACTGTCTTTTTTTCTTTTTCTTTTTCTTTTTTTTTTTTTTTTTTTTTGAGACGGAGTCTGGCTCTGTTTCCCAGGCTGGAGTGCAGTGGCATGATCTTGGCTCACTGCAACCTCTGCCTCCCGGGTTCAAGCGATTCTCCTGCCTCAGCCGTCAGATTAGCTGGGACTACCGGCATGTGCCACCACGCCCGGCTAATTTTTTGTATTTTTAGTACGGACGGGGTTTCATCGGGTTAGCCAGGATGGCCTCAATCTCCTGACCTCGTGATCCACTGCCTCAGCCTTCCAAAGTGCTGGGATTACAGGCATAAGCCACCGCGCCTGGCCAGTGTCTTAAATCCAGAGAACTGACCCATTTATGTTTGAGGATGAAGTGCACATATATAGGTTTGTTTTGCTCCGTTGGAATATTGAAAAAATAACAAACTATAATTTCTTTAGATCATAAGTACATGATTCAAATGATTACATGTGTGATGGTATAAAACTTAATTTGTAAAATTCACTTTCTAGCCACTAGAAAACTAACTCAGAACAGTTTTCCCATTCTTGGTAGATTAGTTCCACTGCTATTTTTGTGCAAGATGACATACAATCAGTAAAGAGAAAAAATTATGTAATTTTTTGACTTATATTTCTCCAAATGGTAGTCACTTATTACCATTATATATTCAAATATTTTAATAGAGCACATATTGTAGTTTATCTAGTTCCTTGAATTCTAAAGCATGACTTGTATAATCACAGGTGATATGTTAATGCGAATTTTTTATTCATTTTTGCAAGAAGGCAGCCAGGACCACAAAATAATTTTATAGTTTGTCTTGATACCTCTTATTAGCTATCTTTATTTCATCAAAATCAGCCCACTCCTTCAAAATAAAATATAAACAGAAAATGTGACATGTCAAATATTAGACATTCCAGCAGAGAATGAATCCTTTTTAATTTAACAAGGAATTAAACAATGTCAACTAATAAATTAGAGTTCACCTTTCATTAAAAATAAATCAGCTAGAATAATTTGACAAATTGCATACTGATAATTATAAGTTATATGTTAACGTAGGTACAGAGATAAAACTTACTATCTCTAAAGCATTCATGCAAATCTCGAAAGTTGCTCTCATATCTGGCCATCAGCACTCAATATCAACTTCCCACTAGACTCCTACTAAAAAACTCCCACTATAAAAACATGAGCTCAGTTGCCAAAAAGTGACAAAAACACTTGCAATAACATCCGATCAGTGCTCTAATGCAATAATCCACAGAAATTCATAATGATAAGGCACACTGTATCATGTAAATTGTATTAATCACTCCAGATTGCCATGGCACTCCCTTTTCTCTACCTTTTTGACTCCACCTGAAGCAGCCAACAACTCATCGGCCTTGAGAGTGGCAGGCCCTCTCTCTAGGCCACTTCTTTGCAACCAGGCTGACCAGTCTTATATACCTAGACTTTTGGTCTCCCCTGACACTCCTGGACCCAACTAAAATACGTACTACAGGTCATAGGATTTGGCATCCTGAACAGCTACCAAAGGATCCAGATGACGCAACCTGGAAGTGTGATAGGGGTAACTCACTCATGAGTAAACTGTGTCCCCTGGGAAGCAAGAGTCAAGAAAAAGCATACAAATAAATTCCACCTTCTTCCTGTATCACATGCACTGCTCCAAGAATGTTTCTTCATACAGTTCTCCTGATAGTTTCAGAATGTCTAGCAGAGATACCTGCGGAGGGACCTGTGGAGGGACTCCTGTGTGAAGTGGTAGTTGACGCTGCAATGCATCACTTTGCAGTTTTGTATTCTTCTTCACCTAACTTTTTTATGCCTCACTTTAGCTGTCCTGGGTTGATACAGTCTAAATAGTCCTTGCCTCAAGCTCTAATTTTTTGGGAATCTGGTATCAAACACACATGAATCTGGATTGAGAAAAACACAATCATTCACTCCTAATTAGATACTCCTGTCTTCATATAATAAAGCATTTAAAAAAAAAACAGGTACACCTACATCCAGATTCAAATTTTCAGAAAATGTATTCACTGGAAAAATAGGCAAACACTCTGCTTACATGGCAAGTAGGCAGAATTAGTATCCACTTTGACTATACATCTTCCTGAGAGAGAGAGGAAGAGAGAGAGCAAAGCCACGAAGATGCCTGGGCAGAAGTGGCAGTGGGTAAGAGGGTGAGAAGTGCTGTCAGCAGCACATGATATTGAAGATGAATAATCAACATAAGTAAACCTGTAAAGATGTAAGAGAAAACATGAATAACTCTGAAGGAAGAGCATGTTGGAAATTCTAAGTTTTCATGTACACCTTATTTTCAGAATGACAGAAACCAGAGAGTATGAACACTAAAAGATTTCATCTCACAAGACAATTTATTTGAAAGTTCTTGGAAACAAACTTATACTGGGAACTGAGCACACAAATTTGATCCTGAGGTGTAGCTTGAAGAAAGATATTTGCCACAGAAGAAGAAAATAAGACACAAAACAATTCACACCATATCTGATAGGAGACATTGTATTTGAATATAGGACACCATTTTAGGAGATCTCTTAAAAGAAAGAAATCCCAGTAACGTGAACTGAAGAAAGAGATAATGAGAATGGCATTTGAAGACTTACATGCAGAAAATACTTCTAAAAATTATCTAATGAATGGTCGAGAAGAAAATTTCAAAAAAAATTCAGCATCTGCAATAGGTTACAAGGAACCATGGCATTTATGAACAGCAGTTATAGGACTCATGAAGGAAAACCTGAATAATATTAAAAGGCAACAGGATTAGAGTGAAAGATAAGATGCGATAAGGAAGAATTGAAAGAAATTAAAAGGTAATAGCAGTTCTGAGCAGAAGTGATGTTGCAGAAAAACGAATCCATGATGTAAAGAATATATTTGAATAGCTCTCCTAGTCATCAAAGGGAAGGAAAAATATATATGATAATAAGAAATAATATATATCTAAGAACAAAACTGGAAAGCCAATATATTGATAATTCTACATCTAAAGAAGAAATTGGAACAAATGAGAAAGATGCACTATTCAATCATAAAAAATGAGAGCAAATATCCCAGCCAAAGGCAGACCATGATACAGATCGAAATAGGGTCACTATTCCAAACCAAGCAAATGAAGATATACCCAGACTGAGCTTAATGTTCTATGTATTAAGAATAAAAATAATTCAATTATAACTCGAGGAGAACAGATTACCTGCAACATAACAAAACAGTATAGCATCCAAACTCTCCTCTACAACATTAAATTCCTGAGTATTATGAAATAATATCTAAGAAATTTTGAGCATAAAAACAATTATAACACAGGACTTTTGTAAAAAAATAAGTTGTCATTTATTAACAAAGGCAAAAGAATAACATTCTTAGATTCCAAAGCCACAAAAAAATAAAAAAAAAATATGGCACTGAAATTATGTCGATTCACTCCAATTGACCAAGAGATGAATAAAAATTAAAAGCTTTAAAATAATGAAGACATGGTGTATCAATTGTTAAGCTTATTTCTTATCCCTAAACCCAACTTTGTGTAATCTGCTTTGTGATTCTGGGGCTGGTACAATGCAAATTACATGTCTTCTTTGCCAAGTGGCTCTCCCTGGCCAAGAATACCAATAGGAGGTGCCAGAGGAGGCTGGGAGGCAGAACACAGAGAAATAACTTGCTTCTTTCTGTTTCCATATTGTTCCTGTCAGCACCTCTAGGAAACATTTCTTCACCTCAGAAAGCAGAGTTGTTTCCAGTTGCCAGCTTCTTTCCACATTCTCAGATCAGCCTCATTGTGCTACCTAGAAAGCCCTTCTTAAATGTCTGAATCCAAGACTTGCGGGGGATTCCTCCTCTGAGCAAATGGAGCATTAGTAGCAGTCAGAGATGCCATCTTCTCAGAGCTCTGCAGGTGCAGATATTAGCAACATTTATCTTTTGTTTTCCTGGCTTAAGGTTGGTTGTTGTTTCCTGCAGTTACTAACTTGTGGTGGCTCAGTGTTTTCCTTTGCTTATTTAGTCCTCCAGTGCCTAACTGCTTTTCCTATGTTAAATTCTCTTAGTTAAAATAACTAGTATTGTTTCCAAGTTTCTGATTGAACTCTGACTAATATAATACATGGGATCATGTTAGAAAGGGATTAGTTTATCGTATCTTTGATCTTGAATTTGTGCTGAAAGTGCCTCAGTCAAGACCATCAAACCTCACCCCACCTTGCCAATGAGGAGGCCTCTGAGTGGTGGTCCCTGGGAGAGGAATGCAGACACCCACATGAGCATAGGGAGCCAGAAGCCTTGACTAAAACTTCCTCCAAAAAATTAATGCACAGGCTTTCTACTGAGCCCAGTGTGTGAGGGGCAGTATCCCCCAGAAGGGCTGTAGTACAGAGCCTTTGTAAATATCAATGGTTGGGCTTGAAAGATGCACACACACAGGATTTTGGCTTAGAGCCGGACTTCTGAGAGAGCCGTCCTGATCCTCCTGAGAGAGATGAGGGGGCCATTTGGTCTCAGATTGCTTACATTGTCCTCCTTCTATCTTGGCTGAGGCAGAGATTTGTTCCTCATTAGAATACACACTTATTTTGGATATGCATTTTTTTTCCTTGCCCACAAAGTTTCTACAAACACTATTATCCACAGGCTTATGAATGCCTTATTATTTACCATGATACAAGCAACATTGATCCTGGTCAGGGAACTCATTTCATAGCAAAATACATGTGGCAATGACTCATGTATATGGAATTCACCTAGTAATTACCATAAGCTTCTTCACGCAAAAGCAACTGACTAGTTTAATAAAATGGTCTCCCAAAGACTAAATTATGGCACAAATGGGATGGTAGCAACCTGATTTTGTGAGAGATTGATCTTAGAGTATACAGCATATACTTAGAAACAAACACCATTTGGGCTGCTGTTCTCAAGGAATAACATGGGGATCCAGGAATCAAGGGAAGTGAACATGGAAGTGGAGTTTCCCCTTGTTAAACCTTCAAACACACTTGTGGAGTTTTTGCTTCCAGTTTCCCAGTTTTGAGCTCTGCTAATTTAGAGATGTTAGCTTCAAATGGCAAAACACCGTCTAGGAAGGGACACGGCAATGGCATTGACTAGAAGTTGAAATTAGTAATAAGCACTAGAAGCAATTAAAGATCAAAATGATTAGATTATAAATCTGGGTTTAAAACTAAATGTAACACAGTAATTACTCTTTAATGAAAATTAATGTTATTTGAAAATATGTTATACCTGTAATCAGTACCAGAAATATTAGTAATATCATCAAAGTTTGAGTGGTGTGTATGTGTGGGGAGTTACTGGGAAGAGAGTAAAATTTTCCTAATTAAAGAAGAAAGACCCAAACATATTTTTGATGATGACAATCAAATAAATACATTTTAAGATGCTTTTGAGAATTCTTATATATTTGGAATGATTAAAATTAGGACGCATTCTCTAAAGATTGAAGAAAATTTAGAAAAATAAAAGGGAATACAAGCCTCATATAAAACAAGAGAAATTATGAGCAACAAATAACTTTAAAAATTGAGAATATAAATGATTAACATAAGCAAAGGTATAGTCTCTTAAATTATAAAAGAAATTGGATTGGACTTACCACAGAGATTATAAGATGAAATTTTAAAAATTCAATTCAATTACATGTTGTTCTTGACACATGTTAAAACCTACACACAAATTCAAAGTAACTTAATACTCAAAATCAACAAGGCAAGCATAATCAACAACAGAACATGAGTTGATATTATGTTAAAAGTACAATATGTTAAATGGAACAAAAAAGTCACTTTATCTTTTGAATAAAGTAATTCAAAATTAAGACATGACTATCATTAATCATAAATACCAAGAAAATAATATATTTAATATTAATATAGCTAAATTATTTTATATATTAGATATGACATATTCATTACATGAATAGCTACATATATATTCATATATAAAACATTTAGACATATGCGGAAAATTAAGTACTGGAAGTAATACATCTTTCAATTTTTTTCAAAGAACCAGACTTTGGCTTTGTTGATCCCCTTTGGGGCATTTATTTTCTATTTTTTTAAAAAATTATTTTCTTATATATATTATCTCTTTCATTTAGGTTTAGTTTGACCTTATGTATGTGGGTCATCAGGTGGCTTCTTATTCATTTTTAGTGTGTGTTTGTTGTTTTAGAGATACATTTAATGCCATTGTTTCTCTTTATGTATATCTTTCACTGTATCTTCCCAAGTTATGAATGTTATAGTTTTGCCTGGCTTTCAGATTGTATAATTTTTTTTGCTCTAGCTTCAAGTTTACTGATTCTGCCTTCTGTCGTCTCTAATCTGTCGTTAAGCCTGTCAGAATTTTTAAAAATTTCATTTATTGTTTCCACTTTCATTTGGTTCTTTTTTTCCATTTATGTGCTCAGATTCCCTATCTGTTCACTCAAAATGACCATATTTTCCTTTACATATTTAAAATTACTTGTAACAACTTCTTTAAATTATTTCCTGCTAAATCCAACATCTGAACCTTTTCAGAGTCAGTTATTGACTGTTTTTGTTTCTTGAATGTGGGCCACATTTTCCTGTTTGCATGTACACTGATATTTATTATATACCAGATGTTAGGGTAATGCATTGTTGTGATTCTAGATTCTGCTAGCCACCTCTAAAGAACATTGATTTTTGTTCTTGCAGGCAGGCCAATAACTGGCTGATCGCAGTGAACATGTGTCTGTTTTTATGCTTTTTTATGGTAGTTCTGTGAAAATCCCAACTTGCTTCTTAAGCCCCTCTAAATTGGAAGGATCTGAGCTCCCAAGTACTACATCCCCTGAACTTATTTAAAGAATTTTTGGCTTTTGTTATTCAGGCTTTGTTAGAGCATGTCTAGAATAGGTCTACTCTAGGGTGTGATCTTTAGTCCTCAGGTTGCGGCCTTTCTGATTTTCAGCTAGATGTCTGTGTTGGAATTGGGCTGAAACTCTACTTCCCAGCACTGTTTGATCTCTAGTATTTCTGTTTCTCTCTCAGACCTATAGTTGCTACTCATTGTTAAGCCTTGTATAGTCTGGTTCCATGCATGTGCAAACCAGTCCTCAGCCAAAGATTCATAGAGAATTCCTAAATGAGCTTCTGCCTTTCCCACTCCCAATCCCTGTGTAGCTCCCATCTTTTCAGTTTCCTGCCCAACAGATTCCAGTCACTTGGGTGGCCTCAAACGTGTATCTCTTCTTTCCACATCTGAGGAGGACCACCATGCTCCACTTGAACTCAAGCTCCCTAGACTGGGAACTAGGCAATTATCTCTAGGCAGAGAGCTAGAACAAACATGTGAGTCACCTTGTGAGTTTCCCTTCTTTCAGAGATTATGCTCTTGTGCTGCCTACTGCCCAATGCTTAAAAGAGTTGCATTACATATTTTTCCAGTTTTATAATTGCTTTTGGTGGCAGAATTTGTTTAGTACCAGTTCCTCTGTTATGGTTGAAGCAGATAATTACCGAAAGTAATTTGTATTTTCTTTTCCTTGCTTATTGGAATTTTCTTATTGAATATGTATAATATTGATAGCTATATGTTTTAAATTACTTCAAAAGAAAATGTTATTCAAGTCAGAAGAAGAAAATAGAATTCCTATTAAGTTTCACAGAGATTAAAGAACACACCTGGCTGTAAGCTTTCTTTCTAATATCATAGCCTTCTTAGGATGTGTTTTTATTATTTATCTTCAAATTTTTCAAAATGAGGAAAGAACTTGAAAGATGATTAAAAAGTAAAAAAAATTGGAAATGCACAAGGAATATAAATCCTGGAAAAAAATACACTGATACTTAATCAGTAGCTTTTATATTCAATTTATTTTTCTAACTCCCTGACTTCTACATTATAAATTTTAAGAATTTTGTACATAGTGTGAAAATATACTCTAACACACTAATAGGGCTAATGATTTCTAAGACGATATATATATCATGTATTGAGTACTTGCCCTATATCAGGCCCTGTGCTATATATACTATATATACATGGTTTTATTTAATCCTCATTACAACTGCCAAATATAGGCAAATTTATACCTATTTTGTTCCCACAAGGAAACAACCTTAGAGCAGTGAAGGAAGCTGATAAAAGTTCTTTCCTTTGGTAAAGTAAGTATGTCCTTCTGGGCCAACATGAGAATTAATGTCTCTGTGTGCACCTGTACAATAAGACCTTCAATGTACTCTTCATGTAGTCCTAGTATGCGGTGTTTATCTGCATATTCCAAATATTACTTATTAATACCTATGAATTCCACATATTACTTAATAATACTTATGAATGTTTCATTATATTTATACTTATCAAAAGTGCATATGGGCTAAAATTGTTTGAGGGACTGCTCTAAAACTTAGGTTTTAAAGCAGTAATGACATTCATTATTTTATCTCTTTATCCTCAATGTACTTTGCAAGTGGCTTTGATTATTTTCTTTAGTACAAGCTATGTGGTATGAGTATATCTCAGGATGAAGAACATGTTTTGGATTCTAAACTACACTATAAACAGAATCACTAGTCTTCAGAAGCAAATTTGTTGTCCAAACTATGTGGTTAAATATCCCCATATGTGCAAATGCTGACAATTGTTTGATCCAGGGAGAGTTGAAAGGGAGCTTCAGAGATGATTATAAAGAGAAACCTGAATGAACAAAACCATCTTACTCAGTGGAAACCATCCAGTTCCCAGATGAGAAGTCATTAAAATTTCTGCTGACTTTCACTGGCAGAATGAAAAAAGGATTAGAAAAGATGATATTAAACATTTTTAGAGCATATATTAATTGGATATATTCTCATAACTCTGTGACATACTACTATGACCAACCCTGTTTTACTGATGATCTAACTGAGAATTAATGGTTACATAATGTACCTGGGGTTAGTTACATCTCCTACATTGTAGGAGATTGAGCTAAGAGCAGGGACCAGGTAGACTGATACTCAAGGTTATACTCTTGACCACTACACTGTACTGCTTTGAAACTGATTAAATACAGGAAACAGTACTTTAGAGAATTTATGTCTTCTTAGTCATTTGTTTATATATCAATATAAATAAATTCTTACTTAATGTTGTTGGCCACTCTGGTTATAAGATTTCCAACTTTTGGTGAATGTTTTCTTAGGTAATTATTTGCTAAGCCCCTTTTCCCCATTGGTACCCTGCCCTTATTTCTAGCCTCATTTCTTACTACACTGTCCTACTTTGAGCCCTCTGAGAGCTTCATGGAGCCTGTTCTCCAAAAAGCTGAGAGAGGGATTCTATTTAGCCTGATTTGTTCCTGCTGTAAAAGTGTTTTAGGTTTGAAAACTTTCAATTATGTCATGAATGGGGAAACCTCTCTTAGGACCAGAAGGGGAAAAAAATACAGTGATTTTAATTTTTTACCCCTTAACACAGAAAGAAAGAGTAAGATTATTTTTCAATTAAAGGCTCTATCTTGGCCTAAGGATTTAAGATATTCAATCTCTAAAGAATTTGGCTTCCCAGGAGTGGGAATGTTAAATTTAAGCTATAGAATTGACTTGAATTAAAGCAAATTAGTAAAATGCGTAATTTTACTGGATTTGTGGAGTTTGCTTTGGTAGAGATTTAGATATATATGATTGCATATTTTTTTTCTTTTTTCTTTTTCAGACTACAGTCATGTAATCAGTCCTATTATATTAACTGGGTATGCATTTTTTTTTGCATCATGATAGCAGTTGTTTCAATTAAATTAATCCAAGCCAAATCCAATTGATTCATTTGGGAAACAACAGGGTCACTTGACAATGAGAAAACAAAAATGTTAAAGTGTAGAAAGAAATTGTAGCTCTGTGGGGGAAGCATTATATAATTAACTAAGGCATTAATATTATTTTTTTTAACTCACATACCAAAAGAAAGCTATATTTGGATATCAGAGTGCAGTTACTTCTCTGCCTGGGTAGGTGGTCTTCGATCACTTTTTCCTTTGTTGCCTCATTCTGCCAGTCTATGAACCTCTGCTGGTTCTGTCTACCCTCTGCTCTCATTGTCTCAACTGCAGCATTTAAGCTTACCTGGCAGGTGCGGTAAATATTAGGTATCCTTATCATTTGGCCTTCCCCTTCTCCAGATCATGTGGCTAGTAGAGTGACCACATATATGTCAACTAAACTTGGGCATTTTCTCTAGTGCAAATGCTGAATGAAGAAGGGCTCTGGTATAAGGGGCAAAACCAGGACTGTCCTGGGCAAACCATAGAGTTTTACCTATAGTATTGATTGCTCCTGCTTTCCCCTCACTGCCAATATCCAGGACTCAGCTCCTTCAATCTCAGGGAGTAGAAACTCATGTTGCTTCAAAGCCATAGTTATTTCCTCCTCCACCATGCTGGCTTAATCCATTGATACTGAGTTTTTGTTTTGACTTTACTCCCAAATTTGGTCCAGTTACCTTTTATGTTCAGTGCTAGAATTCTGCCCTATAACCCCAACTAAGAGCTTGACATTCTTCCATAAACTCAGTAGTCTTCTGCTCTTACACTAAAGTTATATATTTAAAGAGTAACACAGAGGCTGAGGCCTGTCCCCACTGAACATAAATGTTGCTTGCTGCCTGACTGGTCACCTGCTGAAGCACTACGCATCCTGGTTTCCTTTGCTGTCGAAATCTATAAACTTCATGGCAATCTGATGTCTCATCAGAGACCTAAGATACTGGCTGCTTTCTTAATGTTGGCACATGCTTCTGTGCCTCCAGATCTTTGAAAATTTTATAACTACGTATATTTCCGGAGCAAGACTCTTCAGGTAGTTATTTCATTAATTCTTGCCCTTCCATTTCAGATCAGTATATATCTAATATTACTCCCATGCTCTACTTGTGGCCTATGTACCCTTGGAAGGACCACTATTCTGCTCACCAGAGGCCCAAATTTTACTAAGGAACTTCCTATGTTCAACTATGTGGCAGACATGATTTGGAGTATAAATTTAAATATAGACTTGCTTGCGGAAGGGTAGATTACGAGAGATTGGAAGCAGGATTCATGTCAATTATGTCATTAAAGAGAACCAAAATGAAGAGACTAGAAAATGTTGGGAACTAATTTTATATTGGTGTTGTATCAGTTAAATTTCACTGATGGTAAGCAACATAAATCAACTTTAAAAATTTAAGTGAAGGAGGAACTTGTTGGAGGAACATTGGAGCCATATGTAGAATGAAAAAAAGAACTGTAATACTTTGGCCCTTGACCTTTGAGCCCTGAGGTCCTCATTCCCCAGCTTCAGAATGTTTTGGAAGCTCACCACTACCAACCCACTCCCTCTATGGGAATTTAACTTGGCTAAAGAGAGCTGACTTCCCAGGGGTGTTACCTTGATTAAAGCCACTCTGTTTAGCCTAATTCAATTTCTGTCCCATGACAGTTTGATGAGGGAATATACCTTTTTCTCTTTGACTCCTTGCCTCAATTTGGGACACCTCTGAAGAGCCATCCTAGCTCCAGAGTTCTCCATAGGATTGGCTGAAGACTCCATTGCAACTGTACCACATCCCAACCTCTCCTACTTCCCAATATGTTTCATTTCACTGCCTTAGAGGAAGGTTTTGATCCCAAGATCAATCTTACAGAGGATGGAGCTGATTTATTGCTTTAATGAGATAACTCTACCATTAGCTCTAGAGATACTTGAAAGTATGACTTTGACTCTTGGACAAGACTAGGGTATAGGGTAGTAGGATTTATCACATTCTGTTAAAAGTCTGAAACTTCCCTGCCAAGCCCCAATTTTATTTTATGTTTTTACTGATGGTTTCCAAATGTTTTAACTGGTTAAACAGCCTAGTTTGACAGCAAGACCAGAGAGGCATAAAAATTTTATTAGAGCTTCTGCTTTGAGCTCTCCCAAAGCCAAACTTTCTCACATAGTTCTTGGTTGAATTCAGCTATGAAGTACAACCCTTGCACATATGAGGCCCATGGGAGCTAGTGTATGGATATCTTTCTGACCATAATGTTTGCTTGTACCTGCTTTTTTTAATTTTTTTTTTAATGGCACCATATCTTTTGTCTTTAAATAAGTGTTACATAAGTATGCTCTATCGGGTCTATGTGTCCTTTAAATATCTATATATGGGAAATCTTTTCAATCCCTCAATAAGCTTCCCACATGCAGATCTCAGTCTCAGAGCCTGTTTCCTGGATAATTCTGACCTGTGGAAACAATGCACTTTTAGAAAGTGTGCTAATCAAATAAGCTCTGGTGTTTTCAACAGCAGTAAAGTAGAAATTGTCTACTAGGGTTTCCTAAACTCCTTTTGTCTTCTGTGTCTTTGCTATTGGTTGAATTGTGTCCTCCAAAATTTGCATGTTGAAGTTTTAACCCCCAGAACTTCAGAATGTGACTTTATTTGGAAATAGGGTCATTGCAGGCATAATTAGTTAAGATTAAGTTATCCTGGAGTAGGGTGGGCCCCTAATCCAATATGACCAGTGTTCTTACATAGAGAGAAAAATGTGAATACACACACAAACACAGACACACACACGCACACAGACTGCCATGTGAAAATGAAGGTAGAAATAAGGGTATTGTAGCAGAAGCCAAGAAACACCCAGGACTGACAGCAAACCACTAGAAGCTAGGAGACAGGAGTGGATCAGATTTCTCCCTCAGAACACTCAGAAGGTTAGACTCACTCTACCATCGCCTTGATTGTAGCCTTCAGAATGGTAAGACAATGAGTCCTGTTGTATAAGCCCCCAATTTGTAGTAGTTTGTTATTGCAGTCTTTGCAAAATTATAGTCTTTGCTTAAGATCCAAATTCCCAGGAAGGTAGTTCTGATTTGTCCACTGATCAAACAAACAAATAAACAAACAAAATTGCTACACTGAGACAAGGTAGCAAAGAATATTAGAAATGAATTTGAAGTTTCAGGCCTACTGATTAGAAAAAATGATAATTCTCCTCACTGGAAAACAGAACTCTGGAGTTGAAACAAGTTTTATGGGTAACACATTGTTTTATTTATTTGAGTTTGTGGTAGTAACGGTACATCTATCTGGAGATACCAGCCAGAGATTAGAAATTTCTGGTTAGAGCCTGAGAGAGGGACTGAGATTAAAGATTTAGAGTTGACCCTTAAACAACAGAGGGGTTATGAGGGAGCTGACTCCTTGTGCAGTCAAAAATCTGAGTATAACTTTTGACTCCTCAAAAACTTTACTAAGAGCCTACTGTTGACCAGAAACCTCAACAATAACATAAACAGTTGATTAACACTTATTTTTCATGTTATATATATTATATACTCTATTCTTATAATAAACCAATGGAGAGAAAAGAAAATGGTATGACGAAAATAAGAAAGAGAAAATACATTTATAGTACTGTACTGTATCAATACTGTAAGTTTACATCACCTGTTTAAAAGATGAATTCTCTGAAATGGAGGGTGCCCACAGTGGCAAAACTCAATCTATGATACATATCGAGCAATTTAACCTTTTCTTGTAATGTCATGACTTTGCTATTTGGGAGCACTTCCCAGCATCACTGGTGGCCCCTTGTGTGGGCCTCACGGTGTTACTCAAGATTTATGATATTGCACTAAACAGATGAAAAATACTCTGGAAGTTTGAAATCACTTTTTAATGCAATACAAAATTTACTGGAAACACCCACTTACATGGAAACCATTAGCATCACCAGCGATTTAAGTGGATAGTTGCAACACTTGAGCTCACTGCAATAGCAACAGGAAGTAGCTACCATATTGTTACAGTAGTGCAGTATGTACTAAAGTGAATTTTATGCAATTATGATTTAATGCTGCATCTTTACTTTTGTTTACATTTATCTGACTGTGAATGTTGCCATGTATGGTCTGTGTGGGCATAAGCTTTGATACATTTTAACATTTTACAATAAATTCTTCTGTATTTTATGGTAATATATGATAAAATAGACTCATATGTAATATATTTTATGTATTCATAACATACCTAAACTTCTTTTAATTTTTTTTTTTTTTTTTTGAGACAGAGTCTCGCTCTGTCACCCAGGCTGGAGTGCAGTGGCGTGATCTTGGCTCACTGCAAGCTCCCCCTCGCGGGTTCAGGCCATTCTTCTGCCTCAGCCTCCCGAGTAGCTGGTACTACAGGTGCCTGCCACCACGCCCGGCTAGTTTTTTTTGTATTTTTAGTAGACACGGGGTTTCACTGTGTTAGCCAGGATGGTCTTGATCTCCTGACCTTGTGATCCACCCGCTTTGGCCTCCCAAAGTGCTGGGATTACAGGTGTGAGCCACTGTCCCTGGCCAACTTCTTTTTATTTTTTAAAAATATTTTAAATCGCATGGTTCATCTGCAAGTTTTTTAAATTGTCACAGATTTCCAATTTTCTAATACATTTATTTAAAAAAATCCACATATAAGTGTATCCATGCAGTTCATACTTGTGTTGTTCAAGGGTCAACCGTAGGTATGAGTGATTTTACAGAAGTAACTTTTGAAGAAATTGGATCATTAATCACTGGCCGTGGGCCAGACCAGGAGTAAGCTCAACTGTACCTTAAAGTTTGCTATGATGGTTTCTGTGGGTAGTGCTGTAGGAATTGAGGGAAAAACAACTAGCTATTGCTGATTAGTAGCTTAAGTTTTCAGGTCAGCCAGAGAAGAGAGAAATTTACTCAAAAAAGTTAGGGTGCCAAATTTTGTCATAAGAAATAATCTGGGCTCAAGAACTTGGAGCCAAGGCCAAAAGCATATTATGGAGAAAAAAATTCAGCAAAGAAGTTACATTAAAATCAAGTTGGTGTCAATACATTAATTCACTGGGGAGAAGAAGAGTCTTGTCAGCAAATGGTATTGGGACAACTACATATCTGTGGTCAAATAAATAAAGTTGGTCTCTTATATCACACCGCATACAAAAATTAATTCAAAATGGATCAAAGATCTAAATATAGCAGTTGACTTATTAAACTCTTAGAAGAAAACATAGGCAGAGTCTCATAAATCTTCGTTAGGTAATAATCTCTTAGATTTGACAGTAAAAGTACAAGCAATGACAACAGCCAAACAGATAAATGAGACAAAAATTAAAAATGTTTTGTAGTTTGAAGGACACCATCAAAAAAGTGGATTAAAAAACTCATAGAATTAAAATAGAGGCAAAGGATTCAACTAGGCATTTCTCCAAAGAAGAGATAAAAATGGCATTAGACAGATGAAAATATGTCCCTATAGTTAACCATCACAGAAATGCAAATCAAAACCACGATTACATACCACTGATATGAACTGGAATGACTATGATAAAAAAGAAAGGTAATAGTAAGTGTTGGTGAGAATGTAAAGAAATTTTAGAAAGTACAGTTGCTCTGGAAACAGTCTGGCATTTTTTAAAAAGGTTAAACAGAGCTTCCTCACAACCCAGTAGTTTCACCTCTAGATATATACCTGTGAGAAATAAAACATGCGTCCACATAAAACTTGTGGAACAGTATTCATAGTAGCATCATACTTAACAGCCAAAAGGTAGAAACAATTCAAATGTTTATCAACTAAAGGATGAATGAACAAAATTTGGTATATCTTTGTAATGCAATATTATTGGACTACAAAAAGGAATGAAGTTCTGATTTACTCTACAATATGAATGAACCTTCTAACATTATGCTAAAAATCAGTCACATATTGTATGATTCCTTATACAGTTATGCATTGCTTAACAACAGAGACGTGTTCTGAGAAGTGCATCATTAAGCCATTTTCTCCTTGTGCAAACATTATAGATTGTACTTCACAAACCTAGATGGTATATAGCCTACTACAGTATGATACGGCTTATTGCTCCTGGGCTACATACCTGTACAGCATGTTACTGTACTGAATAGTGTGGGCAATTTTAACACGATGGTATTTGTGTGTCCAAATATATCTAAACATAGAAAAGGTACAGTAAACATTTGGAATAAAAGATTAAAAGAAAAGTACATCTGTACAGAGCACCTATTTTGAATGGGGTTTTCAGGACTGGAAGTTTCTTTGGGTGAGGCAGTGAGTGGTGAATGAATGTGAAGGCCTAGGATATTACTGTGCAT
This sequence comes from Homo sapiens, assembly GCF_000001405.40. Classification (NCBI taxonomy): domain Eukaryota; kingdom Metazoa; phylum Chordata; class Mammalia; order Primates; family Hominidae; genus Homo; species Homo sapiens. The sequence goes on from NC_000007.14 coordinate 115,108,939, forward strand.
TCTGTAGGCTTTATAAACACTGTACATTTAAGCCACACTAAATTTATTTAAAACATTTCTTTCTTCAATAACAACCTTAGCTTACTATAACTTTTTTACTTAATAACCTCTTGATTTTTTTAACTTTTTGACTCTTCCGTAATAATACTTAGGTTAAAATGCAAATACATTGTACAGCTGTACAAAAATATTTTCTTTTTAATATCCCTATTCTGTATGCCTTTAAGTCTTTAAAAATTTTTTATTCTATTTTTTTACTTTTAAACTTCTTTGTTAAAAAACAGAGGCAAAAACACACACATTAGCCTAGGCCTACACGGGGTCAGGATCATCAATATCACTGTCTCCCACCTATATATCTTGTCCCACTGAAAGATTTTCAGGGGTGATAGCATGCACAGAGCTGTCATCTTCTATGATAACAATGCCTTCTTCTGAAATACCTCCTAAAGGACCTGCCTGTGGCTGTTTTACAGTGGACTTTAAAACATATATATATATATATATATATATATATAGAGAGAGAGAGAGAGAGAGAGAGAGAGAGAGAGAAAGAGAGAGAGAGAGAGAGGGAGTATACCCTAAAATAAAAAGCTATGGTATAGTAAACACATAAGGCAATCATGTATAATGTAGTCATTTATGATCAAGTGTTATGTACCATACATAATTGTATGTGCCAGACTTTCATATGACTATCAGTGCAGTAGGTCTGTTTACAGCAGCATCCCCACAAACATGTGAATAGTGTGTTCCACTATGACATTAAGACTGCTATGATGTCCCTAGGCAGTAATGATTTTCCAGCTCCGTTATAATCCTATGGGACCACTGTTGTATATATGGTCTGTTGTTCACCAAAACTGTTAAGCAGCAGAAGACCATGTATAAAATATTCAGAATAGGGAAATCTAAATAGACAGAAAGTTAATTAGTGGTTGCTTAGGGCTGGAAGGGGAAATTATAATGAAAAACTGTGGAATTTCTGGATGATAAAAATGTTATAAGATTGTGATAAGGGTTGCACAACTCTGTATTATACTAAGAACCTATATTACACCTTATATATTTTCAATGGATGAATTGTGTAGTATGTGAATTCTATCTCAATAAAGCTGTTTTGAAAATCAAATAAAAAATGGAGGTGTGGTGAGTGTAGACATGGAGAGTAAGTTTTAGCAGTGGGTCCAGTTTTATGTGTGTGAAACATCAAGATCAAATAGACAACAAAAGCAGAGTGTCATGTTGCTAATTGATAAGAAAGATAGATGAAAATGCCTCTTAACTCACTAGCAAGAAGATATAACTGCTTTAGTGAGATGTATTGATAAATATGAAACGATTTTATTTTTTTAAAATAAATTTCAACTGTTCTATATTGAGCCCCCTCTGTCTTTTCTTCCCTTAACAGGATTTTAGCAATATTTCCTAACTTTTCTGCTACTTTTGGCAATTAAAAGAGGCTAATTCTTGTGTTCAAGAATTTGCCCTTTATATTTAAAATTTAACTTTTATATCCAATGCAAAGTGATTCTCCTCTCTTCTTCCTAGAAGAGGCAGAAGCTGTGCAGGAGGGAATGTTGTCTGCCTCTCAGGCATTTTTCAGGCCTTCTCACTTCTCTCCTGTCTCTTTCTACCACCTTTAAGTGGTGCTATCTCTGGGGGCAGTGATGAAGGAAATGAAGGAACAATGTTCTCATGCTTCAGAGCCGATTCCAGGTGCACACACACAGAGACCTGCACCCTTGCCCTTAGCACTCTGATGAGGACTTGACCTTGTGAAAGGTTGTGGCCATTCCCTTCCCATGTGAACTGGCCTTTATTTACTCTTTCTCTGGTAGTTTTCCAAATACTTGTATTGGCTTCTTTTTTTAAAAGGTCAGTTTCCCTCTCCTGCTGCTATTTAGACTTGATCATTATTCCTTATGCTATTTTACTCAAGTCCTTGGAAAGAATGTTCAATGTAAGCAATTTCCACTTTGCTGTCTATCCTATGAGTTACATATGAGCTATTACTTGTTACAAATTGTTAGTTCTAGCAACTTGCTGAGGAGGTTATTACGTCAAAGTACTGTACATATGGGGTTGACTTTTCCTTTTTCTGGTACTGTCTTGATTTGAGGGGTGTGGAAACTAAATTGTTAAAGACATCATCAGATATTGTCACCACACCTTCCACCCTCTTCTTTTCTCTTTTGTTTTGTTTGTTTATCTGCTATTTTCTCCTATTTATCATTGCTTCCATCAAAATATCAGATTCAATTGAAACTCTATTCAAATTCAGCAAAAACATTAATAGCTGGAAATTATTTGTGTATTTCCTCATTAATTGTCTTGCTGATTTCTATAGAGTTAAACCACATTATCCAGGTGGTGGTATGTTGAACACAAAGGCACAATAAGCACTAAATAATTTACTTCTAGCTCTTCCAAACACTACCATATTCTCCAGTGACTTGGGCAGCAGTGGTGATTATATCTGTAGGCTTGTCTTCTTTGTCAAATCTGGCAGTGGCTTTTTTGACATCACTAAAAATGACACTGACAGTAGAGTCCTTGGGGTGGCCCACATGTATTATTTTTAAGAAAGCAAATGTCACAGTACTGTGGAAACAATCATATTACTGGCACTTAAAATCATACCTCACCATGTCAAGGTAAAAAATAGCTTGGGACAACAGATCTGAGTTTGATTAAGAGTACTGTGGAAAACAGAGTGAGGTAGAAACCAAACATTTTTAAGTTCTTCTACTTAGTTCTCTCATTCCAACACCACAGAATACAGCCACTCAATCTATGAGCTAGTCAGGCATACAAATTCTCACTTCACTTTACGTCCTCTGCAAGTAGACAATTTTGGATCTGCAGTTACTAACATCTCCAGAGGCCAGGCAACACAGACTTTTGCATGACTTTCAGAGCCACAAAAGAAACATGGGGACCCACAATTGGGAAGGAATCATTCAATACCACTTGACTTGAGATTTTGAAGTATCATTCCCATTTCACTAATAGCCAAGTTAGAACATATGCTGGAAGAGACACACAAGTGAAAAACAAAAAACACACATTTAACTGCATTCTTTACACTTGTGGAAAAAACACATAATTTAACTATTCTTGAGTTTACCTGATTGTCATGTACATAACTGGAAGAAGAAATTAAGTCTTGTTTGTATAATTAGACTACCAACACAGAAGCAGAAGTTACACCAAGTCATGGGATATGTTGAGCCTTTAGTACTGGGTCCTACACCTACTGATGGTGTGTTTTCCAACTAACTACCTTTAACTGCATGAGAAGAGCATACCTGCCTGCATACACTGGGGAGGGAAAGTTGGGAGAGTGGGCATGGTTACAACAAATCTGTTTTATGTTGGGAGGCCAACGCAGGTGGATCACCTGAGGTCAGGAGTTTGAGACCAGCCTGGCCAACATGGTGAAACCCCGTCTCTACTAAAATACAAAAATTAGCTGAGTGTGGTGGAGGGCACCTATAATCCCAGCTACTCTGGAGGCTGAGTCAGGAGAATCACTTGAACCCAGGAGGCAAAGGTTGCAGTGAGCCAAGATCATGTCTTGCACTCTAGCCTGGGCAATAAGAGTGAAACTCTGTCTCAAAAAACAAACAAACAAACAAACGATTTTATGTTCCCAGACTTGAAGTCATAGCTTTCCTTCTCCTTTGGGACAGAAGAAAGTCTACTAATCTCACTTTCTCTCCAACTCTGGCTCATCAGGCTGTTTTTCTAATATATTTCTAACTCATCTATGTTTTTCCATTTTCTTCTCTCTCAATCTTCCCTTTCCACCCTATATGCCGATATCAGATAGACTAGCTTTCCTAAACTCATTTTAACAATTCTCTGCTTAAGAATCAAAGATGGCTCTTTTTTTGTCTATCAAAGCAAGTCCAGTTCCTCAGCTTGGCACTTTATCCCTATCCACAAACACCCTCCTTCACTCTCATATCTTCACTTTATTCCTTACATCTCAAGGTTTCTCTCACTTTCTCCCCAAACTGCCTCATCTCCCATCTAGAGTGTGTTCACATTACCTTGGCTCCGTCCTCCAGTGTTTCTCAACTGTAGGAAACCATTATTTCTGCTGCCCCCAGGGATTCTGATATGTTCCTCATTCCTTTACTCCATTAAAGAATCATAGCTTTTTGCTTATCCTAGCAGACGGGGGTTTGTAAAGCTTTGCTTCTCTTGATTTGTATTATAAAAGCAGAAGTTATTGGTTTGTTTTTAAATATATATATAAAATTGTTGTAATATTGAATATGCATTTCTTTTCAAGTAACACCCTTTCTTTCCACTTAGTGGATATTCTTCCTCCCTTGAAAATGACGGACATAGTTAATTCATGCATTTCTCTGCAGTCAGCATAATCTTAGCCTTCCCTGATGTCATCTTTATTCTCTCTTCTTTGAACTCCTATGATGCTTGTATATGACACGTACCCATTTATTACTTAGTTCTCGTGTGTTGTTTTTTTTTCTTCAGTGAAATGGGTAAAGTTCTTGAGAACAGTAGTCATGTCATATTTCTCAATATTTCCATCTAGTCTAATATCAGGCATGTGATACATCCTTAAGTTCCTGTTATCAATTCGTTTTGCTGAACAATTGGAATTTTCTGCCATTTTAAACATGTGTCTGTCTGAATCATGGATGCTAACCATGTTTGTAAAAGCCAAACATACTGATAATCCATGTATTTTATGGAGAAAAATTACAGTCTCCAGGCTCTGGGCAAATTTTGTGCACATGTAAAAATACTCAGAAAAATAACAGGAATAATTAAATACATGTTTCTGAGTTGAATGAGGTTTTAAAGGTAATCACTACCATATATTTAGTGACAATTCTTCTCAGTGCCTAATAGTTTCTGGGAATTTGTGGATGGTTTACTCATTAAACTGTTGCTTACAATCTATCCCAACTTGTTTTGCCTACTCTAGTTTCTCTCTTCACAAACTATCCCTTGTTCAGGCGGAAAAAAAAATGTGCATGAGGAATACTTTCCACGCATCTTGCCAACCCTGTTAAGAAACATTTCATTTGTTCTTCCAAAGCTAATGTTTACCTTTCCGCATAGATAGGACTTTCATCTGAAATCTGATATTTTAGAAGTTTTCATTTACCACTTTAGAAGCAATATTTTGTCCATGTTACATAGGTATTCACCACCATTACTTTCACTGAATTCTGTATCAAATGTGATTATGAAACAAATCACTGTAATATACTGATAAGAAATAAATTAGCATACACCTATAGTACGCTGCATTTGATTTGTGTAGCTATGTGGATAATTCTACACTGTTGGGGGAATGCTACCATAATTTAAATAGAAAACGAGTTTTGTTTTCTAAATAAAGTTTAATGGTGTATCCAGAAATAATATTCTCCTATCCTTGGTTTTAAAGTGCTCAAGGAAGCACAAAAGCTTTCTGGGATTTCATGTATTCAAATGGGGTTTTAAACATGTTATTTCATTTCTTAACAATTCAAGTACACTTATTACGCATTTGCTTGTGCTTCCATAGATCGCCAAGCTGACCTTGTACATATATAATAAATGATCTTCAAAGACAATTTATGTTTTATTTTCTTGATTTATGTTATTGGCTCGCTGACTATTCCGAGGGAAAATGAGGTGGAATACTTCTAAATATGTCCTTCTCACCTTCCTTCTTACACCTCCCTTTCCTGCCAAAATCTTGTTTTTACAGTTTTATTTTGTTACTGATGCTCACTCTGTGTGGTCCTTTTCTAATAAGAAAATAGAAATAGAAAAACACACCCATTTATTTTCCCCTTTACTGTAATCCTGGCCTCTTGGGAATTTGGAGGTCAGTGATTTGCTATGTCTCCCGCTCCTTCCGTTCTTCCCAGATAGGAGCTTATTGGATGAAGAGAGAACAGTGGTGCTTTGTGACTGGGGGACTGGGCAGTGCTTGACCTAGCACTTTTCTCCAGGTGCATACACCTGCAGTTCACTGTGGCTGGACTGTTGGATCAGCCAGTCAAACAATTTATTCTTTTTAATGAATTAATTGGGCATTTAACTGAAATGGCAAATCACAGTCCTGAATTAAAAGGGTAAAATGGTGATTTGTATAAGGATAACCTAAATTATTTGAAGAAAAATGCAGAGCAGTGTCATGCTCAGTATACATCCTGGAAAATATAAAAACCTAATGTCATCTGACTCTGCTATTTCAGAGATAAAGTGTTAAATAATGACATTCCTGTATTTATTTTATTACCCAGATATAATGTATGAGTGAAAGTTTAAATGGAATACTTCCAAAATATTAGTGCTGAACTGGATTCAAATTTTGGGGGAAAAAAACAATTCTTTTAAAAGGGCAGATACACTGGAGATTGAACACAATAAAACCCTAGAAATTATAAGTTTAGCTTAAAACTCCATCATTAATACATCCCTTTAGAATATAACAGAGAACAACACATTCTCACATTGCCACAGTGCCCTTTGTTCTGCAATCCTAGAGAACTTAACGGCAAATACAGTTAAAATTAACAACAGAGCAACAGATTTCCTAAAGGAATTATTATAGACAGATGGAAATGAAACAAATCGGCTTAAAGTTTAGATCGAAGAAATCAACCATGGGGGCTTTCTTTATTTCATTTCACAATGCATTCAAAGTCAGAGGACTCCCGATATATAACTGAGTTACAATTTGGCTGGTAACTAAAAACAATTGATGTTCATTTAATGTGTTATTTACAGGCACTAAGCCCTCATCACACATTAACTTCTTCAATCTCTCAAGGATTCTATGAGATAGTGTATTAGTTTCCTAGGCACGCCGTAATAACCGCCACACATTCGGAGGCTTAAAACAACAGAAATGTATTCCCCCCCAGTTCTAGAGACTAGAACTCCAAAATCTAGCAAAGATGCACTACCCCTGGGGTCTCTTGGGGAAAATCCATTCCCACTTCTGGTGACTGTTACATTCCTTGATTTGTGGCTGCATCATTCTAATCTCTGTCTGCATGGTCACATTGCCACCTCCCCTCTTGTCTTTGTCTCCTCTGTGTATCTTTTATAAGGACACTTGTCATTGAATTTGGGGCCCACACACATATTTGAGGATGATCTTTTCATCTCAAGACCTGTAGCTTAATTACATCTGCAAAGACCCTGTTCTCAATTAAGGTAACATTCACAGGTTCCCAGGATTAGGATGTAGACAGATCTTTTAGGGGTCATTCATTCAACCCACTGCAGCACTGTCTTCATTTTACAGATTAAGAAAATAAAGAGAATTATCTAACTTGTATTGGACTACATGTAATGTATGAACATTGTATGAAGTGGTTTACATACACTGTACTACCTATCTAATGTTCATAACATCCTATGACATAGGTATAATTATTATTATTGGCATTTTACAGATAAGGAATCTGGGCTTCTTGAATTTAATTTACTTAATATCACCCAGACAAAAAATTTACTTCCTTTCTGAAGGCAGATTGCTAGACAAAAATAAATAATAATAATTTATTTATACAATTATATATTTATTACATAAATACCTGAAATATATAGTATATCAGATAGTTTTAAGGGTTATCAAAAAACAAAAGAAAAAGGGAGGATAGAGAATACTGTGAACAAATTGCATTTTTAAATAGGCGGTCAGGGAAGGTTTCACTTAGAAGAGATCATAGATGGAAGGAGAGGAGAGAGTGGGCTATGTAGAAATCTGGGAGAAGGGCATTCCAGGCAGAAAGAACAGCAGGTGTAAACCCCTTGAGGCATGTTCAGTAACTACAATAATGAAAAGTAGCATATGTCTGTGTGACTATGTGTGTGTGTGAACAGTAGTGAGAACTACTGGCTTCTCTTTTAGACAGGTGAGGTATGAAGTACCTAAAGGAATACTCGGATGTGAGTAGAGTAACATATATGCCTCAAGATCAGTAGCAAGATCTATGCAGGAGAAAAAAACTTGGAAGTCATTATCAAATACAGTGCTCCAAATCCAGTGCTCATTGCCCCATACCAGGAGGAAGCAATTTAAATAAACAGCACTTTTGTGCAGGAAGTGCCAAATTGTGCCATGTTGACAATTGCATTTTTTTAAAAAATGACTTTTAGAGTTAGTCCTCCTATTGGCACACTCAATAAACTTCAAAAAATGAAAATACATGCTCACAAATATGAAATAAATTTACATAGGTCTAACCCTTAACATGCTAAAATCATGGACTCAAGTTGGTTATTCTCATTACCAAAATATCATTTATCTTTTGTCTTTACAATGCAGTTGATGTGAGCATGGCACTTTAACGTCAAGTGTGGTTGAATAAGCATGCCTAATGCTGGACATCTGGTTAAGCAGTTCAGTGGAACTCCAGAAGGCGGACAATTGGATCTACGCAGCCTAATATCCTCTCTGTAACTGGAAGTGAAAGAAATTTTTTCCCTACAATTTTGACTTCTAATAAAATCAAAACTTCTGAAGTGCAGAAACAAGAAAAGCCTTCTCAATTTACTAAGCTCATTCTTGATAGTTAATAATTATCAGACTCTACCTAACAAACCAAGTGACTCATAACAGATCGTGGTGTTTATGTAGTCTTACTCTTCTTTTCTGCCATTCATTAAATGGAACCATTGCTACAAAGAAATTCTTGCTGGGTTCTGTACATGTGCATGTTTCAAGAAGAATTGTGTTTATAGCAGTCCAGTCATGATTACAGAATTTCCTTACATTTTAATATATAATTTGCCTCTCTTTGCTGCAGGTGGAACACAGGAATGGGGTGGAGGAGGGGGTAGACTGCTTTGGAATGTCAGTCAAAAGGGTGGGAAAATATAATCGGGGCTGGGGCTAATGCAAAGCACTTGGTGAACCTGCCTTGGTTAATGGACAAAGCCAAAATTTAAGCAGGGAAATTGAGACTGGAGCTGCCTAGAGGGAAAGCAAAAAGCCTAGTGGTGGGACAAGGAGAGTGCAAAACTGAGGCACGGAGCCAAGAATGTGGATACTAGGAGGGGAGTCTGAACATCAGCAGATTAGGACCAATGAAGAGTTGTAGGAATTGAACCCCAACAATGATGTAGATGTCAGCTGTCACTTGTGATTTCTTACTAGGGAGTGTAATGCTTATACTAGCCATGAAGGATTTGTTAGGAAATGTGACCTATTAATTTCTAAGAGACATTGAGATAATTATGATCTTTTGTATAGACTATGTACTAGTTCTTCTTTCAGGTTTTATTTTTTTTTTGTTAGTATGTTTTCATCTTAGAATTTTCTTTGCTGTAACTCTTTTCTTATCCAGAAATGTTCTTAGTCTCTGATTATCCCATGAACGACTGGTGTTCTTTCCTGCCATTCAGATCTTACCTTAAATTGTCACTTCTACCAAGAAGCTTTCCTGACAACACAATCTAAAGAATCTGTTTCGGACTTCCTCCATAACATCTCTAATTTTCAGCATGGGATCCATCTGACATTTCTTCCCTCTTTCCATTCTTTCTTCACTTCCTCCTTTCTGCCCACCTTTCCTGATAGATTTCAAGTTCCATGAGAGTTAGAACCTTGACTGTCTGATGTCCTATGGTAGCTTCAGCACAGAGGAGAGTAAGTGATTCTTAATATTCCTCAGTAAATATTTTAATTAAATTATAAATAGATGGATATTTGCTGCATTAACAATTACTTCTTAAATGTGCTTGTTTTGTTGCCGAGCTTTTAACTTTTTTTTTGTTTGTTTGTTTTTTGCACTGTATCAAAGAGGAGCCATTGAAGAATACTGTTGTCCTATCCCAGAAGGAGCAAGCGGACAACACTGATATCCTGACCACTAACCATCCAGCACCACTTAAAGGTATCTATATTTTATGGCACAGGAAATAAGATGTATTAGTCATTCATTTCTTAATAGTAGTAGACTGCATAAAAACCACTTGTAATTCTTCCTGTTTATTCGAAACCAGAGGTCCCAAAACCCCCGGCTGTCTACCAATACCCATCTGTGACCTCTTAGGAACCGAGCTTCACAGCAGGAGGTGAATGGTGGACAAGCGAGCATTATCGCCTCAGCTCCACCTCCTGTCAGGTCAGCGGCAACATTAAATTTTTATAGGAATGTGAACCCTATTGTGAACTGTGCATGTGAGAAAACTAGGTTGCATGCTCTTTATGATAATCTAATGCCTGATGATCTGAGGTGGAACATCCCAAAACCATTGCCCCTACCCACCCCGGCTATGGAAAAATTGTCTTCCACAGAACTAGTCCCTGGTGCCAAAAAGGTTGAGGACTCTTCTAAACCACTAGCATTACATGCTTCTAAGATATTTCCCAGGAAAGGGAAAGTGGGCAACAAATAGTATTATGAAAGCACCTCCATCATCAGGATCTTATATTTAAGTGGTTGATAGGAGGATTGCTGAAGAAAGAAAGGTTAGTTAGGATTCTCATCCACAAAATATTAATTTTGTTTCTAAGTAAAAATAATAAAAATCCTAAGTAGAAGTATTATGTGTCCCTGACCATTTCAAGAGTCAAAACCTAAGGTCAAAAATTATTAACGTCTTTCACAGCCTTTGCTTTACCTATTTTTCATTAGAATCACCTGGGGACACTTTTAAATAATACAGGTACTAGGTTCCATACTCAAAGATTGTGATTCCACTAGTCTGTGTGGGACCAGGGCATTTATAGATAGCCATAAGTTCCTAACACAGATACATTTTAGGAATGGTAATTAGAGTATTGTTTATAATGGAGAAAGATTGAAAATGATTTAAATATCCTTAAAGTGTTGTTGTCACAGCAGATTTAATAAGATGGGAAAATATTGACAACATATTATAGCATGAAAAGCTTAGGTTTACATCAAAGAAGAGAAAGCAAATGGTCCTGCTTAAAATAGATGTTATTTTTAAAGTTTCAATGATACGTTCTTTCTTTTTCACTGAAAAATAAAGTTAGTTAAATTAGGCTTTTCTGTGTCTCCTAATTGGTGTTCCTTTTTAAAAGTTTTAAAATGTCTTTATTGACATAATAATTGTACATATGGAGTACACAGTGATGTGATACAGATAAGTATAGTGATCAGATCAGAGTAATTCGTGTATCCATCATCTCAAACATTTATCTTTCTTTGTGTTGGGAACATTCAATAATTGGTTTTACTTTGTGGAGTGTGAGCCATACTATTAAAAACAAAAAAAAAAAAAAGAAGAAGAAGCCAGGTGCAGTGGCACACACCTGTAGCCCCAGTTACTCAGGATGTTAAGGCAGGAGGGTCGTTGAACCCAGGAGTTCAGGGCCATAGTATGTAATGATCTTGCCTGTGACTTGCCACTGCACTCCAGCCTGGGTGGCAGAAGGAGACCTTGTCTGAAGAAAAAAAAAAAAAAGAGAGAGAGAGAGAGAAGTGTTCAGCACCATGCTGCTTCCTCTGATTCCTACGGGGAGATGCTGAATTTGACCTTGCCCCACCTCCTTGAGGCGCAGAATCCTCAGACCCGCTGAGTGGAGGTGGACAAACAGATCTTTGTCACCATTATCTTAGACTTTGGGACACAAAAATCTTTCAGTTCCAGAGCCTAAAATGCTACTAAAAATGGAACAAATGATAACCTAGACTGTGGGCACCTCAGAAAAAGAACAAGACTTAGTTAAATTTCTCAAAAACAAAAAAAAAACCCAATAGTATCCTTTTTTCCTTATTTAAAAAGGTTGAGGGAGACAATAACTTTCTTTATCCCTTCCTAGGCCTGGGTCTGTCTCTGCAGGACAGGAAGAATCTTCATATTACTTGTTAAGCCCTGTTGTCACTGTGCTTTTAGAGAAAAACAAAACATTACACCTGGAAGTTTAGTGATTATCTGCTCTGGCTGGCCATGCTTTAAAGGTGAAGCAGTTTAGGCCCAGGGGTCCTGCAGCCAGCCATAGACCAAGGCAGTTTCTGCTCGGTCCACCTGCAGCCTTGTCCTGCCTGCCTGACAAGGCTCAGAGTGATTGTCTCCCAAACAAGTCCAGGGAGGTAAAGTCAGAACGCTGAGAAGGAAAAGAACCTGTAAAACACAGGACAAACACTTAAGTTATCTGAGCTGAAGAGACCTATAGTCAGAAGACCCTGCATGCCAGGTTTTGTGTTCTCAAGGATCAGCAAAACATAGATGCTATGGCCTGGCTAGTCCTACTGGCGTAGGAGGCAGGACTCAACTCTAGAGGTGGGGCCAGACACTAGATCAGATTGAGGACTAGCTAAAACAGGGACAAGGTGGAAACAGCTTTCCTTAAGACATGCCCACCAATGTGCCATGTCAGCTTACCATTGTCATGGCAACACTCAGAAGTTACCATCCCTTTCCATGGCAGTAACTTGATGACCTGGAAGTTATTACTCTTTTTCTAGAAATTTCTGCATAATCCCCCTTAATTTACATGTAATTTAAAGTGGTTATAAGTATGACTGCAGAACTGCCTCTAAGCTGCTACTCTCAGCACACTATGGAGCCCTGCTCTGTAGGAGCAGTCATGGAGCTGTAACACTGCTGCCTCAATAAAGCTGTTTTCTTCTACCACCAGCTCAGTGTTAAATTCTTTCTTGAGCAAAGTCAAGAACCCTCCCAGGCTAAGCCCCAATTTGATACTTACCTGTCCTGCATCACTAACTTACTAATGTACTAAGATTTTTAGGAATCCAGAAAAAAAATTAACTAATCTAAAATATACAGGTTGGATAAAGTTGAAGTTGAACTTTTATTCTCTCAGTTAGCATGCAGTGAGGACTCAAGATTTTATTGTCATGGTCCTATAAAATTTGATGGAAAGAAAATGTATGCAAAGGATGAATCAAGAGGGCAAAAATGTTTAAGTCTTTCATTAAAGAAAAGACACTCAACGCAGTGCAAGGCTTCAATACTGTGCAGTGGGGTGGTGTGTGTTAGGAGAGTTTAGACCTTAGAAGGAATAGGAATACATATGAAATAATCAACATGAGTCTTCCACATCTGCATTTACCATGGAGCACTTCTATTCAGTAATAAGGCAGGTATTTTATTTTACTTTATTTTATTTATTCCAACTTGTCAAAATTAACAAAGGCCAAAGCTATGGTTGCAAATGTATTTTCCCAACAAGTAATATCATTCATAATACCACTGTCCTATAAGGAAAGGAACAAGGAAGTGACATGTTCACTTTAACCTTTTAAATTATAGTTTTAAAAAGAATAACAGAAAGAAAGAAGTGGCTGAAACCTAAATGCCATATGGAGAAGACAGCTAATTGGTAAGAAAATAATTTTTATTTCCAGTTTTGAATGGGTAATAAAAACAACTGAGAGGAAGGAAAAATAACATTATACAGTAGGTGGTGGCAGTTTCCTCTGAAGTAATCATGCATTAAAGTATAAAGTTGTACATAGCTTGGAGAAGTGTGCTGCTTCTCAGATACTCAATTGGTTAAAGGCAAACAAGCTAGTATAAAGTGGTTGAGTACAAAGATGTCATTTCCTCCTCCCATCAAATTAAAGAGGGTTGTAAAGTTTTTCTGTGTGTGACACAAACAGTGGTGTGCTTTACCTACTGCCAGCTTGGATCACTGTGATAGGACTTGCTGGTAAACATCACTGCATCATGGATTTAAAGAGGTGTCACCTCTTTTTCATTTGGCTGGAAGATGATAATTAGCAGACAAGTGTCTCCTGATACTCATAGGAGGGAGCAAAACAGGAAATCAAAGGCTTCCTACTCTGCAAATAATTGTTTGCAAATGCCTGGGTCTGTCAGGATTCCAGAAGATAGTGAACATTTCTCAGCTGGCGAAGCACTGCCTTTTTGACTCTGATGTCTGCATCTTATCATAGTGTGCAAATTATTTAGCAACTGCCACATTATTTATAGGTATGAATTGAACAAATTAATCTCATAAATAATTCATTTGGGGGGCTGTGAATTAGCAGGGCACCACAGTAAAATAAAAATCTACTTTTACAAAGCTGATATCAATTGTCATTGTGAGTTAGATTCAATCTTTTTTCAAACAACATTTTAGCATACTGCATGTGGCCTTTTTAAGGTTTAGAACCAAGACTGTGCAGATGAGGTGAATACAAGTATCTAGACAATCTGTTGGAGTGCTCTAAAAATAATAAAAGGAATATAAGTGCGGAATTCTGGTGTGAATTATCCAGATAATTGCTGCACTTTTTCAATTCACCTTGGGTGCATAGTTTTTTAAAAACTGTCTTTTTCCTTAATGAGAGTTCTGAAATATAGAGACTTATAAGATGAAATAGTTTGATACAGAAGAAAGTAGGTCTTGTCCTAACAGAGCAGCAGGCTGTCAAACTATTTCATCAATCAAAAAACCAAGAACAGGCCTTAGATACCCCACAATTTTTAAAACTGGAAACAGTGGGAAAAATTTTACTTCCCTACAGTGAGACATAAGAATGTCAATGTGGACCTGAGAGAAAGACAGTCGCAAGTTTGTTTGCTAGTAGACTCCTAGGGAGCTGAACACAAAAATCCCATAAATAATTAGCTCTCCTGTGACAGGCTTCTGAATTACTGTGATACATTAATTGGACAAAATTAGCATGAATTAAGGCAAATAACTATAACATGTAATTTATTACTTACTAAGCATGGTGCTGCAGTGGAAGCTTCGGATTTCCCTTAAGATTGCTTTAACAGCTATAATGCATTCCTTAATTTACTCTGTGGAAAATCAATTTTTTCAGAGTTCATTAAGCACCAATATGTTACAATGCAGCTCTCTAGAGCATAGAGCCTCAATACATTATGCAAATCCATGCCAGTGTGGCACCAATATGTAAATAGAAGTAATGTTATTGTCAGTTTCCTATTGATAAGTCTGATGAGAATGAGAATACCTAGAACTTCTTGAATTTGTTGACTTATTTTGTGTGGTTGGGGCTGTTGCATGCTGTCCTTCACTGAATATAATGCCAATATTTCTTGCAAGGTATAGCAAGGCTTTCATCAATGACTGGAAACAGTGTCATTTCCATTTAATTCCATGCCTTCTTGTCTATGCTAACCAACCAATCAACAAGTGTTTATTAAGTATATATTATGGGCCTAGTGGAGTCCCTTCTGCATTTTAAGTGATAATAAGCTTTATTTACCTAATTTGATCCACAGAAATAATTTAGGTCATCAAAGCTGCAATTTCATGGAAATACATCTCAATTCCCCATTTCACTTGGCATCAATTGACTTAGGTCATATTAACAAAAAAAATAACATGTGGTTCAATTGAAAATAATTTTGTAAAAAGCAGTACGTTCAAGAAAAGTATAATTGAAGCAATTTGTTTGGCTTTAAGACTTAGTAGAAGAACTATTATTATAAAAACTAATATCCACAATATCTGATTTTTCAAGTTGGTGATTTTGTTTTCCCAATAAATAGCAATTCTGTAATCCTTATGACTTATTTTTTAAATGTTTCTTTTAGTTTCTAATTAATTTTCCACTATTTATTTTTTCTCTGGGTTATTTATACCATTAAAAAATCAATTAAGTCTCAATGTTCAGAAATAATAGAATGCTATGGACTGAATTTTATCTCCCCCAAATTCATATGTTGAAGCCCTAATCCCCAGTGTGATAGTATTGGGGATGAGGACTTGGGGAGGTAATTAGGTTTAGATGAGATCATGAGGGTGAGGACATGATGATGGAATTAGTGCTCTTATGAGAAGAGATACCAGAAACATGCTCACACACTCTCCCTCCCCACCATGTGAGGATACAGGGAGAAAGCACTTATCTGCAAGCCAGGAAGTGAACCCTTGCCAAAGCCCAACCATGCAGGCACCCTGATCTCAAACTTTCAGACTCCAGAACTGTGAGGAATAAGTTTGTGTTATTTAAGCCATCCAGTTTATGGTACTTTGTTAAGGCAGCCTAAGATGGCTAAGACATTGGGTAACAGTTGGAATAATATAAATGTGTACAATTTGGTTGCTTGCATATAAAAATTATGTTGATTTATAAAATATTAGGTAGAATATGATTCCTTTTTTTGGTTCCAAAATACTCTTTCTATATTATATATATAACATGTATATAAAATATATAAATATATTTGTATATATAAATATATAATATATAATACATAAATATTATCATTTATAGAATACAAAAATATATAATGTATACAAATATATTATATATGATGTATTATTTATATTATATAATATATATCATATAATATATAAATGTGTAATATATAAAAAATATAATATATAAAATATAATATAAGTACATATTATATATACATTTATGGAAGATGGAGGATATATATCTAGAAGTTATCTGCAATGAATACTTTCATTTCCTGCAATAAATAAGAGCTAAATATTATTTAAATGAAAGGAATTATATAGGACCATACGGAATTATTTTCCCTACTGATTCTATTTCTTCTTTCTTCCCTGCTTACTTGGTTCTAGCCACACTCTCCTCTTTGGTCTTTCCTGGTACGCAGCATACAAGCCCACAGATTGAGGACTCTGCACTTGCTGTTCTCTCTGCCTGGAGCTCTATGGCTCCAGATAGACTCCTGCCAACTCCTTCGCCTTGTCCAAGTTACCTTCATTAAATGTCAGCTTAAATGTGTGCCTACTTTTTGCCCTACCTAGAATTGCAAGCACCTCTCACCACTGTGCTCCCATTCTCCTTAACTTAAGCCACTTTTATTCTCATAATAAAGCCACATATTTTTTCTTATTATATCATAATCGTACTGTATAATTTATATTTTATTACTTTTGTTTGTATACTTATTGTATGTTTCTGTTCACAAGGATGTAAACCCCATGAACACAGAGATCTTTGATTGTTTTATTCACTGATTTATGCCAAATGTTTGGAACAATGCCTGGCACATAGTAGATGTTTGATAATTTTTTTTTTTTCTGAATGAATAAATACATTTTAGCCAAATATGCTGACTCTGCTTGTTTGGTTATATTTATGTGTGTGTGAATGTATGTGCAGAAAAAGAAGAAATTAGTTAATACCAAATCTATAAAATGGGAAAAATAATGCTTACCTTATAGTGTTGTTATGAAACTCAACTAATATAAGATATGTGAAGGGTCTAGCATAAAATGTGGAGCATAATAAGCATTCAATAAATGGCATTCTGTTTTATTAACCATCTGGTTGCCTATTGTTGAAGGTCGGCTCTTTAATGTGCAAATTAAGGTGTTTTATTTCCTTCATATATCAATTATAGTCTGTTTATTTACTTCTAGATAAAATCCTTTGATGGACATTTAAGCTGTGCCAACTATTTACTAATAAAAATATTTACATTCTGTGGTTCCAGTTATTTTTTCATATATTTTCTTGCTCTTTTCCTTTATAGCACTTAATTTGAAATTATATATTTATTAAACCATGAATTTCTTTAATGTTTGTTTTCATACTACACTATAATTTCAGTGAAGACAGGTGCTCACGTGACTTACCTTACCTTTTATATTTGGAACCTGGCACAGTGTGCTTGTCACATAGTAGGTAATATATATGAAATTAAAGAAACACCAAAGACCTGAAAATAAATAGAAATGATAAAGCAAAAATGAAAGGAAGCCATCAGGAAATTTGAAAATGGAGAAAATTGCTGAAAATTGTTTTTATGGGATGACAATATGATCAACTCCTCTCTTTCTCTATCTATATACATACACACATACACACAAACATACACACACACACCAAATAGTTTGATGTATATGTATATGTGTGTATATATATATATATATATAAATAATTTTTCCACTAAATTGTGGACTTCCTTGTTTTAAGCCAAACTCCTTTCACTCAGTTTGTCTGATATAAAAAGACTCAAACTCAGTGTAGTGGATTGGTGTGCTAGCAGTGTTTTCTACACTCTTAATTCACTACCTGATTATCAAGTATACTGATGGTGATTAGCTATTTAATTATAAAGAAATTGGTCATAATAATAGGCACAAAAAAAATTAAGGTTTATAGGCACCAGAAAAGATCTTTTTTGTGTGTGTGCGGAAAATACCCTGAATTTTTCCATATTTTCTACAATAAATAAGTCCTTTTATCAGTTTTGGTAAATGAGTATTACAGTGAGCATGGGTAAGATATTCTATACTTTTTCTAATGAAAAATTGGGCTGAGGATTCCAATACTGCTGTTTCTCGGCTGGACAGTGTTTGTTAGTGTATGCTACAATTTTACCTAGAAATGAAGTGAGTTTGGGAATGAGAGAAATTTTGATGCTTCAGCATTTATATGATTTTTATTTTATTGGATTTTAAAATGGAAATACAATGCAAATTATATGGAGAATAAAACTGAGGAGAATTAGAAGGAAGAAAATTAACTCATAATTCAAAAAATTGGAAATGGGGAAAAAGAGTCCAACAAACTACTAGAGTAAAAGTTAAAAAAAAATCGCTGCTAAATTCAACATAATCTAATTGTCAAGAAGAAATCACTAGAATATTATTTCCATGCCTAGGATACATCATGTTTTCATCACTGAATTCTTAGCACCTAGAACAGAATGAAAAAGGAGTCAGTCAGGAAGTTGGCTAGAGAACTAGTCTTTCAAGTATGTCAAAACATTATCGCGGCATCAGATATCTCTGGAAACATAACAAGATGGTGAAAATGGTGTTTCCTTATTTTCTCTCAGGAAAAATATTCTATGAAACAGAAAGAAATATTTTGTTTTAGCTTGGAGGGTGTAATAAAATATGGCGGCTTCTCAGGTGGTGGATGTAGTTCTCTGAGGGGCTTTGGTTTTGCTGAATACTGTGTGGAGTTTTAAGACCAAGCTGATTAACCTGGACTAAGAGGAGGTACTAAGCTCTGTATTAGTCTAACCATGCAGAGCAGTGGCCCCTTTCCCGTTTTCACAATGAAATTCTTAGCCTCTATCCTAAATGCATGGAAAAGAAATATTTAGAGACTATCACTTTTAAAGGGTAGCCTATTGATCATGCCTTGCTTTAGGATCCCACTGTTTTCATAGTACTTTTGTCCCTACAACACCTAAACATTGTGACATTCTTTTCTGGTATAGTTACCATCACACTGGAATGACTGTGAAAGATTTCAAGTCTCTGGGAAAAAATTCAGATGTAAAGGAGGCCGGGGGAAAATACATTTGTTTGTGAAAGGTTTGATTTCATGACTTCATGGCTTCATATGAACATAGATTATGTGGAGAAATTCTGACACCTCTGGAATGCTTAGAACAGAGCTAATGAAATTTTGACAAGCGTCCATAAATATGTATTTTACAAGTAGGTTTTGTGAATGTGTTTGATAAACACATATGATGGTAAGGTCAACAAAGTATGACTCAAAAAGTATTTACGGGGCAGAGTGTTATGATACATTGTATCAGGTTTCTGATTTACATGGAGTAGCTAGAAATGACTTTACATGATAAAATAGAGCATTTACTGCCTATAAAGGATATAAAATACTAACCCAATTTGTACTGCAGAAGTTTATGTGACTTTTATTACAGGTACTTTGGTTGTTTCTATCTGCTTGATAGTTATTTCTTAGGGTTTTTGTAATATTCATTTTAAACATTAATACTCCAAGATTAGATTAAAATCTAAGTATCTGGTAAATAACATATATTGTGAAAGATTATGTTGTGAATGAGAACATTTTCTAACAGAGAAATAGCTATGAAATCTTTTAATGATCTATCATCCAAATAGTACAGTTAGAATGAGAGCTTTTAAAGATGTCTAATTTCTCAAACACTTTCCAAGTAATTTCATCTTTTACGTTATATAACTATGTGTTCTGAAAGTGCTTTGAATAATAAAATCTCTTGGTCTGAGATTAATAACCACATCTGTTTGTTTACTTATGTGTTTAACAATAATGTCATATTTTATAGCAATTTTAATGTGCTTTTACATCTGTTATGACATTCTGAGCTTACAATAGTCATACAAATAAATCATCTTTTAGTTAGGATCACTTCATATAGACCATTTTTATATAAACATTGAATCAAAAGTCTGGGTTCAAATCCAGTCTTTGCTTTCTGCCTATACATGGGACTTAGGAGAGTTGCTAACATTTAATAAGCACATACAATTGTCAACTATGATGGTTTACATACTTTATTTAATGACCCCTGGCATTGGCACCTTTATAATTTCTTTTTATACATTACAACACTGAGGTTAAAGGAGATTAAGTAATTTGCCCAAGGTTACACAGCTTGTAAATGACAGAGCTGGTAATAGAACCCTTGCCTGCCAGAACCCAAAGCCTAACTTTAATTGCAACTAGACTGCACCTCTTTAAACCATGGAGACTGGAGACACAGCTTCCATAGAAGAATGCTTTGCTTTCAATGATCCTGCTTACCTGAAATGTAAATTGTGGACTTCATGGAGCCACATTGGGAGCCTAACTCTAAGTTGTTTTTTTTTATATATATATAGCCATCACTTACCTTTGCATGAAGATTTGCCACAGGATTTGTCACTGTTGCCATTCTAACACTTCCCAATCAAATAGAAAACAGTCCTAAAAAGAAAATGTTGATCAAAACACTTTCTAGTTTCTCAGTCTTGATGTTACTGTTTTTTTCCTCCTGGACATTGTATTTTGTTCTTGTGAGAGAAGTCAGATTCAGAATTTTCTCAAAGTGTAATGAGACAGAGGAGTTCTAGAGCTAACCAAGTAGGACAGCTCAAGGAAGCACAACATGAGGGAGACATTCAAAGAAGATGAGTGAAGAACCATGAAGGGCCATGAAGACAGAGCCAACTTTCAATGTGAATGGAAAACAATAAAAATACCAAGACTGGAGGAAGGCTGTGGACGAAGGGCATGGAAGAGCAATTAGATCTAAGATAGTAGATGACACCAGCACATGCATTTGTTTGCAATACAGGAGAAAACCCCTGAGCTTAGGTACTTAGTATTGTGTAAAGTTAGGCATGCCAGCCTTTGCTCTGGAGGGAGACATTATATTTATTTTGCTGGACAATAATTATTCCTGGAGGGAGATACCATCTCTATCTTCCAAGGCTGTTTGATAAACAAACATCCTTCAAAGCACAAAGGCAACCAGTGCCTTTACTTCCAGTATAAGCAGATTTCCGTGGGACTGATAAAGACTTGTGTTTCATTAATATCCACACCTTGTTTCTATACTGTCTTGGCATCTGACAAGTTTTTCCCAAGGGAATACACTCCATCATCAACTCCAGTGGTGTCATTGATCACTTCAGCTAAACTCAAGGACAAATTCTATATTACCTATTCTATGTGGATAACTTCTATCTAGGGATAACAGCCCACAGGATGTAAAACAGTCATTCCTCCTGGAAGCATCCCTGAGTAGCCTAGCTTTAAAGAGATTCCTACAGTTATCTGAGATTTTCTTGATCCACTGGTGGTGTTTCCTTAAACACTTGGAGGTCTCTTATGAATACCTCTAAGGTATATGTCACTGTGTTTTCAGGAGGGAAATAAGTTCATGACTGGCTTTTATATAGGAAGTCCATTCCTGAAGGTGTCACAGTGCCATGGAGATAATGCTATTTACAATTATTGGGCCTCCCAAGTGGGACCTACACAAGTTGGAGGCTACAGGCTGATGGAGCCTCCAGGCCAGCTGGTCAGTATTAGTTTTCCCAACTTAGTTCAAATGGTTGAAACTAGTCTTTGTGTTTGGAGGGGGAGCCAGTCTAATCTGTTCTGTTTGTCTTGTCATCCGCCTGGTGACATTTGTCTGCTCCATGCAATGATTAAGCCTTGACAAATGGTAAATGGCAAATTGATAAATGGGGGTGTTGAAAGATGATTTGTATGTGAGGTGCAGAAGCTAGGACTCTGTGTACTCTTTCTGATGAACTTCTCTCTATGTTTGAGGGGATAATTTTCAAATCATGGTAGGAGCAGTCTGGTAGGAATGGCGGACGCAGAAAGTCAGTTTAATATAAAGCTCTTGCAACAGTTTGGGAGATGAGTATCACGGTGTTTTCATTTAGGAGGATGCCTCCAGAGTGGCTCTGACAAACAGCGTGTCTCAATGTCCCTAACTCTCCCCTAAGATTTTTATTCATTCTCCATCCAAGTGCTAAGGTTGTTGCTCTCCCTTCACTGGCACAAAATCAGCATTTCCCATTCACATAGCAATTGTGCCATTTGTTTTTCAGTCATCTTCTATTTGCATCCAGATCTTTCATTTGGAAGTATCAAATATTATACAACAGTGCATTTTTATAAAACTCACAGAGACACATAACATTGCCCACTTTTGCCAAGGTGGGCTACCATAGCATACTTGGCTTAGAGTATGCTTATGCAAATATTCAATATTCTCATAATCTAGGACTATATACATATATCCAATAAGAGAATCCAGGTGACTGCCCATAATTAAGTTTGAGTCCCCTAGGCCCCCTTTTAACCATGCTGATGTTCATAGGGTACAGCAACCAGTCCTGCCTGAGGTAACGGTTAGGGGAAAGAAAGATACACCATGTTCATGAATGGGCAGAGCAAAATGTCAGTTTTTCAAAATAAATCTATGTAGCTCCTCAATGTCTTTGACCTGCCTATTACCCATAGAGCAGGTGAGAGGAACAGATCTCTTTTTGGAGATAATTGTCTTCAATGACCAAACTACCTTACTAACATTGCAGACCAGGAGGAGGTATGGAAGTTAGAGTCAGAAATATTTTTGGCTTAATTTTGAGGAAGTATTTCCAATGCTCAATAATATCAGATACCTGTGGTTGTCTGGAAGGTCTATCAAATATCTAGACTATAAGCCCAGTATGGAGTGGCTTTTCCAGTAAGAGCTGAAAAGTTGTCATAATGGAAATTTTTTGAAAAGCCAAATATATGACACAGAAAGTGTCAAGGACCATAATGTTATAGCCAGAGTCAGTGGACGTGACAAGTATATCAACACTCTAACCTGTGTTTCAGTGGTGAGACATGGCCAACAGCCCCAAGAAGGTGGTCAAAAGTCTGATGTAGTTAATCTGCTAGGAGTGAGAGGGAGCAATGCCGCTTTCAATATGTCCTTTCTCACTGTGAGATAAAGAGGTCAACTTTTGGCAGGAGCCACAAGTCTGGCATGTGGTAGGCAACATAGAGTCCTTTACTTTGTGGTTGTCTTGCAATTGTAGATGTGTTTCCATCAACATAAGGGGTTCAGGCAGCAATCATGGCAATCTCAGTGGTTCAGGCTGTATCAGCTGTTTGACTCCAGTTGGTCTCATCAAAAGCTGACACTTACTAAGGCGTGTACATGAGTCACCAAGACAGTTTAATCAAAATCCATGGTTGCTTTCCACAGTTTGCAATTCTGAAGAGCAGTGTCTTTAATCTGCTAGTCTGCAGTTTTCCAAGCAGCAGACCAAATATCTAGCCCATTGGCAACAAACCAGGAGTTGTAAAAAATATACCAAGATTCATCAAGCAAAGTACTGGCCAGAGCTTTGAGCTCTGCCCATTCAGCAGAAAGACCAAATTTATTTTGGTACTAGTGTAGATGGTTCTGGGTTGGGCAGCCACAGCAGCCCAGTGGACAACATCATGATTCTGTTTAGCCAAACTATCTGTGAACCAGACCTAGACATTTAGGGTGATCTCTGTGGATCAAGAACCCCACTGAGTCAGCAACTCTGTCTCAAATGTGTTGGAGTGGGGAAAAAGTTTCCCCCAAAGGGAAGGCTACCTCTGTTTCATATAAAGCTGAGATACCTTGGTTCTGTTCTTGGCTATTTCATTTCCATTTGAAAAGGAAGGCCTGTTAGGTCCTTTCTGTCTTTTATTATTGAAGCCAAGTTATTGAGCCCAAGTTGACCCACCCCAATATCAGGTCAAAGAGTTGCAAGGCCTACTTGGATCAAGTGCTCCATGTAGGTAAGAACCTAGCATTAAGTATTATATGGTTTTCAACAGGAAGTACTTGCTAGTCATGTCAGGAAGGTGATGTAGGTGGAAGTTGCTACCCTTTGAAAGAGGCTCCCATTGGCTAAATCATTAGCCACAGAAACTTAAAGCTCAAAAGGATGAGGAGATTTGTGGGGCTCCAACGATACCAGCACTTCTCTACATGCAGCTCTTCCTAATCAGAAGAATCTCCACTGGCACTTTTGGGATGAGGCACAAGCATATAACATATCAATTTCTACTGTACCTTCAGATGTTAAAAAAACATTGAATTGGCCCAAATGGCCCCACCCATAGTGTCATATTAGCTTTCTTTCACCTCCATGAACCCTATTTAAACTCCGTTAGCTCATGAGACATGCGGAAAAGGGATGCCCATGAGAAACTTTCTCCCACTGCCTAGTATTTTCCAAACTCATTGTCTACATTTATGCCTCTGTACTATTGTTCATGAAATTCCCTCTGCCTGATATATCCTTCTCATCTCTCTCTGTCAATATTTGTCTCTTTTAGAGCCCAGCTCAAGTGTTGTATTCTCTGTAAAGCATTTGCTAACCACACCCATTGGGCTGCACGTATGCGCTTTTCCTTGAGGGTTCCCATTGCCTATTTCTGTTATGGTAAGCATCCCACTGTGTTACCATTGTTTGTTTACATGTCTCTTTATGCAGCTAGCCTGTGATGTTCTCAGCGCATGGGCCCTGTCTTGCTCATCTTTCTATCTTGGTGTCTGGTGCCATGCTTGTTTACTGAGCACTCACTCTTCTGAGTGATGGGCTGAGCATGGAGAATTAAGCTAGCTCCTATTGGAGTAGCATCTTATTTACTTTCCATTACTTTTTGACATTTAATAAGTCTTACTTCTGTCCTGTTCTTAAAGTTAAATATATTTCCTTATCAAAGTTGAATATAATAAAATAATAGTGCTAGGAAAACAGTTATGGCTTATAGATTAGATTGTTGATATGATATGGAAAGTTAACAGGATTCAAGTTATTTGGCTTAAAATCATACCTATTGCAAACTTCATTTGGCTACAAGAAGTTCTGATGGGCAAATTAATAGCTATAATATTATATAAGCACTCATAGAGCATTTACAATATTGTAAGCAGCAAATATTAGTGGTTAGCCGAAACAGATATCAGGCCAGCCTGAGCTTGTTTCCAGTTTCTATTAACTACTAGCCATAGTTAAGCTATCTAACTTTTTATGTCTAGTTTTTTCCTCTGTATCATAAAAGCAGCTATTTCAGAATATCACTGGAAGAAATTAAATATGATAATGCTTGTAAAGAGCATAGAATAATGCCTGGTAACAATACCTGCCCAATAAACTACAAAGCAAGGGGTTCATTTAGGATGGGACTCCTCGAAAAATGGTTACTAATTACATAATATTTGTATTAATGGACACTAATTATGCTTGTATATTTGTATTTGTATATTTTATACTTTCTGTGTTGTTGTATATTTTTTTCTCTTTTGATTCTAAAACACAACTGTGAGACAAGCAATGAAGGTATCGATATCTTAACAATGAGGCAACAAGGTCTCAGAAATAGTGACCTATTCATTGTCACACAACTTGCTATGGACTGGGTCAAGACATTTTGCTAGAATATTTGTCATTGTCTGATATCTATTGCACATGGGCATTGAATCTTTATCTGATCATGTTTCAAACAGAATAAAGCTCAGAATCTGCTCAAGGTAGGCACATCACCTACAAACAGTTTATAAGACGTTAAGATGAAATGAATTATCAACAACTATCTCAATATGTATAAAAATTTCAATGAGATTTTTAGCTCAGCTTAAAATATACAACAAATTACAAATAACTGTGGTAAAATTCATAAATATGTGTTGAATTTTAATGGCACCAAGTCCTTTTTGGAAATGGGAAGATTGTACATTGTGAATGTAAAAATGATTTTTAAAAAATACGCATCTTCTTAGCGGGGGGGTTGTAATGTTTTACTAACTTTGCTTGGTGTGTGTCTCAGTCTACCTTGAATCTCCCTTTGTTTGTGGTTGGTCACCTTCTCCAGTGCTTTGTGCTGTCATTGTTTCTCCTTCTAACTTCGCTGCTGCTTCTCTTGGGAAAGATTCAGTCTGTGTTGCTTTGCATGTTTCAGAGACTTATAGACTTCCTTTAGCCATAACGGAATATTTGCTTATTATTACTAGGGTTTACTGTCCTTTCTGCAAATGCCTATAATCTGATGAATCACTATTTTCTAGTGGAATTTGTTTTCATATTAAAATATGTTTTTCTGCTTTCTTCTCAAACAGGATACCATGGTAGATACTTCTCCTTCGCATGTTTAATTACTTTGGTAATTTGCCCACTTGGTATTTGCATAGGCTCCAGTGGCCAACACAGCCTTCTTTTACTGTTTCTACAGCATGGGAGAGACTTTCATCCACCCTCACCTCAGGAAATCCTCTATTTTGAGCTGGAAAAAAAAACGCTGCTGAGCAGAACCACCAGAGTCAGTTCTTTTCAGGAAATAGCAAAACTGTGCCCGTTGTATACTTCCTTAAAATAAAGAAGGCTATACATCAAAATTTGTGGCGATATGCCTAATTTCTTCTATTTTCAACTCTTCACCATACATTACTTGTGGTTTAAAATAAACATACAAACCCAAATACATTCATTTTTAAGAATTTTTGTTAAACGTGAGACAACAAAATGAAAGATTTGTCATAAATAAAAACGTCTTGTTAGGGTGATGTGGTAGCTCTGAGTTGGAAGATGCCATAAATATTAATATTTGTTATTGACATAAATATTCAACATGTTTTTGTTCAACAGTAGGTATATATTTGTGAAATACAGTGAGGACCACTTTAGTCTTAAAAGTAGGGAAGGGAGGTCACTTGATGGCTTCTCTACAGTCCCCTTCAACCATTCCCCATTATATTGAGAATAGGGCAAAGGAGCATTGCGTAACTTGAGAAGGGAGCCTGGAATGTTTGCATCTTCTCAAAGAGTACAGTAATTAAGATCAACAAAGCAGGTTTGTTTTATTTGGCCTTCACAGGATCCTTTTCAAAAATTTTGGCTTATCTTCAAAGGATTATTTTAATAGCTGAAAAGTTCAAACTCTCACACCTTAAATAAATAAAACATGGAAGTGACTGTTTGCTACAAAAATGATTTTAGGGAAAACTAATCTAACTAAAAATTGGCACTGAGTGCAGAAAGTTCCATCATCTTGAGCAAAGCATGCAGAGAGCCTGGGTGGTGTAGAGCAGGAAAGGGTGGAACTCTGACAACAGCTACAGAAAATACAGTAGCCTCCATTATCTGTGGTTTTGCTTTCTGCAGTTTCAGTAACCTGTGATCAAAAGTGGTCTGAAAATAGGTTAGCACAGTACAGTAAGATATTTTGAGAGAGAGACCATATTCACATAACTTTTACTACAATATATTGTTATAACTGCTCTATTTTATTATTAGTTATTGTTGTTAATCTATTACTGTGACTAATTTGTAAAATAAACTTTATCATAGGTATATGTGTATAGGAAAAAAACAGACTATATATAGGGTTTGGTATTATCTAGGGCTTCTGGCATCCATTGGGGGCAGTTGGAAAGTATCTCCCATGGGCAAGGAGAGAATACTGTATTTTTTCCTTATCTTCACAAGTGGTGGGCCAAAATCTGATATACTACTTTCTTCAAGCATACTCCTGAGGTTTTCCTGTTTGAGAGCCTGGCATTACATTAATTCCCTTTTCCGTAACCACACTCTGAATACACTTGATTAGGGTCAGCTTTTCTCACCCTCCCTCCCTCCTTCTCTCCCTCCCTCCTTTCTTTTCCTTCCTTCCTTCCTTCCTTCTTTCCTTCCTCCTCTTCCTCTCTTTCTTATTTGTCAATATCACATCCTTATCATCTCAAACATCAAATTCATGTGCCATTAGAATAAAGGAACTGTTGGAACAATGATGCCTTACTTCACAATATGTCTTTGTACAATATTGCTTTGCATATTTCTGAATCATAGGAGATTCATTAGAAAAGCAACTTAAACATTTTTTTTGTGTGTGGGCAGGATGAGAAATCATCTAGTGTTACCTGTCATGTCTTCTTGTCCAGTGGTAGTACATAAGCCCAGGGACAATGGTTTTCCATTTATCATATTGCCAGAACAATTGTCCGAGTGATTGTGGAGATAGCTTCCAGGAAATTCACTGGCTGGTAACTGATCATTGTTGGGATATTGCCTATGACTCTCCCTTTTTGCCACTTCATACTTCATGACTTATACCATGGAGGTTGATTCTTAGTGCTGACAACACTGAGGTCAAGAGCAGCCAGCCTCCTTGTCCCTGGGTGCTCACAGTGCAAAATCTGAATTTGGGTCCTTTCTTGAAAGTCTAGCACCACAGGGCATGTGAGTCCCACACGACCACAAAGGATGGAGCTGAGCCATAGTGCTCCTTTAGATAGGACATTTGTTCATCCATTCAAAGGAGGCCAGCCGGGCATGTTCATTCACTTGTCCTGACTAGCCCCTGTAGGCATTCAACTTTGACACAATTGAAAGACAAGATCATCTCATGTTAGAATCAAGTTTTTAAAAAATTTCATGAAGAATAACAGACATAAAGTGTGCACACATTAAGGTACACTTCACTGAATTTTTACAAACCAAACACACCCATGTAATCAGCATCACGATTAAGAAATAAAACGTTGTGAGCATCTCAGATGTTCTTGTGTGTCCTTCCAGTGACTACCCCTAACAACAGCATCCTGATGTCTCACTGGCCCTGGTTTTGACTGCATTTCTGAAATGTTTACTAACTCTTTAAGTATATGCTGCTTCATTTGATCCTTACAACAACACTGGGAGATTGGTAGGGCCAGGTAGTCAATCAGGTAAACACTGTTACTTTTATTCAATACCATCTTTTGCTGCTTTCATGATGACATTTGGGCAAGGTATTTTGTGAGTAACCTAAAGAAAATCCAACTGAAAATCTCCTAACTTACTGAAGTGACAAAATTTGAGACATTATGTAACAAATAAAACCCAACCCATGGAAAATACCTATTATTTCCAGCAGTGGGAGACTCAACTGTTGCTAAACTTCTGTTTTCCCCAGGCTTTTATTCATGTTGCTTGGTTAAAGGGCTATTATTATTAGAAGTGAAGAATCCAGTTGTTAGAACATTTGCTGTGGCTTTACGCTTGAATCTCAAAAGTTTGTATATTAGTGAGATACTGCAATGACTGTGAAAATACATAAAGCATTATTTTTATGCTTAGCATGAGACATGTAATACTTCCATTTGGGGAATTTATTTTGAAGGAAATGGCTCATTAGACCAGAAAATGCCTATTTTGTTTTCATTTCATTTTTTTAAAGATGTCTGTGCATGTTTGCATAGCAGGTAGAGTTAAAAACCCACTGTAGCAGGATTTCAGCTGTTTTTTCTTCCCTTTCAAAAACAATAACAGAAAGGGAAATTTATGTATAATATACCATAATTTACTCAAATTTAATGAATGCATACAATTTTTCATCCTCAAGTATTAATTATAGAGGAATTTACTGTAATTTATGATGCATTAGAAGATTATTTTTTGAAGAGACCTTAGCCAAAGCCAATGGCAACTCTAGCTCTCATTTATAATAATGGAGTAACTGCATTGAAACTTGACTTTTTCATTCTAATCATGTAATTGGAAAATAACATTTAACATACCCCCAAACATAATGAACTCATTAAAAGGCTTTTTATTTGTTATTTTACAATGGTTTAAAATAATTACAATGTTTTAAACAAAATTTTAGCCAGTATTTTTCTTAGTCCTTTATAGTCTAACAAATAGTGGTGGAGTATATAGCAACTTGCATGGTATTGTGTCTCAATAATTAATAGATTTTAAATTTTTTATTTCAAAGTTTTTGGGCTACAGTGGATTTTGGTTACATGGAGAAGTTTTTTAGTGGTGATGTCTGAGATTTTGGTGCACCTGTCACCTGAGCAGTGTACACTGTACCCAATATGTAGTCTTTTATCCCTCACTACCCTGCTCCCCTCCCCCCAACAAGTCCCCAAAATTCATTATATCATTCTTATGCCTTTGTGTCCTCATAGCTTAGCTCCCACTTACAAGTGAGAACATATAATATTTGGTTTTCCATTCCTGAGTTACTTCACTTAGGATAATGGCCCATTTTTCTCTTTTACATAAAAGAAAACCAAGTTTTCTCAAGGTTGGTATAAAGAAGTAGACCAGTTATTGAATAGTGGAAGGTAGATTTTATGGTCTTCTTTTGGGGGATTTTTTCCATATTTACCCCTACTCTACTCCTAACTCTAACTCTTATCCTAATTTTGTCCTGAGAAGAGGGTGTAGTGTTGTTCTGGGTATTCCACTCTGATTCAACTGTGAACGTGTAATCTTTACCTTTATAACCTGCAGTGCAGTTGAAATCAGGCAGTCAGACAGAACTTTATTAAAGGATAACAAAATGGAAATAATTTTTTTTTAAATAGCATGAACTAGACTATTTGGCTTCTGGGAAAGAACATATTTTCAGCTTGTATTTTCTGACAAGGATACCACAGCTCTTTTGTAGCTCCCTATATGCCTGTCCCTAAATGACGGAAGACATATTTGACCACTGCTTCGTGGAAACACCTTTACAAACATCTAGAACTCTCAAAGTCAATAGAACAATCTAGAGGCAGAAATAAAGCTGCCTCTTTTTGCTTTCACATTTCTTGTTTAAAGACTTTTTTCTTGGTGATTAATTGACAGAGGACCCCTCAGGAGAGAACTCACCTTCCATAGAAGCAGGCTCATGACTTGCAGCCTCCACAGGAGAACCATTTAATAATCTCATCCCAAACCTCCATAAACATACACATTGTGCACATATGTAGAAGAGTTTTGTATTTTTGACCCATGTGGGAAATCCTTTCATTTCTGTATCACAGTGAGATACCCATATTTCTTGCTATCTGTGCAGAAAAAGGAGGGATTCTGTCATAGTGAGGAGGGAAAATTGTTTTTTATTCCAGCCAGAAAAAGATCAACTAAAGACAGATCAACTAAAATCTTGACTAATGTTTGTATAGCTATGCAACATAGTCATCTTTGGTCCCTTCCAAACCATGGGACTTGACACATTGCACCAACTTTCTCCCTTTTCTGAGGCTCCACTCTGATGAAGGTGCTTCGTGTACTCTGCTTCATGGGAGATGGGGATTTTTCTGTGATCAGGTTTTTTACCAGCTTTGGAGGGGGTGCAGGGTATGCTCTGTCTTCTTAGATAAACATAGTGTTAATTAATCTTTTATATGCCATTTATAGACACCCAACTTAACCAGAGTAAGGAAGAAGGAATTGGTTTATGTAGCCAGGAAATATATTAAGATAGTTGTTCTTTCAAAGATTGATATGGTTAGTTAGGCTTTTTGTCCCACCCAAATCTCATCTTGAATTGTAATCCCCATAATCCCCGCATGTCAAGGGACAGTGCAGGTGGAGGTAATTGAATCATGGGGGCGGTTTCCCTCATGCTGTTCCTGCGATAATGAGTGAGTTCTCACGAGATCTGGTGGTTTTATAAGGGGCTCTTCCCCGTTCGTTTGGCACTCGTTTTTCCTGCTGCTTTGTGAAGAAGGTGTCTTGCTTCCCCTTCCCGTTCTCCTTCCCCTTCCACGATGATTCTAAGTTTCCTGAGGCCTCTCCAGCCATACTGAACTGTGAGTCAATTAAATCTCTTTCCTTTATAAATTGCCCATTCTCGGGTATTTCGTCATAACAACAGGAAAACGGACTAATACAAAGATGAATATTCAATAAGGACTGGAACCAGGAATCCAGTACTACCTGATTTAGTACTACCTGTTCGTTCATCTCCCATCTCTGCAGCTCTCTGCTTGGTTGCACTCTCTATATAGTCTCTCTTAGCTCTCCTGGTAAAAAGGTTATTTGCCTAAATTTTCATTTACTTATTCTAGGACAGTACTGTCAGTTTTGCTTGTCATGGCCTACGTCTTGGAACAATCACTGCTGAGGGTCAGTTCCAAACACATGGGAGAAGCTCTGGGGCCAGAAAAAGAAGAGGAAGGTTGAGGAATTTTGCTGGTTGACAAAAAAAGAGAAAATCTTTAATAACTTTTCAGAAAGCAAAACCAAAATTCACTACAATAGAGACTAAATATTTGTTCCCCTGAAGATTGATTCCCTTTTGTCTTTCCCCCAAGTACTTTAAATTCAGAAATTAATTGCTTAAAACAGCTAGTTTGGCAACAGAATAGGAGCAAAACAAATGAATAAAAATGGACATAGACTGGCTATTTCTATCAGGGAGAAATGGAGGAAATCATTTATTTTGACCATCCTAATAATTGCTATAGAAAGTAACATGATTGATTTAATGGTAATATTGAGTTAGGATTGAGTAACAAGGTGGCCTAAATATAGAGAATAATCATGCTGTGACCCAGCTCACCTGTGTTGTGGAGCGTATGCTACTTTGGGGAAAGGGATCTTCAGGTGTTGTAGTTTTACGCATTTAATCTGGTAGAAAAGGACCTCCAGGTGGTATACTTTTATGCATTTAATCTGGGGAAAAGGGATCACAGCTGGTATACTTTTCCATCAGGTTCAAGCATTCGGGAATGCAGGAGAGAACCTTCCCCTCAAAATTTGTTACTGATAATCAAAGGAAACAGATATACTTCTGGATTCTTTTGTGATATCCCTAGAGAGCTGTCGCTATTGACATATACTATTTTTATTAAACCTCAACCTATTGAGGCCACTGATATTTTGTGAGAAGTAATGCCCACTAATTTCAAACATTACTTTAGAGAGGAAACAGACCAATTTACGTAAAATAATTCACAGAAAGCCAATTAGCTTACAACTGTTTTGCGGAAAGCCAATTTGCCAAATAACCAATTTGCCTAAAACTAATTTGCTAAAAATCAATTTACTGAATGACTTATTCTCCAAATTATTGAGGATTAAAAATAATTTTTGGTTTCGCCACTGTTCCCACTTCTGCCAGTACCCTTTATAGCCACAGTTGCCCAGATGGGGTGTTTGTCTCTAGGGGTAAAACAGCTACAAACTGTGCCAAGACCTGTTCCAAGGTATTACATTTTCAATTTTAGAGAAAAGGAAACTGAGGCTTAGATAATTTAATTAACTTGCTTATTTAAGTAAATTATGAATCTAGACTATTAAGTACAGAAGTTTTTCTGGCTCCAAAGCATCTGCTGCTGTCAGCCATTGTGTCATGCATTGCTTGATCATCTGTAGTGTGTTGAATACTGTGACCGTATTGGAGAATTAGCTAAGGAAAAATAAGTCCTTAAAAACCAAAAGCTTTAATGAAAAGAAATGAGATAAATCAGAAAACATAAAACCAGTGTATTATCTAACACTCTGTGAGGAAATGGGATATTTGGATTGGTTAAATATTCTGTTTAAAATAATTACATATATTATACATTGGTAGAGATATCGAAATATGATAACATAAAAATACACAGTTCTACATCTTTATGGGAAAGAATGAAACTTTAGTATTTATTTTAGGTTGATTTGGAAGACTGCTGAGCTTGGAGTCATTATTTGGATCAAGAGGAGGTCAGATTCAGAGTTTACTTTGAGCCAAGGTCCAAAACGTAGTTAAAATATTGAGAGAAGAAAGTTATAAATTCATTTGAGAAATTTTATCAGCTATCAAACAAAATCATTACTAACAAAACTTTTGGGAATAACTCCCAGAAGCTGGGGTAGGGAGGGTACCATTACTTTGAATTAGCCCATTGTCAGAATGGCATCTTCCAGTGGTTGGGAGTGGTTATTGTCTTTTCTCGCAGAGTAAGAGCCTAAGGTACAGTTCAATGACCTCAGACAACAGTGACACTGAGGCTGATATGATACAGGTCTGATGGGCTGAGGCATCCTTGAGCCTAAGAAAACTGTGTCATTTTTCAACAGTAACTACAGTAGAACAAAAAGTCTATTTACATACTCAGATTTAATGCCTGTTGCTATGGAAAGTAACATGATTGATTTGATGGTAATATTGAGTTAGGATTGAGTAACAAGGTGGCCTAAATATAGAGAATAATCATGCTGTGACCCAGCTCACCTGTTTTGTGGAGCGTATGCTACTTTGGGGAAAGGGCTTCAGGTGTTGTAGTTTTACGCATTTAAGCTGGTAGAAAAGGACCTCCAGGTGGTATACTTTTAGGCATTTAATCTGGGGAAAAGAGATCACAGCTGATATACTTTTCCATCAGGTTCTGGGAATATCCTTCTTTTGCAAGGGAGGATATATTCTGGCTAAGTGTTTACTAGCTCTTTAAGAAAAAGAGAATTTTAGAAACTGTCTTCTGGTATTTAAATGGGAAACAGGACTTCTGTACTATATATTGTACTGCATATATTGCACTCTGTGATACCTTTGAATGAATTAGAAAATGAAGCACCTTTGAGGGATATGTGCAATTTGGCCAGTGAAATCTGGGCTGCACTCAGCTCCCCTGGTTTCTTGGCCGAGTGTCTTTGTACAGAGCACTGTCCTGTACATGTTTTTGAGTACTGATCAACCATGTTTTTCCTTTCCTATGCCCACATTGTGACCAACAAAATTACCACACTAATTACAATCTAGTTTCTAAAAGTACTCTCTTCCAAGTCAATTGTATATGCTTCCCAAATATTTTATAATATTATTAAGTTCTAATTGCTTTTGAATTGCTGATTGCTGTTCTTTCTTAGTTATTCATATTTATTTTAAATAAATTTATTTTATAGCATATTGATGTAAAAATGACCTATGATCACTATGTTTAAGAAGTACAGTAAGTCAGAAAATGTAATCAGAAAATGTAATACCAATATATTTCTAACACTCTGCGAGGGGATGAGATATTTAGATTCAGCCACACTAATTACAATCTAGTTACAATCTAAAAGAAAAAAGAAAGGTATCTCCCAGCCTGCATTTTCATCTTCTAGAAACAGCTACTGCAGGACTAGTCACTAGGGGCTAAATAATTTGCCGAAGTTCTAATCATCAATAAGCAAGGGAGACAGGATGGGGTTGGCCCTTTAACTTAGGGACCTGCTTTCTAAAACACTACACTTCTTCTTAAGCATTTTCAATCTCTCCATTGTTTCCTTTGGATTTTTCTCAGTTAGTGCCACAGAAAAATTGCATCTCTCTTTTTATTCTCTCTCCCTTTTGCTAGTTGGAAATCCCATATGATCCCGGTCAAGTCAAGTGAGTACAAGAATAGAGCTAATGATATGTCTTCATTAAATAAAATTAAAGTTTTACCTTTTGTAGTGAAATTAGACAATATCGGGAAGCAATGACATCAACCCTTAAAATATCTTGGGTCCTCTTCAGAATCTATAATGACATCTTCTACTGCCTCTTCCTCTTATAATTAAAAATTTAATTTAATTTACCTTAAGCACCAATGTTCAAGGGAAATTTCTTATTAAATTTTATTGTACTTCTTATTTTCCAAATGTATAGCAACTTTTACCTCACTTTATATGAATGAATTTGGATATTGCTTCAAACTTCTTTCTTAAGCTCAAATACCTCTTTGGAGTTTATGTGCATAAAGTATGGGATAGAGTCATAAAAGCAGCTTTATTTCTATGTAGTTGATTGATTGGTAGAAGAAGTTTATTGCACTGCAGTCAGCATTATAAGCGTTACTGGACTATATTGCACTTAAATGCTTTCTCTGTGTGGGCTCTTTTATGTCTTTATGTATTTAATTTTATTTATTGCATTTCAGCTTTCTACTCCATGGCATGTCGATTTACAATATAGACTGTTGACTTATTTTAATATAAATTTAATAAATTTTAATAAAATTTTGTTATATATTTGGACATGGGATGTGAAAAACTTTTGTAGTGACAAACACTATTTCTGTTTTTGCCAAAACAGAGATAGTTTTGACAAAGTGACATAATCCCTATTTTACAGACTTTATTTATGATGGATATTTAATAAGTTTTACTAACTTTTCGAAAAATTTTCAGAGTGATAAATTTTCACAGAAAGTAGGGGTAAAAGCTTCTGTTCAACTCTGTCCCTGACTCAGATCGCCTCTAGCTTTTGCTTTCCTGTAGCAGAATTGAGAAAGGTGGGACCCCAGAAATCCTGGTCTTAGAAGAGCTGTGACCTCTCCCTAAAGAAAGAATGCGCTCTATAAACGAATACAGCTTACCACTCTACATTTACTATACAGTAGGGAATATGAGAAAATATAATAATAACTATAGTGCTTTAAGATTAAATGTGAGCTTAACCTTAATTAATATTTACAATATTTAAGTACTGGAGTTTTCTTAAAGCCACTCATTTGTTTCCATAGATTTCACTTTTTTCTTTTATACACCATATTTTATGTGTTTATGCATTTTTAACTTGTATAAATGGCATGATAGTTTAGACCTTTTATTTTCTTTTTTCTTTTGCTTAAACTATGTTTTTAAGATCTTTCCATGTTTATTTGTATTTCTAGTTCATTGCTTCTAAGCAAGGCATAATATTTTATGGTATGCATTTACCATACTTTACTTATGTGTTTTTAGGCAACCGTGTGAGTGATTCTTTCTGGATATACTCTGGAGACGAATTACTAGGTCATTGGTTACACCACTCTGATTTTTACTAAATACTGCCAGATTGTTCTCCAGAATGACTGTGCTAATTTCATTTCTACATTTTGGCTAACTCTTGGTATTACTCAACTTCTAATTTTTGTGACTCTGATGGATATAAAGGGGTATTTTAATTTGAACTTTTTTCTAGTATTAGGTTGAGCAATTCTTCAATATTTGTTCAGCTATTTGCATTCCAATCTGAATTCCTCTTCCTGTCTTTTGCTCATTTTTTTTTTTTCTATCAGGCTTCCAGTCTTTTCCTTGACTTCTTGTAAGAAACTCTTTTGGGGTGCCAATATTAATTCCTAATTAACTCTTGGTTTTGAAAAGTTCTTCCACCCTCCTGGTCTGTCAACCATTAGTCTATGGTAATTTTGACAAACAGAAATTCTAAATTTTGGTTTAATCTTTGCCCTACTGGCCTTTTTGGATCTTAACAAGTCCTTCTTCATTCCAAAGTCACAAAGATTTTTACCCATAATTGCTTTTATTAGCTTCATATTTCCTCCACTAATTTTTCCCATGAAAACTTTATTTTACTAAACTTTAGAGACTATTACATTCTCTCCTCAGAATTCAAATCTGAACACCTACATGATGTAGTAAACCAGCATTTGGGCGGAAAGTAATACGTGACAGGAAACCAGTTTTTCAGGTTTAACCTAAGTTTAGATTAAAAAAACTGGAGTCTGAGGGAGATTTTTTGAATATGTCTGCATAATTCTTTAAACAGGAAGGAAAAAATTGTAAGTGCTCATACCTCTTGACCTGATTCTGTGCCAGTAGCCTGGAGGCAGAAGTAGGTATTTAGTGCATTCAAACAGGTAGCCTTAGAGCAGAGAGATAAATGTTTGTATTTTCTTGGATAATGGAAATACCTTTATGTAGCAGGAGTTTACGTGCATTCCCTGTTGTGTGAATAACAATTTTATTTTTAAACATTTCCATTCCATTCTAGCCCCCTTTCCTTGTGTGCCTTTCACATAACAACTATATATTTTTGAGTTGTTGCAGTGTTAAAGTGGTAGCTTCATGGAAACTCTGAGCATATTTTTTTGCTCCACATTTTTATTTTTTGTGCATTTGTTGTCTCTTTAAGTTCTTAAATTAACCTAACTTATAAATCGAGTCCTATTAGTCTCCATTTATTTTCTATTGCCTGAAATTTGTGTCAAAAAACTCAGAGGATACAGCCCCAGAGGAAACAACCTATTTCCCAATTTTAGATGTTAATTCATTACTAAGCTTCTTGGATCTTAATTTTAATTTTATATTATATTTTGTTGTTTGATCCTACATCTCACCTTAAAAATGTGGTCTGGGAAGAGTGATTACTGGGGGTATTAGCCTATGCCCTGAAGAAAGTATCAAGAATTTATACATACATCGAAAACTTTCACAGTTGATTTGACCATTGTCTTCTGGGGAGTTTGATTCTTTCATGCACCTGCCATTCCTGATATAGCCAGAGCTAAGTAAGCAGAGCCAAGGGAGAGGACTAGAGGGTACTGACATAGCAACCTCCCTAGCCAGCTGTGTGATCACCCCCTTAATCTACAGTCATTTTCCAGCTGTGAGGAAGAAGCTCTACAGCAGCTGCTCAGCACAAAGTGCTCACGTCCAGACTGGCTTAGGCAGGTGGCCGCTTTACTCATCTTCCCTTTTATTTTTTCCTTTTGTAAGCACGGATGTGTGCTCAGATGTGAGGCAGTTGTTCAAAGAACATCCTGGGATGAAAAGCAACTTTCATGCCATTATTAGGACTGAATCTTCAGATTTCATTAATTTAGTAAATATTAATGGCATCACTCAAAAGAAGTGCCCAATACTTACTTGGGTATTTTCTCATAAGGTTACTGTTAGCAAGACTCAAAATTAAATTTTCAAAATATAACTATTCTTATTTTTAAATATACATTTTATGATAATCCTCCTCCTGCCAGGGCTGGCCCTCTAACTAACTTGTATAATTTAAAGGATATAAAAAGGCCATTCTGCTCCTAAATAGTTCACTAGCTTGCTATGAAACCTGAAGTTCCTCCTGAGAGGCACTCTTTTGGTTAAGGCATTTTTTCTAGCCCAATGCACAGGCCCCAATTCTCTTGCAACATAGCAATTATATTGCAACCCTGCTATGGGAGAGCACCATGATGTGAACCGAGGATGGGAAAGGGCATAGGATACGGCTCCTGCCCTTGAGAGGTTTACAGTCTGTTTGGAAAGGCAGGGGACATATATTGAAGGTAAAATAACAAGGCAAGGGAGCATCTATGTAGATCACTACATTTACCTATGTAAATCATTTACATGTATAGGACTTAAAAAATGCTCTGAGGGCTGCTCTTCAGGGAAGGGCTTATGGATGACTGGGTGCTAGAGCCTGATCCTGAAAGAAGGTGGAGTTTGGAAAAGCAGAGAGACAATAACAAATATCCTAGACCAGGAATAAAGAAAGAGAGGATGTGTTCTGGAGCCAGGGAACAGAGTATGGTGATTGGAATGAATGAGTTCATTTAAGAGGTTGAGGACAATGAGATGCCGCGGTTGATGACAAGAGTTTGTGTGACAAGATCCAGTGAGTGGATATTTTTTGACATTGATTTTAGATGTAACATATGAAAAGCCTGACTTAAAAAGTATGTACAAACCAGGCACAGTGGCTCACGCCTGTAATCCCAGCACTTTGGGAGGTTGAGGCAGGTGGATCACCTGAGGTCAGGAATTCAAGACCAGCCTGGCCAACATGGTGAAACCCCATCTCTACTAAAAAGACAAAAACTAGCCAGGCATGGTGGTGGATGCCTGTAATCCCAGCTACTCAGGAGGCTGAGGCAGGAGAATCACTTGAACCCGGGAGATGGAGGTTGCAGTGAGCTGAGATCACGCCATTGCACTCCAGCCTGGGCAACAAGAGTGAAAACTCCGTTTCAAAAAAAAAAAAAGTACATGCAAATCACAGTTACTTTATTATTTGAGTCTCAAAAAGAATTAACAAAGGCTGGATGACAACGAGGTATCCTCCTAAACCAAATGGTGAACTCATAAAATCTGTTTGATTCCCTGTCATCTTTTTTTCAGAAACCTGATTTATTTTTCTCCTTGCTATCTGCTTTCCTTTCTACTGGAAATGATCTGAATGCCTTTGGGATTGGCCCATTGTCTGGCTATCCATGGTTACCTCATCAGAATATTTTAGGAAACAAATAAACCCGCTATTCCTGCCATCACTGGATATTCAAATACCTTTACTCTGTCCCTAGTACCTTCTTTCCCATACTGCCCTGTGCTTTACCTCGTCTGGCTCCTGTTTCCACTGTACTTCTCTCCTGACACATTTCACTTGGCCAACTGAATCCTGTTACTCCTGCATCCCTAAACCCTTCGTGGAATGTTTCCTTTCCTTCTTAATCATCCTAGACACCTAGCAGTCCCTACAGTTAGAGGTTTCAGGATTGCCCATTTGAGTGAGATTACACATTCTCTCACACCACAAATGCCTTAAGGTGGGATAAGCATCCTCCGTACTTCCCAGTGTCCCATCCAGATCATCCCCCACCCCCACCACAAAAATCAAAATCCTCAGTCCTTTAAAGCTCTTTAGTTGTTTCAACCTATTTATTTATTTATTTATTGAGACGGAGTTTCACTCTTGCCGTCCAGGCTGGAGTGCAATGGCGCGATCTTGCCTCACTGAAACCTCTGCTTTATTGGTTCAAGGGATTCTCGTGCCGCTGCCTCCAGTGTAGCTGGGATTACAGGCATCTGCTACCATGTCCAGCTAATTTTTATATTTGTAGTACAGACAGATTTTCACCATGTTGGCCAGGCTGGTCTCAAGCTCCTGACCTTGGGTGATCTGCTTGCCCCAGCCTCCCAAAGTGCTGGGATTAAAGGCGTGAGAAACCATCGTGCCTGGCCTGCTTCAACCAATTTACAGACTACCAATCACTCAGGTGTTTAGACCTGAGTTACTATTTTCCTTACCAATGCAACTCCTTCCATCATCTGGAATGACGTAAATTTTCGCATCAATGTTTAAATACAATATTTTAGCACGTTTCCTCTTTGTCTTCCTTCTGCTGACTTTTACACCCAGTTTATTTCAGGTACCTCTATAACCACATTCCGGACATCAGAATACTTGTAATGGTTCCTCCTGTTGAGTAATGTGTTGAAACCCTCCCTACTAGATAACAACTTTCTGTCTTTCTAACTTTTCATCAAATTACCCACTCTTTTTTTTCTCTCTCTCTCTCTTTCAGAGACTGAGTCTCACTCTGTTGTCCAGGCTGGAGTGCAGTAGCACAATCATAGCTCACTGCAGCCTCTAAATCCTGGGCTCAAGTGACCCTCTTACCTCAGCTTCCATAGCTGCTAGGACTACAGGCATGCACTATATGTTTTTCCCTGGCTGTTTTTGTTGTTGTTGTTTGTTTTTGAGAGACGAGGTCTTGCTATGTTGCCCAGGCTTTGAACATCTGGCCTCAAGTAATCCATCTACCCCACCCAACCTCCCAAAGTGCTTGGATAGAAGTGTGAGCCATGGTGCCCAGCCCTAACTCTCTTCTTGACCTTCACTTTCTTAGGAATATCTTGTCTTTTTACTCTTCTACTTCTTCCCCATATATCAGTCTACATATACCTTTCATTTCTTCCTTGTTCTTGACTGAATGGGATGGTCCATTTTTGTAACCATCCTGTGTCTGTATCCTCAGAACTCTTGAGCCATTGTCTGTCTTATCCACCAGGTAAAATTTCAACATTGGATCAATCCAGTTATATGCTTTCTTCATAACAACACATCACTTGATGAATGGTTGGAAAGACACAAATACAGATATACAACTGCATGAATTGTTGCCACCACAAATTCTTGGTTTCTAACTTCATCTGGTCATCAGTGTTGCCTGCCATTTCTTCTGGTGCCTTTCTTTAGCTTTCCCTCTATTTCCCCTCGTGCCTATTTCAAATCTTCTCTATGAGCCTCTGACTTCTGCCTCCATCCCTTCTACTCCATAGTCTCATTTTCAGCAGATGACTTTGACTCTAGACTCAGACAAAAATCAAAAACAAATGAACTCTCTAATTTTCCCTTCCTTACTGACTTAACTGCATGAACAACTATAATTTCTTATTTTTCTCCTGTTATATCAGAAACGTAACCTTCTACTTGAGGATTACCCTACCCATTGTGCTTTGAGTCCCATCCTTTTATGTGGTGCTGCTGTTAAGATAATTAATCTTGCATGTTTCTTCAGCCTCTTCACCTAGTCATCATCAGCTCTTCTTTAAATGCCCTACTCAACCCCAGCTCCTGTCCAACTATGGTTCCATCACTCTTCTTTCCCTCACCAGCAGAAGTCTCCAAAGAGTTGGCTGAACTCGATGCATACTTTATTCACTTTCCCATCCACACTCTCTCCCTTTCATTGCGTGAATCTGCTCTTTTACAAACCTGTAGTGGTTCCTTCAGAAATGAGATGTTTCTACATGCTCATCCTCCTTGCCTTCTGTGCAGTACTGACATTTCTGTCTTCTCCCTCTTTCCTGAAATAGTGTTGTCCTCTTATACTGCAATTCTCTTCAAAACAGATTCGCCATTGGATGTGGGAACCTTCAACTTGCCAACGGAATTCATGCCCATCTATCTCCACTCAAGCTTTCCATCTTCCCTGTTGTTGTAGAAGAAGAGGTGTTCCCTCTTTCTTGAGGCTGATGCTTGAATCCACCCAGCCAGAAATCCTCTTTCTCTACCTTGACATAATGCAGCATCATGTCCTAGTGATTCTACCCACTTACCATCTCTTGGATCTGCCCAGCCTCTCCATCCCCACTTTTACTATTCTGGATCAGTTTACCATGATCAGGTCCATA
Source organism: Homo sapiens (assembly GCF_000001405.40). NCBI lineage: Eukaryota > Metazoa > Chordata > Mammalia > Primates > Hominidae > Homo > Homo sapiens. The sequence goes on from NC_000007.14 coordinate 115,151,507, forward strand.
CTGGTATTTAACTGTTTCTTCAGAGGCTAATTTATTGCTACACTAATAAAGCTTTAGCTTTAGCATTCTGTATTTCCAAAGGCCTTTGAAAATGCTCTGGTCTTAGAATTTTATGTATTTTTTATTTTATGGAGAGCCTCCAAATTGTCTAAGCCTCAGTAGCCACCACCCCTGGATCTGCCCCCAGGACTACATGTTCTATAGTCTCTGGTATTGTGCTATGCTAACACATTCTCCACACTGCCATTACAGTATTTTTTCCTAATATGACCATCATATAATGCCACTTTCTTGCTTAAAAATTCTTCAATGACTTCTTATTGCTTTTAGATTTCTGGAAAAAATTCCTAAATACAGCTTTTAGATCCATCCTGACCTGACCTCTGCTTTTCTCTCTTGCGTTGCCTTTGACTACACGTTTTAAAAGTTTTTCCATCATTCTCTCATCTCCAGTCATGTAAGCAGAGCAGGTTTTCTCCTTTAAAGATGAGGAAAATAAATCTCAGTGAAGGTAAATCATGTTCCTAAGCTTATGGAAAAAATGACTTATGTGGCTGAGATTTGGGCTGTGTCTTCCGATCCTTTTGAAAATTTATTTTTCCATTATAAAATGTGGCTTCTACATACAAATGTGCTCATTCTGGGATTATTTAGAAAAAAAAAACACAGAAGTCTTTGAGAGTAATTTTTGGGTCATATACTAGGTGATAAGATTTTTATTATTTGATTAGTATGTAAACAAAATTAACTGTTTTTAATGTATAAAACTGATCTAATTATATTTTAGTTACTTCAGTAATGAATATTTTCATAACTATTTGCAGACTGGCATATTTTAGGACCTGTATTTTTCAAAGAGATGCATTTATTAAGGGAATAGTTACAGCGGTGATGCTTCCATTTCTATGTGAGGCCAAACTGATTTCAGAGTAGTAGACCCACCCTCTAAAACCTGACTAATCTTTAGATAGGTTTCTTCCTGACTGTGGCACCTGACTTCCCTCCCTTAAAGTATTTACTTCGAAAAAACTTGCAATTGTAAACTCTTTCTCTGCCCTTTTGAAATGTAAATCTTCTAAAAAAGTATAATTATCAAGAAAGATAAGGTTTTTATCTCTGTCTCTGTGGGAAGGTAGAAGCCTAACTTCCATAAGTGCTGATTAGCAAATACAGGTGCCTAATCAGATTCACAAATCTCGCCTTTAAAGTCTTCCAGTACTTTCCTGTAACTCACCCTAGTGCTTAAAGATTCCCCTACCTTTGGTTTCAGTGGACTTGAGTTCAGTCTCTCTCTCCCATATTGCCATCATATTAGTCTTCCTTGGCATCTTCAATAGCTATCAGTGTAATTTTGCTTTTATGGTGCCTACTTATAAGAGTGTTTCTAAAACTATAGAGAAATGTATTTGTAGGCACAACAGTTACTGATCTTGCTTTTTCTATTTCACTTGCTAAAAAGCATTTATTCTAGGTATTTGCTACTGGTAAACAGAAAAAATGTATAATTCTCAAGGATCATGTGCACCCCTCCAGAGCCCACTGATTTGTTTAGACCCTCCCATCTCTGAACAGATTCTGACATAGCTTATCACTTTAGCTCATGCTCCTCTTTATCCTCTGTGTAGTATAGATTATTTTCTCAACAACATTCTCCTTAGTATATAAGAGCAGACAGCATTGTTTTCCTTGCTGATACTGCCTTATATTATTTTATGACATGGTTTCATTTGTCTCCATAGGGGCAGAATATTGAGAAGGATGAATATAAGGAGAGGCCGTTCAGCCCATCAAGCTCTTTTCCTTTTAATGTACCCTAGAGAACATTTAATTGCTTCTTGAATGACCCCCAAGGTCTTCCTAGAATGAGCTTGTTGTCTTCTTTGTGGAGGAGACCATCCCCATTTCATTCGAACTCATTGTGACTTAATTATAGGATACATATAATAAATTGGAGGCAATCAGTAATCCTTAATCAAACAGGGTAAATTTATTTCACATGCAAGACACAATGGGCCCTTGTGAAATAGATGGCACACTTTCATTTACTGAACGATACCCAGATTAATTAACTCACCTGATAGCTGTGGTTTCAATTTCCCAACTCAACTCAAGTCTGTCTTATGGTTGCCCTTCTTTCTTTTTCTTATTCCATGAAACTGATCTTTAATAGACTTTCAGATTCAATGATTATGATTTCTCTCCACATATATTTTCTTGTCATCATATAAAAAAGCGTAAGTTTGTCTACAAACAGCACATAGTTTGCATATGTATTTTATATTACATATGATGTATTATATATGTGCACACACACACACACACACACATGCACACACATACACACACCCCTGCATGGTGGCGCACATTCAGTGGAAAAGATGCCAGACTGTCTTTTTTTTTTTAACGTGGCATTTCTTTAGTTACAACTCTATTACAGATCTGAGTTCACTGGGTCTATTTCCAGAATTTTGCAATAATTTCTTTAAGCCTCCAGCAGTGCCTAATCACTTCCTAGAGCAGAGATTTTAGCTGTTTGGTTTCTGCTGGCTGTTTTCCCTGAAAATTACTGTAAGAAATTTAATTGATTTTTTTTATTTATCTTCTAAAAAGTTGAGGTTTTTATTAAATTTAAGTGTCTGTTTAGTGCCTCTCATTGTGTATCCTGATTACTTTTGGTGACTCAGTGTAACATTTAATAACTGTTAGTTTTCTTTTGAAGAGTTCTTAACCAGGAAACAAGAGTTCTTACAGCTACATAGATAATTAACTTGAAGCTTGTCTGTCTCCTGAGAGACATCAAATATGTAAATGAGGAACTTAAGCCTTAACAAGACATGGTAAGAAAATCACTAAAAGTTTTATCACATGAAGGCTAAAATCCGTGTTTTTTAAAAAAATCAATATGCTTTGAAGAACTAATATATGCTTCTTGCTTAGGATTTGCGAAATTTATGGGCTTTAAATTCTTTTTCAAAGCTGCAGGAGCTAGCCAGATCTGTTAACAAAAAACTGGAGTAGTTTTTAAAAAATGAGGAGAGGAACCACATTTGAATGCTTCACAATGCCTACCATATTATTGAAACTCAACAAATATTTGATAAACTTGTACCAAATTTTTCTTTTTTATTTTACAAATGCCATTAGCTATACCTAACATTCTTTCAAACTATTAATCACACCACCTTTCAGAGCTAACCAATAATTGATATCTTTGGTCTGTTTTTATTAATAAATTAAGAGGGTAGAGCTATTTGTGTTTAATGTTTTAAACTTGATTAACCAACTCTCTTCATTTTTCTGTACATACTTGTATTATAAAATGTAACTCAAGAAAAATATGGACAAAAAGACCCTTTACATTTCTGTGCTCAGTTTTTTTGTTTGCTTGTTTCTTCATTTGTTTGTTTTGAGACAGGGTCTTGCTCTGTTGCCCAGGCTGGAGTGCAGTGATGCTATCATGGCTCCCTGCAGTCTTGACGTCCTGGACTCAAGTAGTTCTCCCACCTCAGCCTCCGAGTAGCTGAGACTACAGGTGTGCACACCCAGCTAATTTTTTTACCTTTTGTAGAAACAGGATTTTGCCATGTTGTCCAGGCTGGTCTCGAACTCCTGAGTTCCAGCAATCTGCCTACCTCGACCTCCCAAAGTGCTGAGACTACAGGCGTGACCCACTGCACTCAGCCTGTGCTCGCTTTTTAATCTGAAAAGAAAACATAAGTTTTAGTTACCTGGATAAAATATTTTTGTTATAATTGATGGATTATATTTCCTGGAGACATACTGGAACTAGTGAATGGAATGGCTGAAGGTGAGAAACTATTTGTAAGTTCTCCCCACAAATAGTTTTCTTGAAGATAGATTTTTAATTTTTAGAAAAGATAAATCATTTGAAGCTTCCAAAGACAATTCACTGGCCTCTCAGTGGGTTATGTACTTCTAACAAACTATACTTGTGATTCATTCCTCAAGTCTTTAGGTGGGTATACAGGTAGAATATTTGGTATTCTAGAGCTGCAGTTAGAAATAACATTGAACATAGGTACAAACATATCCCCTGCTTCAGACTTGGTTAGAAGTTCCTGTGGTTGGTGTTGTGGTATCTGTCTACCAGGGGCTGGCGTCCACTTTGTGTTTTATTTTCTTCTGTCAGAATTTAGTGAGTGCCTCCCATGTCAACAGTGGCAAATCTGATCAAAGGGAAAATGCCCAAATGAGAAAAGGCAGGGGCAACAATAGTGTTTTCTTTACCATATTAAAGCCAAATTCACTTCCATTTTTCCTATCATGCTAGTTTGTTAAATATTGCCAGCATGTGCTTCCTACATTATAGCATTTCTCAGTTTTCCAAAGGATAAGCTATTGCCAAAATTCTAGTCATAATATCAATACAACTTTTAATGACAATTCCTTTTTTTCTTTACGTGTGTCTCAGGAGTCTTATAAGTATGATGCTCTGAAGAGCTCTGAGTGGCCCAGGACCCTGGGGTGGTTATTATGGCCAAGCAGGCACTAAATCACCATAGGGGGTATGAGATATTTCTCAGCTCACAAGAACTTTACAGCCTCACAGGGAGATGAAGTTCAAATTATGCAAATTCACTAGCTTGTATGGCATGCATTTGGTTCCCTCTTGACTTCCAACGTCTCCTCAACATATTTTAGATCTCTTAAATTTATAATAAAAACATATTATGTTGGTATTGGACTTGCGTATTCATAAAGCTTAGTCACATTCAATATCTCACCTGGTCCTTGTAGCATTGCTCTATCACTGGCTACTTATTCATTGGCCCTGTTAACAGAAATCAATTTCCTAACCCATTGAACAAATCATCTAGATAGAAGTAAGTTGAACCAAGTTGCCCTAAAAGCAAGAACAACAAAAAGAACAAGAAAATAGAACTGGCTTGATCTCAGAGCAGTAGTTGTGTAGTAGTTGTATTTTGGCTACATGAATTAATCTAAGAAAGCTTTAATTATCCATTACTTGACGTATAAAAAGCTGGACCAATTATCCTTTAATTCTTCCTTCTTTGGAGTCCCCTCTTCAGAGCCATTCTAGAAAATACATGGTGAATTGGCTCACTCTATCAGAAGAGGAAAAAAAAATGAAGAAAATAAAGACTCGTCTGGCTTACTATTTAATTCATTATATAAAATGTTCCTTTTAATCACATGAATAATTTCCAATTTTGTTATAAATATTTCCAATTAAAACTAAACAAGTGATACTTTTAGGGATAAAAAGGAGTTTATGGTTCAACATTTGGCCTTTTAAAAGATAACTTAATTTTACTTCCTTCAAAGTAAAGGAAAGATTTCAAACCTTTAAATTATTAGAACACTTGGCTTTTGGGAATATAGTAAAAGGATTATTTTTAGTTAAATTACTGGGACCACCCTTAATAATTCATGATAGCTACATCATTCATGACTTAAGATTGCCTTAATTAGAGGAGATTCCATTTCACTTCACTTTTTGCTATTAGCACATATTACTGTTTCAGTTTTCTCTTTAGCATTATTGACATCATAGCCAACTTTTTATGTGCCAGATACATAATTATTATTTATATTTAAATTTATGATATTTAGAAAGTAACACATAATGCAGATATATAAAACATAACAGAAAAAGGTACTTTTTCCTGAAATCCACAGAAATGCATCAATTCTAGGATGTTTGATGTCCTGGTAATTTTAGTTTTATTTAGTTATCAAAACAGGAAGGTGCTTTGTGACTATTTTCTTCAGTTAAGAGATGCTTTACAGAGAATCGTGGCTTTGAAAAAACACAAATTTTAGAATATTTCTGAGAAAGCTTTAATTTGTTCTTTACTGGTTTATAATTGCTGTGAGGATAATTAGGGAATAAAAGCTAACTCCATGCTTAAGAAAACTTGTAGCTGTCATTGACTGTTCTTAGTCTTTTTCCTTGTATTTCTTGTTCAAGGTAATCACTCGCAAAGGTTGTTATATTTTGATAAATGGACAAATAAAATATATTTTCAAATTACTTTTAATATGATCAAGTTCAACTTTAAAAAGTGACTCAATTATTTCTTGACAGAAAAATATAAAGTGGTATAGATTTCAAATTTTAAAAAGATTGCAAAATTTAAAATACAAGAAAATATATTTGGCAAATATTTATTGTTATAGCAATCATTAACTATCAGGTAGTAACTTTGTTTCAGGATTCTAAAAATGGTGAAAGGCAAACAAGAACTTGGTAATTAAGTACCGAATGAACCTATATTTTCAAATGTATTTTGTTGTAGAGAGCCAAGAGAACACTGTGAAGCTATATAGATGTAATCTGGTTTCTTCAGTTTGGTTTCTCATGGATTCTATTTATATACACTCAACATTGAGCATTAGTCAAATAGTATTTTTAAAGCACTATGATTTTAACCAGGGATTTGTTTAATGAGTTTGGTTTTGGATCTTGTTTTGTGTGCAAACATACTATTTTGATTTAATTTTTTCTGACATGATGCCCACTGCACAGTATAAAAAAAGTATAACTGTAGTTTTGTCCTTTATAGCACAGGACAAATAAATGTCAAAATCAAATGGTGGTGTCCCCCAAGGGAAAACACACTTCAGTGATGAAATATTCTTCCTCACTTCCCATTGCTATTCCTCTGAACACCCAGGTGAAGCCGCCTCAGGACCTAATCAAATGCTGCTAATTTGCATATAATAAAAATCCTGCCACGAGATTTTAGAACATTAGGAGGAAAAGTGCATAGTCTCCAAAATGGTAAATTATGAAAATATGTATACATCTATGAATCAATAGCTTATAAATGCTCAGAATAGTTTGACTAGACCCAATGTGTTATGAGCATCAGCTTATGTTGATGTATAAATTGTCAGTTTAATTCTCTGTTTAATAAAAATCTTTGGAAGTGACACGCGACTGTTTCCTATGTTCCTTTAAAATGCTGTGATATTGATAAAATGTCAGACCTCCTCTTGGACATGACGATAACAATCAACTTCACAAAGCAATCATTAAGGTACCTTTATAAAGACAGCTGTTTGAGGAAAAAGGTTTTTCCTGGAAACTATTTGTACTTATAATAGTCCTTTTGTTTTTCAAAAATAACAATTCACACTCAATGTAAGATTTTCTTACCAAAATTATCCCCACCACAAATTATTTTAAAAAGTGTATTTTTAAGTCACCTGAAGTATCTTTTAAATGAATTTTTTGAACCAGGTCCCTGGTTGTCTTGATAATTTCTGCGTTTATCAGGTGGTTAAAAATAAACTTATTTTGCAATATTATTTTTTAATCTATGGAGTGAAACCCTTTTTAAAAAATGCAGTTACCATCAAATTCACAAATACAAGGTTTTCTAAATTTCAGTTCCCTAAGCCTAACATTATACATGTAATTTTGAAAAATCTCACCTAGAAATTACAGAAAACTACCTAGGCATTTGAAATTAAGGCAAAATCCCCCTTCTCTAAAATTGAAATACTCAACTAGTAAAGAAATATACCTGAATTTGGAGATATCTCTGAAGGTTATCCACTATTGAGATACTAATTGTCATTGCATTTGCATAGGACATAGTAAATATGATTACATTTTATGCTTTTAAAGACATGATAAATTACAGAGAGTGATTTGCCATTTGAAATCCATATGGTCAGAAGGAAAAAGGCATAACTTAAACATGAGAAGTTAAAGATAGAAATTTCCTGCCTGGGGTAGAATTGAAGAAGTTACTTAGGGACATTTTGAATTTTTTGAATTAGAGTTTTTGTAAGTACAATTGATTCTCATTTGCCAATGACATTCTATCTGTAGGGAGAAGAACAGACTAATATTTAGCAGTGTGTCAGTGGGCTTCCATGTAACAAATCTCATCATTACAGGAATGTTAGCGTTCTGCAGTTCAAATCATGTTTTCTGAAAAGTATGTAGAATAAGATCTTGTGCAAAAGCAAAAATAACAATCACAACGAGAAGAAAGATTTGTCTCTGTTACCCAGCAGCAAGCTAGTAAAGACTATTATTTTTATTTAATGCAACCATGAGATCACTCTTCCTTAGACACAAGAAATAGAATTTATATACCTGGGGAATGAAGACTCTGTCTTTCCCTTTAGAGAGGAAATAGAGGTAAAAGAAGTGGAGTATACTGAGAGATTTTAATTCTTTATTGGCAAAAACATGCTCAGGGACCTGCCAGTCTACCAGAGCAGACTGGAGTCCCCAGGGGGCAGAGATTGTATTCAATTCATCTTTTTGTTACAGGGCCAGTAGTATAGTACACCCTCCACCAATGAATGAAGTAAACATCAATTGGTCAGACGTCCTCCTTTTTCTAGGCTGAATACTCCTTTTACATGAACTTAAATTATATTTTTATTTATTCAGCAACAGAAAGTACTTAGTGTACACAAGGATTTGAGTATTTCTTGTATTAATCCTATAGCCATCTAGTTTCCTGGGTGGACATTTCTCCTTCAGGCGATCAGTGGCCTGATAGTGTTTGTGTGGTTGCCATCTCTTTTTAACCTTTGCACTGCAAGTGCAGAGCTGAAGGGGCATTCTGAAAAGATGGATACTTTTTTCCTTCCCTTCTCCAAATGAAATGATGGAGTGTAGCTGTTGACACCTGACTTGCTTTCCAAGAATGAATTTATCCAGTGCCATCAATGATCTCCCTCCCACTTTAGGCTGCAAGTAGGCATTCTCTTGTTCTATGCTTCCATAAATTGAAGAAAAGTTTGGAATTCATGAAGGTGCAATCATTTAGAGCAAAGATTCCCCTAGGCCATGTACCAGTTCATGGCCTTTTAGGAACCAGGCTGCAAAGCAGGAAGTGAGTGGCAGGCCAGCGAGCATTACCGCCTGAGCTCTGCCTCCCGTCAGGTCAGTGAGGCATTAGATTCTCATAGGAGCACAAACACTACCGTGAACTGCGCATGCGAGAGATCTAGGTTGTGCGTTTCTTATAAGAATCTAATACATGATGATCTGAGGTGGAACAGTTTCATCCGGAAAACCTCCCCCATCTCCTCCACAGAAAAATTGTCTTCCACGAAACTGGTCCCTGGTGCCAAAAAGGCTGGGGACTGCTGACTTATAGACTAAAAATTAGACAGCTTCCTTTGTTTACAAGTTAAGAAACAAAATGAATAATTTTAAGCCATTTGTAATGACCACATGATTACAAATTAAAAAAAATTTGAATTCAAGTTTATGCCTTTCTTCCTGCTTCATTATCACTTTCAATTCTTTCTGTCACCTTCTCTTTCTCATTCCATTTCTACTGTTATCTTGTTGAAGTAATTCTTTCATATCAGTAATCTGCTTTGAAAAAATATTTTGGATTTTCCTTGGCTGACTAATAGAAATCCAGGAGAAACCTGGTGAGATGTACACAACTTACTTTGATGACACGCTGCCTTTGTACATTGTAAACATCTGTAGAGTACACTATGGGTGCTTGCATAGTTTCTGCCATAGTTTAGGCTTTTATTTTCACTCAATGGTTTTCTTATTTATATCATTCATCTAAGTTTTTGATGGAATTGCCTCAAAATTTATGAAGAAAATTTTTCTTGGATATTATTATTAGTTTCCATTTCGTCCTATTCATGAACAGTCCTACACTTTTTAGAATAATTTAAATTCTTGACAGCTTGAAAACGTATGGCCTTACAATCATTCTTGAGCATATTTTTTCCTTGTCACATTTCCTCATATGTAGCAAAAGTAGGGCAGTACATCTAAACGTTTATAAAAATAAATGGGGAAAGCATAACTTCAAACATGCAAGATTTTATTTTTGGTGTTCAAGGCCTATAATAGATTTCTAAATTAGTATTTTTGGCTAATACATATTTTGATTGTTTCATTAATTGATGAGCAAATTATTAGTTCTGTAAAATGCTTAAACACTTTTAACCTAATCTCCTTCTTTAAATGTCATATTTTTTCCCAGAGTTTAAAAACTTATCTGTGTCTTATAGCATTTATGCCAAATTAACCGGGACTCAATTGATAATCATCAGCATATATTTGTTTCCAACCAAAGGTACCATTTGTACATGGCATTTATTTAGCATTATCTAAAGTCTTAAGACAGCTTCACATGTAATAAAATCTAAAAAATGAAGTTTAAATGAGTCTGTAATGTCCTTTGCCCACTTTTTAATGAAATTATTTGTTTTTCCTTGTTGGATTGTTTGAGTTCCTGGCAGATTCTGGGTATTAGTCCATTGTTCGATGCCTACTTTGTAAATATTTTCTCCCATTCTGTAGGTTGTCTCTTTACTCTGTTAGTAATATCTTTTGTTGTGCAGAAGCTTTTTAGTTTAATTAAGTCCCATTTGTCTATTTTTATTTTTGTTGCATTTGCCTTTCGGGTCTTAGTCATAATTTTTTTTTTGTCAAGGCCAATGTCCAGAAGAGTTTTTCCTAGGTTTTCTTCTAGAATTTTTATAGTTTCAGATCTTAACCTGAAGTCTTTAATCCATACCATTATTCCATTTTCACACTGCTGATAAAGACATAGCTGGGACTGGGCAATATACAAAAGAAAGAAGTTTAATGGACTTATAGTTCCACATGTCTGGGGAGGCCTCACAATCATGATGGAAGGCAAGGAGGAGCAAGTCACATCTTACATAGATGGCAGCAAGCAAGAGAGAGCTGGTGCAAGGAAACTCCCATTTTTAAAACCATCAGATCTTGGGAGACCCATTCACTATCATGAGAACAGCGCTGGAAAGACCAGTCCCCATAATTCGATCACCTCCTACCTTGTTCCTCCCATGATGCATGAGAATTGTGGGAGTTACAATTCAATATGAGGCTTGAGTAGGGACACAGCCAAACCATATCGTTCTGCCCCTGGCTCCTACCAAATCTCATGTCCTCACATTTCAAAACCAATCATGCCTTCCCAACAGTTCCCCAAAGTCTTAACTCAGTTCAGCATTAACTCAAAAGTCTACAGTCCAAAGTCTCATCTGAGACAAGGCAAGTCCCTTCTGCTTTTGAGCCTGTAAAATCAAAAGCAAGTTAGCTATTTCCTACATACAGTGGGGGTACAGGCATTGATTGGGTAAATACAGTAACTCCAAATGGGAGAAATTGGCCTAAACAAAGGGACTACAGGCCCCATGCAAGTCCAAATTCCAGCAGGGCAGTCTAATCTTAAAGGTCCAGAATGATCTCCTTTGACTCCATGTCTTGCATCCAGGTCACACTGATGCAAGAGGTGGGCTTCCATGGTCTTGGGCAGCTCCAGCCCTGTGGCTCTGCAGGGTATAGCCTCCCTACTGGCTGCTTTTATGGGCTGGTGTTGAGTGTCTGAAGCTTTTCCAGGCATATGGGGCAAACTGTTGGTGGATCTACCATACTGGGGTCTAGAGGATGGTGGCCCTCTTCTCACAGCTCCACAAGGTGGTCCCCACACAGTAGGGACTCTATGTGGGGGCCCCGGCCTCACATTTCCCTTCCACACTGCCCTAGCAGAGGTTCTCCATGAGAGCCCCACCCCTGTAGCAAACTGCCTGGACATCCAGGGATTTACATACATCCTCTGAAATCTAGACAGATTTCCAAGCCTCAGTTCTTGACTTCTGTGTACCCACATGCTCAACACCACATGGAAGTTGCCAAGGCTTGGGACTTGCACCCTCTGAAGCCATGGACTTAGCTGTACCTTGGCTCCTTTTACTCATGGCTAGAGCGGCTGGGACACAGGGTACCAAGTCCCTAGGCTGCATACAGCAAGGGGACTCTGGCCCAGCTCATGAAACCGTATTTACCTCCTAGGCCTCTGGGCCTGTGATAGGAGGGGCTTCCATGAAGATCTCTGACATGCCCTAGAGACATTTTCCCCATTGTCTTGGGGATTAACATTCAGCTCCTCGTTACTTATGCAAATTTCTACAGCTGGCTTGAATTTCTCCTCAGAAAATGGGTTTTTCTTTTCCATCACATTGTCAGGCTGCAAATTTTCTGAACTTATACTCTCTGCTTCCCTTAGAAAACTTAATGCCTTTAACAGCACCCAAGTCACCTCCAGAATGCTTTGCTTCTTAGAAATTTCTTCTGCCAGATACCCTAAATCATCTCTCTCAAGTTCAAAGTTCCACGAATCTCTAGGGCAGGGGCAAAATGCCACCAGTCTCTTTGCTAAAATATAACAAGAGTCACCTTTGCTCCAGTTCCCAACAAGTTCCTCATCTCCATCTGAGACCACCTCAGCCTGGACTTTATTGTTCATATCATTATCGGCATTTTTGTGAAAGCCATTCAACATGTCTCTAGGAAGTTCCAAACTTTCTCACATTTTTGTCTCTTCTTCTGAGCCCTCCAAACTGTTCCAGCCTCTGCCTGTTACTCAGTCCCCAAGTCAGTTCCACATTTTTGGGTATGTTTTCAGCAATGCTCTACTCTACTGGTACCAATATTGTATTGGTCTATTGCCACACTGCTGATAGACATTCCTGAGACTGGGCAATTTACAGAAGAAAGAGGTTTAATGGACTTACAGTTCCACATGGCTGGGGAGGCCTCACAAACATGGTGGAAAGCAAGGAGGAGCAAGTCAGATTTTACATGGATGGTGGCAGGCAAGAGAGAGAGAGCTTGTGCAGGGAAACTCCCATTTTTAAAACCATTAGATCTCATGAGACTCCTTCACTCTGCCAAGAACAACTCAGGTAAAACCTACTGCCATAATTCAATCACCTCCCACTGGGTTCCTTCCATGACATGTGGAAACTGGGAGTTACAATTCAAAATGAGATTTGGATGGGGACACAGCTAAACCATATCATCTATCTTGAGTTAATTTTTGTATATGGTGAGAAATATGGGCCCAGCTTTATTCTTCTGTTTATGGCTCTCCAAGCTTATGGATAGTGTGGTTCAGTATTGCTTTGGACAATATCATCATTTTAATGATATTGATTCTTCTAATCAATATGTGTAGGTTGTTTTTCTATTTGTTTGTGTCATCTACGATTTCTTAGTGTTTTGTAGTTTTCCTTTAAGAGAATTTTCACGTCCTTGATTAATGTATTCCTAGGATTTGCGGGTATTTGTAGCTATTTTAAATAGGATTAAGGTCTTGACTTGGTTCTCAGCCTGTTATTGGTTTATAAAAATGCTAATAATTTTTTTTTTTGAGATGGTGTCTTGCTCTGTCACCCAGGCTGGAGTGCAGTCATGCAATCTTGGCTCACTGCAAGCCCTGCCTCCCAGGTTCACGCCATTCTCCTGTCTCAGCCTCCTGAGTAGCTGGGACTACAAGCGCCCACCACCACACCCAGCTAATTTTTATGTTGATTTTTTTTTAATCCTGAAACTTTGCTGAATTCACTTACTAAATTTGGAGTCATTTAAAGGAGTCTTTAGGGTTTTCTAGGTATAAGATTATATCATGAACAACCAGAGATAATTTGACTTCATGTTTTCCAGCTTTTATGCCTCTTAGTTTTTTCTCTTGCCTGATTTCTCTAAGGTCAAGAGTTTGAGTACTATGTTGAATAGGACTGAAAGTGGCAACCTTTTCTTGTTCCAGCTAACAGGGGGAATTTTAACTTTTTCCTGCTCAGTATGATGTTGGCTGTGAGTTTGTCATATATGGCTTTTATTATTTTTTATTTGTTGTCTAGTTTTGTGAGGGTTTTTATCATGAAGAAATGATGACATTTATCAAATGCTCTGTGTCTATTGACATCATCATATGGTTTTTTTTGGCTTAAATTCTGTTTATTTGGTGAATTGAATCTATTGATTTATGTATATTAAACCATCTTTGTGTCCCTGGAATAGAACCCACTTGATTTAGTATGTTATACTTTTGATGTGCTTTTGGATTCAGTTTGTTTGTACTTTGAGGACTTTTGTTTCTATGGTCATCAGGCATATTGGGTTATAATTCTTTCTTTGCCTGGCTTTGGCATCGAGGTGATAATGGATTTGTAGAATGAGTTAGGGAGGATTCCCTCCTTTCCAAGCTTTTGGAATAATTTCTGTAAGATTGGTACTAGTTCTTCTTTGTACTTCTGATAAAATTCAGCTTTGAATCCTTCTTGTCCTGTGCTATTTTTGAAGAGGCAGGAAGTATTCTTTTATTACTGATTCGATCTCATCACTCATTATTGGTCTGTTCAGAATTTCTATTTCTTTCTAGTTCAATTTTGGGAGGTTTTAGGTTTCCAGAAATTTATCTATTTCCTCTAATTTTTCTAGTTTGTGACTAGAGAAGTTCACAGAAATACAAGAGATAAACAGAAACATTTTGTTTTATTAATCCTTTGTATTTTTTCAATTTTATTTAGTTCTATTTTTATATTTGCTATTTATTTTCTTCTGTTAGCTTTGGCTTTGTTTTTGCTTGCTTTTTTTTTTTAGTTCCTTGAGGTACAACTTTAGGTTTTTAATTTGTGATCTTTCTGTCTTTTTGATGTAGACATTTAATACTCTGAACTTCCTTCTTAGCACTGCTTTTGCTATATCCCAGAGATATTGGTATGTTGCGTCTCTATTTTTTGTTTTAACAATTTTAAATTTCCATTTCAATTTCACCATGACCCAACAATCATTCAGGAGCAGGTTTTTTACTTTCCATGTATTTGTATAGTTTTGAGAGTTTCTCTTATAATTTATTTCTAGTTTTATTCCACTGTGGTCTAGGAAGATACCTGATATGATTTTGCTTCTTAATAAATTTATTGAGACATGTGTTGTGGCCTAATCTTGGAAATATTTCATGCATTGATAAGAAAAATGATATTCTGATGATATTCTGCAGTTGTTGGGTACACTGTTCTGTAAATTTCTGCTGGATAAATTTGGTCTAGAGTCTAATTCAAGTTTAATGTTTCTTTGTTGATTTTCTGCCTTGATCATCTGTTTAGTGCTGATAATGATCTTTGCCATTATATAATGACTTTGTCTTTTTTGTTATTGTTGATTTAAAGTTTGTTTTATCTTATATAAACAAAGCTATTTCTGCTTGGTATTAGTTTCCATTTGTGTGGAATATCTTTTTCCATAATTTACCTTCAGTCTGCAAGTACCTACCAATTAGATAAGTTTCTTGTTAGCAGCCACATAATAGAACATTTTTTAAAAAAATCAACTTCACTAGTCTATATCTTTTAAGTAGAGCATTTAATTCATTTATGTTTAAAGTTAATATTGATATGTGAGGGTTTTTTTCCTGTCCTAATGTTAATTGTTATCTAGTTGCTTTGCAGTCTTATTTGTGTAATTGTTTTATAAGCTCTGTGAGTCTTATACATTTGTGTGTTTTTAAGATGGTAGGTATCAACTTTTTGTTTTCATGTTTAGAAGTCTCTCGAATATTTCTTATAGGACTAGTCTAGTGGTGATGAATTCCCTTAGCATGGGCTTATCTGGGAAACATTTTATTACTCCTTTAGTTATGAGGCTTATTTTAGCACAATACAATGCTTATAGTTAATAGTTTTTTTCTTTAAGAAATCTGAAAATAGGATCCCAATCTCTTCTGGCTTGTAAGATTTCTGCTTAGAAGTCCGGTATCAGCCTAATAGGATTTCCTATATAAGTAATTGGATACTTTTCTCATGCTGATTTTAGGGTTTTTCATTAATGCTGACTTTAGATAACCTGATGTCTATATGTTTTGGTGAAGTCTGTCTTGAAATGTATTTTTCTGGAATTCTCCGAGCCCCTTGTATCTGGATGTCTACATCTCTAGCAAGAATAGGAAAGTTTTCCTTAATTATTTTTTCAAATAGGTTTTTCAAACTTTTTATTTTCCTTCAGGTATTCCTGACTCATAGGTTTGGATGTTTTACATAAACCCATGTCTCTTTAAGGCATTTTTTTTTTAAATTCTTTTTTCTTATTTCTGTTTTTCTGACTGGATTAATTTAAAAGACCTCTCTTCAAGCTCTGAAATTCTTTATTCTGCTTGGCATTATCTATTGTTAAAGATTTCAATTGTATATTATCATTCTTTTAATTAAGTTTTTATGTCTAGAAGTTATGTATCTGATATAAGCATAGCTGTTTCTGCTTGGTATAATACATGTCTCTTTGGTAATTTTTTCATTCATATCCCGCATTGCATTTCTGACTTTGTCTTGGATCTCACTGAACTTCTTTGAAATCAATATTTTGCACTCTTTGTCTGGTATGTCTAAGATTTCATTTGGGTGAGGATCAGTAGCTAGAGATTAGTGTGATTTTTTGGGGGTGTCATAATACCATTTTTTTGTGTTTTTTTTTTAATTATTATACTTTAAGTTTTAGGGTACATGTGCACAATGTGCAGGTTAGTTACATATGTATACATGTGCCATGCTGGTGCGCTGCACCCACTAACTCATCATCTAGCATTAGGTATATCTTTCAATGCTATCCCTCCCCCCTCCCCCCACCCCACAACAGGCCCCAGAGTGTGATGTTCCCCTTCCTGTGTCCATGTGTTCTCATTGTTCAATTCCCACCTATGAGTGAGAATATGCGGTGTTTGGTTTTTTGTTCTTGTGATAGTTTACTGAGAATGATGATTTCCAATTTCATCCATGTCCCCACAAAGGACATGAACTCATCATTTTTTATGGCTGCATAGTATTCCATGGTGTATATGTGCCAAATTTTCTTAATCCAGTCTATCATTGTTGGACATTTGGGTTGGTTCCAAGTCTTTGCTATTGTAAATAATGCCGCAGTAAACATACATGTGCATGTGTCTTTATAGCAGCATGATTTATAGTCCTTTGGGTATATACCCAGTAATGGGATGGCTGGGTCAAATGGTATTTCTAGTTCTAGATCCCTGAGGAATCGCCACACTGACTTCCACAATGGTTGAACTAGTTTACAGTCCCACCAACAGTGTAAAAGTGTTCCTATTTCTCCACATCCTCTCCAGCACCTGTTGTTTCCTGACTTTTTAAATGATTGCCATTCTAACTGGTGTGAGATGGTATCTCATTGTGGTTTTGATTTGCATTTCCCTGATGGCCAGTGATGATGAGCATTTTTTCATGTGTTTTTTGGCTGCATAAATGTCTTCTTTTGAGAAGTGTCTGTTCATGTCCTTTGCCCACTTTTGATGAGGTTGTTTTTTTCTTGTAAATTTGTTTGAGTTCATTGTAGATTCTGGATATTAGCCCTTTGTCAGATGAGTAGGTTGCAAAAATTTTCTCTCATTCTGTAGGTCGCTTGTTCACTCTGATGGTAGTTTCTTTTGCTGTGCAGAAGCTCTTTAGTTTAATTAGATCCCATTTGTCAATTTTGTCTTTTGTTGCCATTGCTTTTGGTGTTTTGGACATGAAGTCCTTGCCCATGGCTATGTCCTGAATGGTAATGCCTAGGTTTTCTTCTAGGGTTTTTATGGTTTTAGGTCTAACGTTTAAGTCTTTAATCCATCTTGAATTGATTTTTGTATAAGGTGTAAGGAAGGGATGCAGTTTCAGCTTTCTGCATATGGCTAGCCAGTTTTCCCAGCACCATTTATTAAATAGGGAATCCTTTCCCCATTGCTTGTTTTTCTCAGGTTTGTCAAAGATCAGATAGTTGTAGATATGTGGCGTTATTTCTGAGGGCTCTGTTCTGTTCCATTGATCTATATCGGTTTTGGTACCAGTACCATACTGTTTTGGTTACTGTAGCCTTGTAGTATAGTTTAAAGTCAGGTAGTGTGATGCCTCAAGTTTTGTTCTTTTGGCTTAAGATTGACTTGGCGATGCGGGCTCTTTTTTGGTTCCATATGAACTTTAAAGTAGTTTTTTCCAATTCTGTGAAGAAAGTCATTGGTAGCTTGATGGGAATGGCATTGAATCT
Source organism: Homo sapiens (assembly GCF_000001405.40). Lineage (NCBI taxonomy): Eukaryota > Metazoa > Chordata > Mammalia > Primates > Hominidae > Homo > Homo sapiens. Next base: position 115,169,340 of record NC_000007.14, read on the forward strand.
GTAAATTACCTTGGGCAGTATGGCCATTTTCACGATATTGATTCTTTCTACCCATGAGCATGGAATGTTCTTCCATTTGTTTGTATCCTCTTTTATTTCCTTGAGCAGTGGTTTGTAGTTCTCCTTGAAGAGGTCCTTCACATCCCTTGTAAGTTGGATTCCTAGGTATTTTATTCTCTTTGAAGCAATTGTGAATGGGAGTTCACTCATGATTTGGCTCTCTGTTTGTCTTTTGTTGGTGTATAAGAATGCTTGTGATTTTTGTACATTGACTTTGTATCCTGAGGCTTTGCTGAAGTTGCTTATCAGCTTAAAGAGATATTGGGCTGAGACAGTGGGGTTTTCTAGATATACAATCATGTCATCTGCAAACAGGGACAATTTGACTTCCTCTTTTCCTAATTGAATACCCTTTATTTCCTTCTCCTGCCTAATTGCCCTGGCCAGAACTTCCAACACTATGTTGAATAGGAGTGGTGAGAGAGGGCATCCCTGTCTTGTGCCAGTTTTCAAAGGGAATGCTTCCAGTTTTTGCCCATTCAGTATTATATTGGCTATGGGTTTGTCATAGATAGCTCTTATTATTTTGAAATACGTCCCATCAATACCTAATTTATTGAGAGTTTTTAGCATGAAGGGTTGTTGAATTTTGTCAAAGGCCTTTTCTGCATCTATTGAGATAATCGTGTGGTTTTTGTCTTTGGTTCTGTTTATATGCTGGATTACATTTATTGATTTGTGTATATTGAACCAGCGTTGCATCCCAGGGATGAAGCCCACTTGATCATGGTGGATAAGCTTTTTGATGTGCTGCTGGATTCGTTTTGCCAGTATTTTATTGAGGAATTTTGCATCAATGTTCATCAAGGATATTGGTCTAAAATTCTCTTTTTTTGTTGTGTCTCTGCCTGGCTTTGGTATCAGGATGATGCTGGCCTCATAAAATGAGTTAGGGAGGATTCCCTCTTTTTCTATTGATTGGAATAGTTTCAGAAGGAATGGTACCAGTTCCTCCTTGTACCTCTGGTAGAATTCGGCTGTGAATCCATCTGGTCCTGGACTCTTTTTGGTTGGTAAGCTATTGATTATTGACTCAATTTCAGATCCTGTTATTGGTCTATTCAGAGATTCAACTTCTTCCTGGTTTAGTCTTGGGAGGGTGTATGTGTCGAGGAATTTATCCATTTCTTGTAGATTTTCTAGTTTATTTGCATAGAGGTGTTTGTAGTATTCTCTGATGGTAGTTTGTATTTCTGTGGGATCGGTGGTGATATCCCCTTTATCATTTTTTATTGTGTCTATTTGATTCTTCTCTCTTTTTATTAGTCTTGCTAGCGGTTTATCAATTTTGTTGATCCTTTCATAAAACCAGCTCCTGGATTCATTAATTTTTTGAAGAGTTTTTTGTGTCTCTATTTCCTTCAGTTCTGCTCTGATTTTATTTATTTCTTGCCTTCTGCTAGCTTTTGAATGTGTTTGCTCTTGCTTTTCTAGTTCTTTTAATTGTGATGTTAGGGTGTCAATTTTGGATCTTTCCTGCTTTCTCTTGTGGGCATTTAGTGTTATAAATTTCCCTCTCCACACTGCTTTGAATGCATCCCAGAGATTCTGGTATGTTGTGTCTTTGTTCTCGTTGGTTTCAAAGAACATCTTTATTTCTGCCTTCATTTCGTTATGTACCCAGTAGTCATTCAGGAGCAGGTTGTTCAGTTTCCATGTAGTTGAGCTGTTTTGAGTGAGATTCTTAATCCTGAGTTCTAGTTGATTGCACTGTGGTCTGAGAGACAGTTTGTTATAATTTCTGCTCTTTTACATTTGCTGTGGAGAGCTTCACTTCCAACTATGTGGTCAATTTTGGAATAGGTGTGGTGTGGTGCTGAAAAAAATGTATATTCTGTTGATTTGGGGTGGAGAGTTCTGTAGATGTCTATTAGGTCTACTTGGTGCAGAGCTGAGTTCAATTCCTGGGTATCCTTGTTGACTTTCTGTCTCATTGAACTGTCTAATGTTGACAGTGGGGTGTTAAAGTCTCCCATTATTAATGTGTGGGAGTCTAAGTCTCTTTGTAGGTCACTCAGGACTTGCTTTATGAATCTGGGTGCTCCTGTATTGGGTGCATATATATTTAGGATAGTTAGCTCTTCTTGTTGAATTGATCCCTTTACCATTATATAATGGCCTTCTTTGTCTCTTTTGATCTTTGTTGGTTTAAAGTCTGTTTTATCAGAGACTAGGATTGCAACCCCTGCCTTTTTTTGTTTTCCATTTACTTGGTAGATCTTCCTCCATCCTTTTATTTTGAGCCTATGTGTGTCTCTGCACGTGAGATGGGTTTCCTGAATACAGCACACTGATGGGTCTTGACTCTTTATCCAATTTGCCAGTCCGTGTCTTTTAATTGGAGCATTTAGTCCATTTACATTTAAAGTTAATATTGTTATGTGTGAATTTGATCCTGTCATTATGATGTTAGCTGGTTATTTTGCTCGTTAGTTGATGCAGTTTCTTCCTAGTCTCGATGGTCTTTACATTTTGGCATGATTTTGCAGTGGCTGATACTGGTTGTTCCTTTCCATGTTTAGCGCTTCCTTCAGGAGCTCTTTTATGGCAGGCCTGGTGGTGACAAAATCTCTCAGCATTTGCTTTTCTGTAAAGTATTTTATTTCTCCTTCACTTATGAAGCTTAGTTTGGCTGGATAAGAAATTCTGGGTTGAAAATTCTTTTCTTTAAGAAAGTTGAATATTGGCCCCCACTGTCTTCTGGCTTGTAGAGTTTCTGCCGAGAGATCTGCTGTTAGTCTGATGGGCTTCCCTTTGAGGGTAACCCGACCTTTCTCTCTGGCTGCCCTTAACATTTTTTCCTTCATTTCAACTTTGGTGAATCTGACAATTATGTGTCTTGGAGTTGCTCTTCTCGAGGAGTATCTTTGTTGTGTTCTCTGTATTTCCTGAATCTGAAGGTTGGCCTGCCTTGCTAGATTGGTGAAGTTCTCCTGGATAATATCCTGCAGAGTGTTTTCCAACTTGGTTCCATTCTCCCCGTCACTTTCAGGTACACCAATCAGACGTAGATTTGGTCTTTTCACATAGTCCCATATTTCTTGGAGGCTTTGCTCATTTCTTTTTATTCTTTTTTCTCTAAACTTCCCTTCTCACTTCATTTCATTCATTTTGTCTTCCATCGCTGATACCCTTTCTTCCAGTTGATCGCATCACCTCCTGAGGCTTCTGCATTCTTCACATAGTTCTCGAGCCTTGGTTTTCAGCTCCATCAGCTCTGTTAAGCACTTCTCTGTATTGGTTATTCTAGTTATACATTCTTCTAAATTTTTTTCAAAGTTTTCAACTTCTTTGCCTTTGGTTTGAATGTCCTCCCGTAGCTCAGAGTAATTGGATCGTCTGAAGCCTTCTTCTCTCAGCTCGTCAAAGTCATTCTCCATCCAGCTTTGTTCCGTTGCTGGTGAGGAACTGCTTTCCTTTGGAGGAGGAGAGGCACTCTGCTTTTTAGAGTTTCCAGTTTTTCTGTTCTGTTTTTTTCCCCATCTTTGTGGTTTTATCTACTTTTGGTCTTTGATGATGGTGATGTACAGATGAGTTTTTGGTGTAGATGTCCTTTCTGTTTGTTAGTTTTCCTTCTAACAGACAGGACCCTCAGCTGCAGGTCTGTTGGAGTACCCTGCCATGTGAGGTGTCAGTGTGCCCTGCTGGGGGCTGCCTCCCAGTTAGGCTGCTTGGGGGTCAGGGGTCAGGGACCCACTTGAGGAGGCAGTCTGCCCGTTCTCAGATCTCCAGCTGTGTGCTGGGAGAACCACTGCTCTCTTCAAAGGTGTCAGACAGGGACATTTAAGTCTGCAGAGGTTACTGCTGTCTTTTTGTTTGTCTGTGCCCTGCCCCCAGAGGTGGAGCCTACAGAGGCAGGCAGGCCTCCTTGAGCTGTGGTGGGCTCCACCCAGTTCTAGCTTCCCGGCTGCTTTGTTTACCTAAGCAAGCCTGGGCAATGGCGGGCGCCCCTCCCCTAGCCTGGCTGCTACCTTGTAGTTTGATCTCAGACTGCTGTGCTAGCAATCAGCGAGACTCCGTGGGTGTAGGACCCTCCGAGCCAGGTGCAGGATATAATCTCCAGGTGCGCCGTTTTTTTTAAACCTGTCGGAAAAGCGCAGTATTCGGGTGGGAGTGACCCGATTTTCCAGGTGCCGTCTGTCACTCCTTTCTTTGACTGGGAAAGAGAACTCCCTGACCCCTTGCCCTTCCCAAGTGAGGCAATGCCTCGCCCTGCTTCGGCTCGCGCATGGTGCGCGCACCCACTGACCTGAGCCCACTGTCTGGCACTGCCTAGTGAGATGAACCTGGTACCTCAGATGGAAATGCAGAAATCACCCGTCTTCTGCATCGCTCATGCTGGGAGCTGTAGACCGGATCTTTTCCTATTCGACCATCTTGGCTCCTCCCCTCTTTGTTTTTGTTTTTTGTTTTCTATTATTCCAGAATTGTTTTGCCAACTCCTTCTCATTTGGAAAAACTATCTCTTCTTGTTATTTTTAAATTGACTTTCATTTGGATAGGATTTTTTCCCTTCGGGGTGTAATTATGGTGTATGTTATGTAGAGTCATTTGGCTTTGGCTCTGGGTGTGTTCAGTGGTGAAGACACCATGTAAGTTTCTGTGTTATAGACAGGTTTACTGTTGTGTTTGTCTCAAATGCTGATTATAGTAGTGATATACTAGATGAGTGAGCAGGCTCACTTCCTTCTGCAGTGCCAGGATAGCAGAGGTCTCAAGAGGTTATTTCATTCTCCAGCACAGTGCACTTGTGTTAGCAAAGTTTGTATTGGATTGTGCTGTTGACCTCCAAGTCTGTAGGTGGTACTTGCAGGTAAAAGGCAGCTGCAAGAATAACAGATGGGTATATGCTTGATTTTTGTTTGCTGGGAGAATGTATCTTTTGCTTTAAGCAGTGGGCTGGTCCATAGAATGCACAGTGGCCTGAGCTTCCTGCTCAGCCCTGAACGTGAGGGACAAAGCTGGGCAGGGTTGGACCACCAAGTCACCCTCAGATACCCCAGTGGAGAATACAATCAATGGCCCTGAGGGGTGATGGTGGAACTCCACAGGTGGTGGAGGGGACTGCCCAGCTCCATGGCCTGGGCAGGAAAGAAATGATCTGTTTCCTTCTCATGTCCCCCGTCTGGCACTTGGAATTCTCAGATCGATCAGACACTGTTTATCTCCAGGCTACAGTGTAACCAAGAGCCAAAAGAACTCCTACCCTGTGGCTCACTGCTGAAATGGCTTCAGCCTGGTACCTATATATTTGAAAACATATATATGCAACTATTTTGTTATGCTATCTGTGTGTCAACTTAGGAGACCTTTGGCTTAATAAATCTCTTGTAGTCATTTCACAGCTTCCCCTACTCAGAGAGAATTTGGTATATAGGATGGGCATTGTAGGTTCATAAAGGACTATAGAAGCCAATTCACCTCATTGGTCAAAATAATAGGCCACTGGGCATTTGTTTTAATGCCCATTCAGGAAAACAAATACTACACTATAAAAGCAAAAAAAAAATTAAGATCACTGGCCTAGAGAAAATATGGCTGTAAGGGAAGATGGTGGCCAGAATTCCTAGACATTGTGAAAAATTATTTTCACAATCTCCAGAGGATTGTTTTTCTCTACGGAAAATAATCTTATTCATTCTTTGACATAGACCAGCCCAATTCTGGTATTTAGAATACAAAAGAGTTTGTAGCACTTTATTTTCTCGTTCAGTACTTATTTAGGAACTAAACATGTGTTTTCTTTATTTAGCGATCATGGCAACAGCCATTTCTGAACTCTAGATAACTACTTTTTCTTAGGTTATCACTCAGTGTTTGGGACTGATACCACTTAGTACAGCTTGGAGGGAGAAGGAGGAATTTGAAAGTGTCAGTTGATTTTTGCCAAATGTACTAACAATATAGAATAAGGGTCTTTTAATTCATTCACTAACCCCTTGTTGTGTACCTGCTAGTGTCAAGCATTGTGTTAGATTGTGGAGATATGAAGTTCAAAGAAGCAAGGCATCTGCCCCAAGAAACACAAGAGCAGTGGGACTATAGATGTGGAAACAAGCTATCACAATCCCACAAAAGCTTTTAATAGAGGTATATACAAAATTTGGTGAGAAAATAAAAGAAGCCTTACAACTTATTTCATCTGACCATAATATTGACTAACTTAAAAATTAAAGATGAAACAATTATCAGCCATTTCAGGTCTCTTTCCAGGATTTGTAGCTGGCAGGAAGTGATTTTTTTGCTCAACTATAGATTTCCTTTAATTGAAAGTTGACTTTACTCACCTGCCAAAGACTAAAATTTAAAAACACTCCCAGATTACCTTGTCATGGTTTTGGGCTAAAGTTGTCTTCATTATCACATAGCAGGAGAAAATATTAACAAGTCATACCTCTGATAAAAACACTCGTATCCAGAATATAGTAAGGATTTTTAAAGGTAGTAAGAAAACAACCCCATAAAAATGGGCAAAATGTTGGAATAGACATTTTATCAAAGAGGATATATGGATGGCAAATAAACAGATGGAAAAAATGCCCAGCATCAATAGGGAAATAGTAATTGAAACCACAATGAGATACCAGTATACACTTATTGGAATAATAAAAGTGAAAAAGACTGACCATACCAAGTATTAGTGATGATATAAAGAAACTGAATCTCTCATACATTTCTTGGAGGGATGTAAAATGCTGCAATTACTTTGGAAAATAGCTTGGCATTTTCTTAAAGTTAGAGGTACATTTAACATATAATCCAGCTATTTCATGTTTAGGCAATTACTCAAAGAAAATGAAAGCACAAGTCTATACAAAGACTTATACATGAATGCTCATAGCACCTTCATTTAGGAGCTCCAGAGTGGAAGCAACCCACCATCCTTTAACAGGTGAATGGATAAATAGGCCATGGTACATCTATAAAATGGAACCCTGTACCACAATAAAAAAAATAACTATTGATATGTGCTCCTATTTCTATTCAATAGGTATGAATCTCAATTATGGAAAGTGAAAGAAATCAGACAAAAAAAGTACATACTATATTTCATTTATATAAAATTCTGGAAAATGCAAACTAATGTTTACTGTCGGAAAACTGATATCTGTGCAATGCATTGTCTATATGCCATCTAAGAGATACATTTGTGGAAGATTTGCTACTTAGGCTCCTGGAGACCAAGTGGGGGCTGTAGGGTGGATAGGAAGAAAGGAATTATAAAGTGATACAATGAAACTTTTGGAGAAGTAGAATATGTTCATTATCTGTATTGTGATTATTTTACCAATGTACACGTATGTCAAAACTTATCAAATTGTGCCCTTTAAACATATACATTGTATTTGATGTCAATTATAACTCACTAAGTCTATTTTTTAAAAAAGCAGTTGTAACATTGCTGTTACATCCATTGCTAATGTTTGAAAAACAGAAGCAAACAAAAATGATTTCATGGGCAAAAATAAGTGCCCTATTTTTTCCTGCTCCTCTGTTTTTAGTCTAGTTTGTTAATGGCATCACATCATTGGTTAAATTGGTCAGATTTATTGAAATGCATGAGGGTAAATCATATATTAATGTATTTCTTAAGGGGAGCCTCTGTGGTCTTTGGCTGCCCAGGAAATCCATTTTTATGGAAGCTTTCATTGCACTCAATACATCAGAGATTAGAAGCCTTAGCTACCTTTTATTTAAAACATGTTTGCTTAAATTACAACAAGTTATTTTACAGCTAGACATATGAATGCCACGTGCTAAGTAAATTGTACATTATGTAGAAAGAATGTTTAAAAATACCCTGAAGTTGTAGAAATATGAGATGCATATAGAGAATGATAATTTAAGCAGTTTCAATCATCTCACTGATGTTAAACTGAGCTTTCTGTAGTTCTTCCAGCAGAAGAGACATATGTCTTGAATGTATTTTAAATATATGCCAGAGCTAACCCTTTTAAGGGCATCATTGAATTGATAATTTCAAACAGTTTGTCAAACTTAGATATGTTCCAGAGAGGGAAGGGAAATCTTGAATGCATCATTTAGTATGTTTTATAATGTCATTTTTGAGGATTCATGTTTACTTTGACTGCCTGTCCCACTGTACCCAAAATATGAATAAATAAAGATGGAATACTTGGTTTCTATGTCCTTTGACTACAAAGTGTTGAATGAGTGTTAAAGCTAATATAGTTGGATACAAGTCATATCCTCCAGTCATCACTTTGTTAATTTGATAATTGCTAAATACTGATCTTAATGAAGTTAACGTGCCCGTTATTCATAACCATAAAATATTCCTGATATAAAACAGTTCCACTGTAAACCAAAGAAAAATGAAGTGGTCACACATATTAACATGTAAGGTGGTGAACAAATTTAGTTGAATTACATGACAGTGTCAGCTCTGTGCAAAAAAAAAAAAACTATTTTTTTAATAAAAGGTCATGATTTCCAAGCTCTTTACTTGAACAAGAAGATTTAATTTATCTGTTATTTTATGAAGCATTTTTATGTGTAGAAAAAGTGCTACTTGTTTGCGCATGCTGGTTATATGGCATTCTTACATGATTTCGTGCTCTGCTGATGGAAAATTAGACCCTTGTGTATTATAAAAGCATAGAAGATAGCTATAGAATCAGGATGCAATTGCCTCACGACATTCTGTTGACAGCTAGGAATATATACAGACAAAGCAATGTCACTGGATGCTAATGTGAACTCTATCCACTGATTAGTACTGTAAATCCCTCTAAAACAAAAAGCCAAAATCTTTTTATTAAACTGAGGGTTTTACCTTAAAGTTTAAATATGAAGATAATTTCTCCACTTTTGTTCAATGAAACCATAATGAATATTATATAATTACATTATGTTCATCAACTCATAAATATGATCCCAGGAGCTGATATATCCAGACAAAGCTACATATAGATATGAGATAATTCATTTCTGTTATTTATGTATTAGACTAATAACATGGTGCCTTTCATGCGTACTGAAGATGAATCATTCATTTCTTGGATTAGTTTTTAACATGCAAGTCCTTACATAATAATTTCCTTGTCTGTTAGAAGTTTTCAAATTTCTCCAGTGTGAAATTGAATGAGAGATATACTGTAATTTAACTAACAATAACATGTATAAGTAATAATATCTTTAATACTACCTAATAGGAAACTCTAGTAAGGAGTGTCAAAACAGCCCTTGAAGCTGCAGTGTCTCTGTTGGTCTTTTTAACCTTCCAAGTCATCTTTAATAACCATTATGAATACTCTGTAGAGCAAATCTCAGTGCAAAGGTGTGAATCTGAGGCCAGTCAGCCAATTCTGACAGGATTTCCTTGCTTTGCTTCCCTGTGAAACTATTTACCTTACATTTTAGAAAGCATCTTGCTGCTTATCAACAGAGAGTGGGGATAAATTGACGTTGACTGCTTTAGTCCTACTTCAGAGAACTGCTACACTTTATAACTAGTGGCTGAAAAATTGCAAGGAAAAATGTACAGTAGTCAAGTACAGAGGTCGTCTTTGGTGATGTTAATGTTCTTGGTGGGTTTGGCACCCAGAGCAATTTTCCATTACAATGCAGCTGTAGTATAAGTGGAAACATTTTCTTTAACCAAACAACCGTGTAGGCAGGCTGTGTGTAGTGTTCCTTGAAATGAACCTGGAAAAACAAAACAAAGCCCTTCCTTGTTGCTTCTAATTGTCACACTCTGAAATGAACTGTAAGTGAAACCTGGTAAGTAGAAATGTCAGGACTATTTGGTTTTCCTATAGCAACTGCTTCTTGGTAGTTGGTATCAAAGAACATTATTTTGCTAGGTTTAAGAATTGACTGAAAAGAATATAGAACAGTCCTTGAAAATCATGGCAATTATTCACAGCAAAAAGACTCTGGCCTAGAAATCCTGATGCCAGTGGATGGTTTTGGAATTTTTGTTTGGGGTGTGAGTAAAACAGATGAGCTAAGAGCAGCCCTTCACAAGAAAAGCCCTTTGTTGCTATCCCAGGCTGACCCCACTTTATAAGACTGCCATATACAACTGCAGGAGCACATATTGAGCAAAATGAACAATGAACCACAAAACCTCCTGGGATAGAAGATCAGGGACCCCAGTGAGCATTATTTCCCATTTTAAATCAAATGATATACTAAAATAGAATAAGGCCTAAACGTATAAAACATTCTCAGTATGACACAGTGGAGTGCCTAGAAGTAAATAAAGTTCCTATGATTGTCTTCTATTTCAAATAAATAGCCTTTTCTAGGTCAATTCAACAAATCTCCTGTTCTAAAGTGAGGAAACAAGTTTATTAACACAAAATGGCTTTGTGTACAACTAAACTGGAAGAAATCGGCCTCATTCACAGTCAGGTAGAATAAGTCTACCTGTAAAAATTTCTCAACACGGGAAGGATATATTTGCAAATAAAAATAAAAGAAATGTGACACTGATGTGTTATAAAATTATTTCACAGATTCGTCAGCACTATTGCTTTAACTGATCAGACAGGTAAGCAGGTGTAGCTGAAGAAGGCTCAACTTTCAAGTTTTCTCTAAGCTGAGTTTCCTTTCTATGATGACTAATACCACCACCATCTAAGTCTTCTCATATCACAGCAATATTATCACATTTATTATTCCCAACAGCAATCTTGCTTCTGCTTCGGGTCTCTGGCCCTCACCCTAATTTGTTGTATTGTTCCCTCTTAATTTTCTTAAATCAGTATGTCAACCTTGTTAAAAGCATGCCTATTACCTTCAAGATAAAGTAAAAGCACCTACTTTAGAGGTTCAAAGCCCTCCACAATTAAGCACAATGTTCTCATTAAAAACTATTTTCCTTCTTATACTGCTTTGCTCACTGGAGCTCAAAGCATTATTCTTGCCTTCAAGCTTTTGATTAAGCCATGGTCTCTTCAAATTGCCTTCTGTCTTCTTTGCCTTAAACAAACTGTACTAATTCATCCATTCACCCATTTGACAGAAAGATAGCACCCACTGTGTATCAGGCTCTGTGCTAGGAAGAAGGGATTTAGTAGCAAAAGAAACAAAATGGTCCCTGCTCTTAAAGACATCAGGTTCTAGTGAACAATTTTGGGGGACAGCAGATATACTATTCATAATAAAAAGGAGATAGTGGTAAGTATTATAAAGGTAAGTGCTATAAATAAAATAGGTTGATGTTACAGTGCGTGGTAAGTTACTTAGATTGGATATAATCAGGGAGGACTACATTGAAGAAGCGTCATTTAAACTGACAACTGAATATAAGAAGAGCCAACCACATAGAGGCTGGGAGTGAAGTTTTCTAGGGATTGACAGATACAAATGCACTAAGGCAGAAAACAATCTGGTATGTTCACAAAAGGAAGAAAAGGTGGTGAAACCAAAGAGGGAAAGAAGTGAACTTTGAGAAACTCTTAGTTTTCTGTATCAAGCATCTGGAAATTGCCTTGTGCTCCTGAAATATTCTGGCATATTACTAATTAACTACTATCTTGTTTTTATTCGGATATGTCATTACCTGATTAGATTTTGAGTTTATTGTATCATAAAAATGAAGTTATATCACAAATGCAGGCTCACAGGATCTTCCAGTGTGTTATGTGTAAAATAGGTTTTTAAACATAGTAACGATATCAAGTCTCCCCAAATTGATATACAGGTTTAACATAATTCCTGTCAAAATCCAAGCAATATTTTTTGTAGATATAGTAAAGATTATTCTAAAATTTGTAGAGAAAACAAAGGAAATAAAAGAGCTAAAACAAGAAGTTAGGTGGAATCAGTCTACCCAATTTCAAGATTTACATGTCTACAGTAATCAATCCCATATGATATTGGCATGGGAATCGGCATAAGATTAATGGGACAGAATAGAGAACACAGAAATAGCCCCACACGAGTTAGGCCAACTGATTTTTGATAAAGGTTCAAAAGCAATTCAATATAGCAAGGATAGTCTTTTCAACAAATTGTGCTGGAACAACTTAGATATCCCAGGCAATTAAAAAGAAAAAACCTTGACTATCACTTCATATGCAAAAATTAACTCAAAATGAATCAACAGACTTAAATGTAAAACATAAAACTATTTAATAGAAGACAATCTTTAGGATCTAGGGCTAGGCAAACAATTCTCGGAGTTGACGCCAAAAGCATAATCTACTGAATAAAAAAAAGTGATATATTTTACTTCATCAAAATCTGAAAACTTTGCTCCATAAGAGACTACAGACTGAGAGAAAAATATTTGAAAACTACTTATTTAGATAAGAATTAATATCTAGAATATATAAATAATTCTCTAAACAGTGAAAAAATATTACCCAATTGGAATGGACAAAAGACATGGACAGACATTTCACTGAAACAGACCTACAGATAACAAATAAACACATGAAAGGACATTCAGCATTGTTAATCATTAAGGAAATTTTAATTAAAACCACAATGAGATATCACTTAAATATCTGTCAGAATGGCTAAAATAACAAACAGTGATAACACAGGATGCTGACAAGGATGTAAGAAAGCTTAATCACTCATATATTGTTGCAATGTAAAATGGTTTGCCATTTTAAAAACAGTTTGACAGCTTTTTAAAAAAATGAAGCATGCAACTACCATATGAGCCAGTACCATAAAATTCTGTTACAGACACTAATCCCAGAGAAAAGAAAATTTATATTTGCAAAAAAACCGTGCAAATATTTTTTTTTAAAAAAAGCAGCTCTATTTGTAATAGCCAAAAACAAGAATCAACCCAGATGTCCTTCAATGGGTGAATGGTTAAAGAAAAATTGTGATATATCCATATCATGGACTACTATTCGGCAAAAAGAAAAGGGGAACAACTATACATGCAACAACTTGGATAAATCTCAAGAGAATTACATAAGTGATAAAAGCCAGTTCCAAAAGGTTATATAATTGTGTTAGTCCATTTATATAACCTTCTTGAAATGACACTTTTTGTTTTTTTAAGAGGGGACAAATAAGCAGTGTCCATAGGGTAAGAAGAAGTTAAGGGTAGAAAGAGTTTGTATTTACAAAAGGGATCCTTATGGTGGTGAAAATGTTCTGAATTTTGACTGTATCAATGTCAAGATCCTGATCGTGAAATTGTACTAAAATTTTGTGAGATTTCATCATTGGGGAAACTAGGTAAAGAGTCTATGGAATCTTTCTGTTATTTCTTACAACTGCATGTGGATCTACAATTCTTTCAAAATAAAAAGTTTAATAAGAACTAAATATTGGGTTGGGCGGGGTGGCTAACGCCTGTAATCCCAGCACTTTGGGAGGCTGAGGCAGGCGGATCACAAGGTCAGGAGATCGAGACCAACCTGGCTAACATGGTGAAACCCCATCTCTACTAAAAATAAAAAAAAAATTAGGAGGATGTGGTGGCACACGCCTGTAGACCCAGGTACTCAGGAGGCTGAATAAGATAATCGCTTGAACCTAGGAGGCAGAGGTTGCAGTGAGCTAAGATCGCACCACTGCACTCCAGCCTGGGCGACAGAGAGACACCCATCTCAAAAAAACAAAACAAAACAAAAACTAAATATTGGTTCAATGATTTATGAGGATGGATAAATAAGTAGCCACAGTAATAACAGCTAACACATATACAGGCATTTCTAATTGTGCTTTGCTTTACTATGCTTTGCAGATACTATGTTTTTTACAAATTAAAGGTTTGTGACAACCCTGCTTTAAGCACGTTTGTGTCACACATTGGTAATTCTTGCAATATTTCAAACTTTTAAATTATATCTGTTATGGTGGTCTGTGATCACTGATATTTGGTGTTACTATTATAATTGTTTGGGGGTACTACAAACCATGCTCATACAAGATGGTGAACATAATCAATAAATATTATGTGTATTCTTATTGCTCTATTCACTGGCCATTCCCCTATCTCTTTCCTTCCCCTCAGGCCTCTCTATTACCTGAGACAAAAAATACTGAAATTAGGCCAATTAATAATTCCACAATGGCTTCTATGTGTTCAAGTGAATGAAAGAGTCACATGTCTCTCACTTTAAATTGAAAGCTAGAAACTATTAAGCTTAGTGAGGAAGACAAGTTGAAAGCTGAGCTAGTCCTCCTGTTCCAAACAGTTAACCAAGTAGTGAATGCAAAATAAAAATTAAGTTCTTACAGGAAATGAAAAGTGCTACTCCAGTGATCACATGAGTGATAAGAAACCACAAAAGGCTTTCTGCTGGTATGGAGAAGTGTTAGTGGTCTGGATAGAAGATCAAACCAGCCCCAGCATTCCCTTAAGCCAAAGCCTAATCCAGAGAAAGGCCTTAACTCTCTTCAATTGTATTGGGATTGAGAGAGGTTAGGAAGCTGCAGATGAACAGTTGGAAGCTAGCAGAGATTCATGCATGAGGTTTAAGGAAAGAAGCTATCTCCATGACATAAACGTACGAGGCGAAGCAGGAAGTGCAAATGTAGAAGCTGTAGCAAGTTATCTAGATTATCTAGCTGAATCTTTCATGAAGAGCATGAGGAGTGCTTTACTTCCAACTATGTGGTCAGTTTTGGAATAAGTGCAGTGTGGTTCTGAGAAGAACGTATATTCTGTTGATTTGGAGTGGAGAGTTCTGTAGATGTCTATTAGGTTCGCTTGGTGCAGAGCTGAGTTTGATTCCTGGATATCCTTGTTAACTTTCTATCTTGTTGATCTGTCTAATGTTGACAGTGGAGTGTTAAAGTCTCCCATTATTATTTTGTGGGAGTCTAAGTCTCTTTGTAGGTCTCTAAGGACTTGCTTTATGAATCTGGGTGCTCCTGTATTGGATGCATATATATTTACTATAGTTAGCTCTTGTTGAATTGATCACTTTACCATTATGTAATGAACTTCTTTGTCTCTTTTGATCTTTGTTGGTTTAAAGTCTGTTTTATCAGAGACTAGGATTGCAACCCCTGCCTTTTTTTTTTCCATTTGCTTGGTAGATCTTCCTCCATCCCTTTATTTTGAGCCTATGTTTGTCTCTGCACGTGAGATGGGTTTCCTGAATACAACACACTGTTGGGTCTTGACTCTTTATCCAATTTTTCAGTCTGTATCAATTTGATACAGCATTTTTATTGCTTAATTTTTACCTTCTATTAATTTGGTAGCTATATGTTCTTCTATTATTCTTTTAGTTCTTACCCTAGAATTTGTAATACACATTCTTTATTAATCAAAGGCTAAAATAGGTCAGTTCTTTCACATCTTCCCGACAAAATAAGGGCCTGAGAATATTTCTTTTTACCCACTCCTGATTTCTATATTCTTGACATATGAGTTTTAGTTCCTCATATATTTTAAATCCCATAAGGCACCATTTTTGTTTTATATTATTAAAATTCATTTATATTTACAATACTTTTTTTTTTTTTTTGAGACAGAGTCTCACTCTGTCGCCCAGGCTGGAGTGCAGTGGCGTGATCTCCACTCACTGTAAGCTCCGCCTCCTATATTCAAGCCCTTCTCCTGCCTCAGCCTCCCGAGTAGCTGGGACTACAGGTACCCACCACCATGCCCGGCTAATTTTTGGTATTTTTAGTAGAGACAGGGTTTCACCGTGTTAGCCAGGATGGTCTGGATCTCCTTACCTTGTGATCCGCCTGCCTCGGCCTCCCAAAGTGCTGGGATTAAAGGGCGTGAGCCACCATGCCCAGCCTCATATTTTTGTTTTTGCCATTCTTTCCTAGTTTTTTGGAGCTTCCATCTGAGGCTTTTCTACCTAAAAAATACCCACTAGCGTTTTATTTAGTATAGGCTTAATGGTGATAACATGTCTCATTTTTTTGTTCATCAGTGTTTATTTTGATATATGATATATTTAATGTAAGAAAAATGACTATTACATTGCATGAAATTGGATACTCTTATAAACATATCTATGCCTACTATTTATCTAAAAGGACATTGTAAATGATGCATGTTGAGCTTTTTACCTCCGCAACTTTCAGTATTTAATTGTGTAAGACCCATACATAAGTTTAAGGGAATTGTCTAAGAAATGATAAAATGGTGGTTGAGTATTGAAAAACAATTAGTTTTATTAAGAAACTAGAAGAACTACATGGACAATTAACAAAGTTATATTAAATAATTTATAGGCCTAATGCAGAATTCAGCAACATCTGATCAGTTTAGTAAAGTAATAATTCATCTACATGCTTGTAGATTAAAATTGTAATTCTTGTCAACAGTTGGCCATCTAGAATTTGGTTTCGGGATACTGTGCAAAATAATGCTGGAAGAGAATAGAAAAGCAAGCTTCTACAATAGCACCATAGTATGTGTAGTATAGAATCATTGAGGTCACCACTCCTATGCCCTCTAAGTCAAAGACAGATACTAATGATCAAATTGCAAGCCTGGCATGAGTTCCTTAGTATAAACGGATGAAAACAAGCATAACAAATATACCAATTAACACCTAATTACATATTTTCTGTCTTCGCCTTATACTCTAATTCCTGAAAAAGTATTACATTTGTGTATTTGATGTTCTTTGTGCATCTGGTAAAATTTAGCTATGAATCCATCTGGGAGTTTTTTGGTTGGTAGGTTTTTAAATTACCAATTCAGTTTCAGAGTTCAATATTGGTCTATTCAGGGTTTCAGACTCTTCCACATTTAATCTTGGGAGATTATATATTTTCAGGATTTATCCATTTCCTCTAGATTTTCTAATTGGTGTGCATAGAGCTGTTCATAGTATTCTCTGAGAATCTTTTTTCTGTGGGTTTGGCTATAATGTCATCTGTCATTTTTTATTGAACTCATTTGGGTCTTAATTTTTTCTTTGTTAATCTAGCTAGTGGTCATCCATTTTGTTTATTTTTACAAGGAACAAATTCTTGGTTTCATTGATCTTTGTATGGATTTTTGCATCTTAATTTCATTTAGTTCTTTGCTAGTTTATTTCTTTTCTTCTGGTAGCTTTGGATTTGGTTTGCTGTTTTCTTCCTAGTTCCTTTAAGTGCAAAGTTAGATTGTTAATTTGAGATCTTTCTAACTTCTTGATAAAGGCATTAGTGCTATAAACTTTCCTGTTAACATTGCATTATTACAGATTTATGGACTAGTAATATAGTTGTAGTTAAAATATATGGTTTATTTCATGTTCTATGTTTTTGTAGTAATAAAATATATAATTATTTATATAATTATATAAATAAAATATAATAAAATGATGTCTCTATCTTGCTAAATTATGTCTCTTACTCATCACAAATAAATTTTAAATTAGCATTTTAAAATTAATAAAACAATTTGGAAAGTAGAAAAAGAAGAAAATAAGGAAATGTATTGTATCCTCATGTCTTAGTTCATTTTGTGCCACTATAACAGAATAACCAAGACTGAGTAATTTATAATAAACAGAAATTTATTGGCTCACAGTTCTAAAGGCTGGAAAATCCAATATCAAGGTGCCAACTTCTGATGAGAGCCTTCTTTCTGCATAATTACATCGTGGAAGGTGAGAGGGTGAGAGAGGGCAAGATGGGGCCAAACTGGTCATTTTATAATGGTACCAATCCCATCTATGAGAGTGGAGCCCTTATAGTCTAATCATGTTTTAAAGGTCTCACCTCTCAATACTGTTACAATGGCAATTAACTTTCAACATGAGTTTTGGTGAGGATAAACATTCAAACCATAGCATGTTAATATCTGTAATTCTATTAACAGTTATACAAAAGATAAATACTGCCAAAATTTGGATCATTGATATTTATATTTTTATATAGTTTCAATCAAACTTTATAATTTCATATTCAACTTTTTCTTTTTTAAAAATTTATTTATGTTTTATTATTTTTTACTTTAAGTTCCGTGATAGATGTGCAGAAGGTGCAGATTTGTTACATAGGTATACATGCGCCATGGTGGTTTGCTGCATCTATTGACCCATCCTCTAAGTTCCCTCCCCTCACCCCGCAACAGGCTCTGGTGTGTGTTGTTCCCCTCCCTGTGTCCATCTGTTTTCATTGTTCAGCTCTCACTTATGAGTGAAAACATGCAGTGTTTGGTTTTCTGTTCCTGTGTTAGTTTGCTGAGAATGATGGCTTCCAGCTACATCCATGTCCCTGCAAAGGATGTGATCTCATTCCCTTTTTATGGCTGTGTAGTGTTCCATGGTGTATATGTATCACGTTTTCTTTATGCAGTCTATTGATGGACGTTTGGGTTGATTCCATGTCTTTGCTATTGGAAATAGTGCTGAAATAAACATGTGTGCATGTGTCTTTATAGAAGAATGATTTATATTCCTTTGGGTATATACCCAGTAATGAGATCAGTGGGTCAAATGGTATTTCTGGTTCTAGATCCTTGAGGAATCGCCACACTGTCTTCCACAATGGTTGATCTAATTTGCATTCCCACCAACAGTGTAAAAGTGTTCCTATTTCTCCATAGCCTTGCCAGCATCTATTGTTTCTTGATGTTTTAATATTCACCATTGTGACTGGCTTGAAATGGTATCTCATTGTGGTTTTGATTTGCATTTCTCTAATGATCGGTGATGCTGAGCTTTTTTTCATGTTTGTTGACTCCATAAATGTCTTCTTTTGAAAAGTGTCTGTTCATATCCTTCACCCACTTTTTGATGGGGTTGATTTTTTTTTCTTATAAATTTGTTTAAATTCCTTGTAGATTCTGGATATTAGGACTTTGTCAGATGGGTAGCTTGCAAAAATTTTCTCCCATCCTGTAGGGTGCCTGTTCACTCTGATGATAGTTTCTTTTGCTGTGCAGAAGCGCTTTAGTTTAATTAGATTCCATTTGTCAATTTTGGCTTTTGTTGCAATTGCTTTTGGTGTTTTCATCATGAAGTCTTTGCCCATGCTTATGTCCTAAATGGTATTGCCTAGGTTTTCTTCTAGGGATTTTATGGTTTTGGGTTTTACATTTAAGTCTCTAATCCATCTTGAGTTAATTTTTGTATGAGGTTTAAGGAAGGGGTCCAGTTTCAGTTTTCTGCATATGGCGAGCCAGTTTCCCAGCACCATTTATTGAATAGGAGGTCCTTTCCCCATTGCTTGTTTTTGTCAGGTTTGTCGAAGATTGGATGGTTGTAGATGTACTTTCATTTAATAATGTAGTTTAAACAGTTTTAAGACATCATTCATAATCACAATATATTTTATATAAATGTAATATTGAATCATTGATTGTTTATGCTATTTTCAAGTAATTTTAAAATAAATACTTATCTTTGAGTCAAACCCTTATTAATTAGTTTGTGATTTTAAATTATTTCTACAGAAAGTGTAATTAAATGCTAAGAGTGCATAAACTTTAAAAAAGGCATTTGATACACAATGCCAAATTTCTTTCTTAAGGTGGTATAATAATATATATTTCCACAGAGAATCCATGAGATTGGTTGGTTCCCTGCAGTAAAATTAGCTTCCACTGTTACCATTAAAAAAAAAAAAAATTCAGGTTGAAATTGCCTTTCTCACCTGAGTCTGGTAAGTTTCCATTTTAAGTGCTGTATATTGGTATTCTGAATCCCTAGGAATTAGAGAGTGCTCAGAGCAAGGGCCACAATCCTGAAAGGTCTGGGTGTTTCCTTTTGCCAGTGCAATTGATGCAGGTCCCTTTAAGCCTACTTTGTTCAAGGAGCTCTGAGTATGTAAACTGACGTAAGCCTGTAATATGGGCGAAGGGCTATGGTACTCTTTATCTCACATCAGGTTTCTGTGTTTCTAGTTCAAGAGTTTTTTCAATTTTACATGCAAAAATAGCCTCTTGGTGGGCTGCCCATCCATTTCAGTCTGAGGAACCTAAAAATTCATGAACTAATTCTTATATGATTACTATGCAGGCTTTATTTCCTATTATTTAGAAACATGGAACATAAAGCCTGTGAAGAACTGTTTTTCTTATCCAAAAGTTACCCACTGACTCAATAGATAAAGTGGAGGTAGGTAGACATTATTCACAGCTGAAAAGAAAATATTTCATGTGCTTCAATTTCTAATTTAGAGAAATGTGAGATAATGTATTTCTAGTTTTAGAGAAATAGCCACTTTCATGCAAAATATCCCATAAAAGTGTTAGTAGAGTAACAATGTTCCCATTGAATTAGGTAGAGTGATTCTTTCCCATTTCTATTATGAAGCAGGTTAGAGAGATAATAAAAGGGTTGTGTCTTCAAAGAGGGAAAGGTATTTGTGTCAGATTTGGGAGGGGTGTATCTGTTATTCTTTTTTTTTTCTTTCCTTATTAAGTGATAGAAAATCTTCAACTCAGAGGTATGAAGATAGATATGTTTGTGAAATTGGGAGGTGTTTCTGGGAAGGGTAGCAAAAGCCACCTCTGATTTGGTGTGGGAGGTGAGGAATGCACAGAAGTATACTGTGACAGACTAAGACCCAAAAGCAAAACAACCATGAAAAGAACAACAATAGCGTGATATGAAAAACCTAGCAGTGGAGAGGGTAGGTGGGAGAGCACCAATCAAGGACCAGGTACCTACAGGTATAGATGATGTTTTAGAAGATTTTTAATATTCTCTATTAATGGAAAGATATTCTATGCTAGTGGTGGCTCAGGAGAAAAGTAGCAGATCCTTGTGAAGTTTACCAATGCCTTGAAGTCAGGTAAAAAGGCCACTGCCTATGAACTCACATTGTCTACATCAAGGTGATGACTAATTATCTCTATTATTTTATGCAGAAGCAAAAATGACCAACATAGAAGGGACCCCCAATTTCCATTCTCCAAAATGTGCACACAATATTTTTTCTTCTTGAGAATAATGAGGAGTGATCTTAGCATAAAGAGCATCCTTTCCTTCAAATCCAGCAACAACAACAAACATCCAAATTTTATCTGTGGAAATAGAAAAAGCTGAAGTCAGATTGCTCTCAGTTTCAATGTTTTATGTTTCACCTATTTCCTTCTTTTATTAGCAAAATGTCTTCTTTTCCAAACTACTGGCTACATGATGATTCAGTCTTTGAGGATAGAGGTAACTGCCTAAAGTTAATTGTCCCATAATAGTTACTACTATTGTACAAGAAAGGCATTCTCAAAATAGCAGGATTGAGATGCATTATAAAGACCATCTACTTTCACATTCTTACTTTACAGATGAGGAAACTGAAGCTAAAGAAGGTTGAGATATTTGTTAAATGTAATTTTCTGTAAATGCTCTTATTTTTAAAAAAGTATTTATTATTGGAAGTAGGATATGAACTTTGGGACTAACTGAATTAACCTTATAACTTAGTTTTTTTTAAATGCTTTGTTTTACTCTTCCATCAAATGTGAATAACATTATCTACCTGTTATCTTCTGCACAAGAATTTTATGAAAATAAATGTTCCAAATATATACAGAAAAATCCAATGTCATAATGTAATTATTGTTTGGATTATATATGATGATCATTAATTGAGGTTTGCCTTAAGATGGTAGAATATTGGATAAAGCAAAGAGGATTAGTGTTAAGTAATAGAAGACATACTATATAAGACAAGAATTTATCAATTTGTAAGATTGCAATAGGGCCCTTAGGATATAATTTGAATGACAGCAATGAGATGTGGTAACTTATCTAGTACCTAAAATTGAGTTGTCATCTGAATTTTGGGAGAAATGAACTAAATGGAGAAAATTAGAAATTATAAATACCTCACAGCCCAATGCTTGGATATCAACTACTTTATGTTGCATTTTACTTAATTCAATCTGTACACCTTTTCTGAGAGTGTACTTTAGAAAAAAGATAACAATTTGGAACAAATTGTTTCTTTGAACTGTTCTTTCTAGATATTAGACTTTTTGTGATAATGGCACACTTCTATCCTAAGGTGAATCATTTGAACACACAAAAACATAATAGGCTCTGTCTTAGAGTGAATTCTGAGTGGTGTTGGCAGCTGTACATTTTAAAGGAGAAGATTAATACACATAAACTATCTGGCCTAGCTGAAACTACTGTTAACGTTTGAAACTGCCAACTTTATCTTATTTAAGTGAAAAAAATTACAATTTTTTTCCCCAACAAAGACTTTTTATAAAAGCAATAAGGTGATGGCATGAAGTGTGCTTATCCTGCTGTAATCACACCCCAGGGGGAATGAGAGGTGCGCCACTGCACCTCTTACTTTGTAATGACCCAGGGGTGTGATTATCTTATGATAACCACACTCCCTGTCATGCCTTATTGCTTATATATTCCACATGTCATAATGAATCCTGAAGCACTTTCTAGGTCTCATAGCAAAGGCAATGACTTTGAAGTACAGGAAGTTGCCAGATTTTCTATGTACACACAGATTAGTATTGTATACATTATGAAGAATTATGAATGACTACTTTTAAGTGACGACCAAGCCAGGGTTATTGGGGAATTTTGGCTTTGTGCCTTAAAAAAAAAACTCTTTCTTTGGCTACCTTTTAAAAAAGTTTTTATCTGCCTGCTCTAATTTTGATGACTGTTAAATTATTCTGTTTCTACAGGGTACATTATTCTCCTCAAAAAACCATCAGAGAAATAACATCTATGACATAATTATCTTGTAGTTACTTGATAGGATGTTTTACTATGAAAATTGGAGAATGATGAGCTCGCCAACACAAAAATTAGTTTCATTTGATTTTAAGTGCCAATTATTCAAGAATTATAACTACTGTAGCTACAGATTTCTAGATCTTCAGGTGTAATATTTGAGGGAGGGGCATTAAGAAAGCCTTTTAATTTATTCCGCATGATTAAGAATCTTTTTTCCCTCAGATGTTAGAGTTGCTGTATTAGCTGTAGTTATAGTGTAGGTTTTATGTTATTTGGAGATAACAATTTAGCTTTGAGATTCTTCATTGCAACTGTTAATATATTCAAATTAAAGTAAGTAGCATTAATAGTAGACTTATAGAAAGGAACAAAGATCAAGAATAAGAGATTTCTGAATCCAGCATAAAGGTTTAATATAAGACAACAAGGTAATAAACTAAGCAATTATTTTTGATGCAACTTGCACGATTATCATAACACAGAGTCAATCTGCACCTGAGGGAGAGATTTCTAAGTAATTTTGTAACCTTCAAAATATACAGAACAGTCAACATTTAAGTCCTACCGTCTCTTACATAGAAAAATCTGCAACACTCCTTTTATCCTGTCATTGTAACCTAGGCGATGAAGACGGTGGCCTTTCACTGTGACCGCTGATGAGTTGACTCAATGTTTGTGTCAGCTTCAGGATCAACTATGTTAACCTTAGGTCACTTCAAGGAAAACTGTGTATGGAAAGTGATGATTATTTAGCTGCCTACTGCATTGGCAGAGATTCTTCTGATTACCATAAAGGTCAAATATGCACATTTTGACTGGTAGTAATGAGTAGTTTTAAAGATGTTTTAGCCTTTTCTTAATCTTGCAGTGTCACTAAGGCTTCTATTGTTATGCACCAAAGAATGTGCCTCTAATTGTACCATTTGCCCTATTGTAGCTTGTACATAGAGCCAATAGTGTGATGTTCCTTGTGATAACTGCCTGCCACATGTCCTAATAATTATTAGCCTTCAATAAATTTTATAATAAGGTAATCCAAGTCTGGAAAAACCAAAGGTTCTTAAAAAGTTGAAAGCAATATTTAAGAGGCTTATGTGTCAAATTCTGATAATAGCTAGAACAAAATAGCATATTAACATACTTTTCAAGATATGAAAACCTTTTAAGAACTGGGAAGTATCTTAAAAGATTTAAAATGCTAGATGTGTATATATGACATATACATGTTTGTGTGTATGTGTACATATACTCACATATATATGTGTATTTTGTTCATATATTATTTAAAAGTTCATAAAAAGGCTTTTGTCATTTGATTTATCTAAAAATTAATATTTGTGGCAAATTTTCTTATTAACAACACGAATGGGCACTGCAGGTAGAAATAAATTTTCTAGAGAAGAATTGATAGTGGCATTTAACATGTATAAGAAATATGCAGTATGGTTCCATATTTAACACATCCAAGCAATTAGTTCCTCGGGTATTTTCAAAGAAACCGGCTTTAAAATTGACAGTTTCAAAGGATCCAAAATGCCATTATACATACACAAAAAAAGGAATAGATATGTATAATGCTATTTAAAATATAAATCCCAACCAAATTCTGATGCTTCTCTGTAAATTGAGTAGGAATGAAACAATTCCAATTTCTTCTTTGTATTTCAATGACTTCTTGGATTTTCATAAGGGCACTAACTAACCTCTTTGATATTCTCTACTTTAATAGCTGTCAAACTTTTCAAAATCCACTGTAGGTGAGTAAATACAATAGAAAAACTAAAAGTAGCTGGAGAAAACACTAATTGGAATGTATGACAAATTAGGTTGAAAACATAAAAATGTAGGTTAATGCTTCAAGTTTCCATCCTTTTTAGATATATTAAAATGTGTGGATATAAGAATATAAGAAAAATAGATTCCATATAAGTACGAGGTTAAAAAGTAGATTTACTTTTGGCTGCCTTTGAACTTCTAGTCTTATTTTCCTAAATTAAGATAAGATATTATGCTGAAACTAGTGGTAGAGTGACACCAAAGCCAGACAGTAAAATTTAAATTTTAGTACCATTAGAAGAGAGATTTAGCATTTTCATATTTTATGGCCTTATTGAAGTCTTAAAAATGAACATGATTATCTTATGGAAATAACAAGTAAATATTTTCAGTATACTATTCATAATAATTTGAATTTATCATACATATAAAATATGGTAGACATTAATTCTCACATAATTCCTGCTGTGTCTATTATATGAATCTATATGATTCAATCAGAATTAATATATATTGGTCTAAGTTCGTGTTATACCAAAAATACAGATTAAAATTGAGCACATTTATTCTACAGATAACCAAAACATCCATGAGAAAATTTACATTTGTGCCTAGGATATATACATAAATCTTATTTGGATTATAGGAATACCAGTAACATTTGAAATCTAAATTTCTTAATCATTGGTAATGAAAAATGGCAAAAGATAGGAGTTTTATTTTTTTAATTTTTTAAATTAAATTGTTTTTTATTGTTTTGTAAATTTGGGGGCAAAGAAAACTATCAAATTTGAAAATGTAATAGACTTCCAGTTGTGAACTGGGTGTTTTTTCCATCTTTTATTATGTTGTTTGGAAAAAATGAAACAGTGTATGTGGGTATACTGAACTAAGGAATGTGCTGTTTCTTAAGTTGCCTATTATACATTTCAAATTAGTAGTTAAGATAGTCTCCTTTTTGGTACTGTTGCTCTATTTAGGAAATTCATTATAAATATTGATGATTCTTCTTCCTTTGTTCTTTTTTAAACAATATTTAAGATCTGCAAGTGTCTACTTGGAATCCTTTTTCTACACCTTACTCCTGTAATTCTTTAATGCCATTGTGTGTGTGTGTGTGTGTGTGTGTAATATGGGAAATATAAAGCCAAAGAATAAAAATTAATAAGGCTAGTGGACAAAATAGATATTTTCAGATATAGAGGGGAATAAATTATAACTGATTTTCCTAAACTGAGAAATAGGTACGTTGCTTCTCTTAAATTTTTCTTCCACTGTGTTTTCCATTGAAGTCTGTGTTTTGGTCTGTATGTGGTTAAGTTTCGTGTACAAAAAGTACCACAATCCCATTGGTGTGCTGGAGTCAGCTTGTTCTGGTCCACAGAGCTGATTGTTAAATTTTCAGGAATTTTTTAAGCCAGTTGTTAAAAACTCTTTTTCCTATAACATTATATTAGAAGTGAAAAAAACATTGTTATTAAAAAATAAATTTTATAAACTCATAATTAAATTAAAAATAAAGGTAATAGATACTTATAAGTCATTACATCCTAATTATGTTATTACATTTTACTGTTATCTATGCTCTTGATGTTACTTAAATTTCTTATATCTGTATGGTGAAAATACTTTATAATGTACTATTGCACAATTCTTTTTGCTCTATTTTCAACGGTATTATGTTGTAACTTGAAATTGGCCTTGGTAGGAGTACTCAAATCTTGGAAATTGGTAAACACAACAAATCAGGGATTGGTTAATTGTTTTGTGGATTGCCTGGACTTAAGAAAGTGATGGAGATAATGTTAATAACACAGTCTAAATATATGAGGTGCGTATTTAGCTATTACATTGTAACTAGCACCAAAAATTTGAGAAAATATTATTTTAGTATTCAAAAACTATTATACGATTCAGTGACATAGTCATTAACATCATTGATACATGAGTAAAGTTCTGAATCAATGAACACATCTTAATGAATGTGTTCATTATTTCACTTTTATTAATATAAATGAAATTATCAACTAACATTCAAGTTGGAACTGTACCCATTCAATCATGGGTTGGCTCTGGATACATCTGGCAAAAATTTAAAACGGCATCCTGTGAAAATCAATTGGCTATATGGAATGTATCAAGAAAAGAATTTTATCTATTTTATTTTAGTATTATAAATTAGGTTCTACACATCTTTTATCAGAAAAAATATAGTAAGCTTATGTAGTTTATATATGTAGTTTATATATGTGCATGTGTATATATTTATACACATATATACACACACGCACATATATGTGTGTGTGTCTATTTATATACACACCTTTATTTCCCTAAGAGTCACTATGCAAGAGAGATGCAGGGAAATACTAACTTAGCAGTAGCTCATTCTACTTTTTAGAATCTCCAGTTATTAGAAAGTTCTTTTATACTAAGAAAATATTGTTTGATTATATAGCTACCCATTGATCTTTGGGAGTTACATTAAGTAATTTTTTTTGTTTTTTTGAGACAGAGTCTCGCTCTGTCGCTCAGGCTGGAGTGCAGTGGCGCGATCTCAGCTCATTGCAACCTAAGTAAATTATTTTTAAATTGTAGCCGTGCAAATCTTTACCCTGAGGTTCCCAAACCATTTTTCCTCTGGGAGAAATACCCCTTATTCTTCAGTCATATACTGATGAATTGATTTCTAAGATGTCCCATTCTAACTAAGCCCTTTTGCATGCATTTTCATTTTCAACAATATGCTTAAATTTTAATGTAAAAAATGAAACATAAATGTTTGAAGTTTTTAAAGAGAATAGTGAGAACTTTACGTCTTTTTCCAGGGCACTATGTTTCTATCCATCCCATAGAACATGGATTAAATTGGCAAGCATTTGGCCCACTTATATCTTGTTCATTCAAAGTCTCTAGGTTTTTTAATACACAAACTGTTGTTAAGTAAGGAGGCTTCTATTCTGATTTTACTGTTTTATTATTCAGATATTTTGAAACTGATGTTTAAAATTCGGTGAGAGAGATTACATTTATTCTCTCACTTCAATAGTTCTTCTGTACTTTTAGGTTTTAAGAGTAATATTTTGAAAGTATTTTGATAGTACTATAACTTGGGACCCAGGAATGGTCAAATTTTGTCCTTCCAATCACTTCTTCTTCACAGACTTCCTGAGGAAACTACATGCAATAGAAAAATGGGAATCATTGTTATACATTATTAGTAGTTGCACAGTCCTGTGCAGCCTAGGCTATAGACCTAATCTAGGCTATATGTTCTCTTTTTCATTGCTGCAAATTAAAAATAGGACCTCCACTCTCAGATTTGCCTAACTCATTGAGAAAGGAGAGTCATGATGGCATCTGCGATGTGGAATCTGGTCTGACTTACCTATCCTGTTGATTGCTTGGAGGAGGTAAGGAAGGAGCTACCTGGCTGAGCCCACCTCACAGATAATGGCCCCGCCTGGGTCAACTCAGCAGGAAAAGGGAAGAGTTCTGGGTTGAGTTGACTTTTGGGGGAATAGTAGCCGTTGTAAACTCAGGCTTGATAAATATCCTGGACTCTCTTAGATCAGACTGGCAAATTTCCTTCCCTTGAAATGTCAATAGGCATCAAGTAAGAGGAAATAGTTTGTAGAAAGTGAGCAGAAGAGTCCCTTCTCCCTATCTTGGGCTAGTGTTCTCATTTAACACATTAGACTGTGTTGTGCCCCTTGAGGCAGGATTCCAAAACTTCACAAGTGTATTAGTCTGTTCTCATGCTGCTGATAAAGACATATACAAGACTGGGTAATTTACAAAGAAAAAGAGGTTTAATGGATTCAAAGTTCCACGTGGCTGGGGAGGCCTTACAATCAAGGCAACAGACAAGAGAGAATGAGAGCCAAGCAAAAGGGGAAATTCCTTATAAAACCATCAGATCTCATGAGAATTATTCACTACCACAAGAACAGTTTGGGAAAAACTGCCCTCATGATTCAATTATCTCCTACTGGGTCCCTCTCACAACACATGGGAATTATGGGAGCTACAATTCAAGATGAGATTTGTGTGGAGACACAGCCAAACCACATCAGCAAGGAGTCCTGCTGTTCTGTTTTGACTTTTTTGAGGCTACCCAATCTCCTACTCTCCCCGAAACCCACCATTATTGGCATTGCAACACTTATCCC
This sequence comes from Homo sapiens, assembly GCF_000001405.40. Lineage (NCBI taxonomy): Eukaryota > Metazoa > Chordata > Mammalia > Primates > Hominidae > Homo > Homo sapiens. The sequence continues at coordinate 115,197,916 of NC_000007.14, forward strand.
CTTGCCAATGGAATCTGCCTCTTTATTGTTGCTCCAATATGTTTGAAATGTGTGTGCACAAAATACAAGGTGTTCACGCTAAAGCTATAATGTATATCACAAACACCATTCACCCTCTCTCCACATTTCTACCTAGGGTATATCTAACCATTTTGTCTGACCTAGCTTAACTGAAGTCGTTATTCAATGAATTTAAATGATATAACGAAGAATAAATCATGTTTGAATAATATAATTCCCTTCTCAGCTTTAAATTAAATTCACACTGAAATGTTAAATTGTATATAATAAAAATTTGAGAAATACATACAAACACTTCTGTGTGAATTTAAGTCTGGGAAGAGGACACACACACACACACACACGCGCACACACATCTATATCCACAATAGGTACTAGTTCTCTTCTTCTACTTGTTTGTAATCTGAGTCTTACAGGGAAGGCTTTTGACTCATTCCACAGACATGCAAAAAAATATGTATATTGTAAAAAAAATCAAACAGTATTCAGAAGTATATGGGAGAAAGTAAAGATTGCTTGAAATCCTATCACACTCAGATGCTACTATTAATGTTTTAGTGATTATAATTTTCGAGAATATCTTTCATATATACACAGTCATTACCATTTTACAAAAAATGGTTACACATCATACATTCTCTTCTATTCCTGATTCCCATTTATATTTTTTAAAGTATAGCATTTTAAAGTTTTTATCTTACTCCCCTCTTAATTTCTTTACTCTCTTATCTTTTCTTTGAACTTTATGCACTCTTCATCCATTATCTGTGGTCATATTATCATCTATAAGTATTTGTATATGGCCCTTTGATGAGAGTTGAGCAATCTTCTTTCACTGTCTAGGTTCTGAACAAATTGAGAAATAAAAGTAGCAAACAGAGGCCAACAATATAGTACAATTTACACAAGGCTAAGTTGGAACATGTGAAAGCCAGTGGGTCTGCAAATTTAACTTCAGATTCAGGTTGACTTAACCTCCCAGTAGCAGGAACTGCTCAGCTGGAGCAGGTTCATTATCCTGTGTATCTGTAGGGGAGGCAAAGGCCTGCCCTGAAAGATGTAGAACACAGGAGCAGAGAAGAGCAAGAGTGCCTGTGAGCAGGGGCCCACTCCAAGAGAAAAGGGCTGTGGTGGATTAGCACAGACCTCCCCCAGGGGCTATAGCTGCTCCAGGAGTTGCAGAGCAGAACTTTTCCCCAAAGGTCCTCAAACCCCAAATAAACAAAATGGTTCAGATGAATGAAACATATCCAGTATATTCTTCCCAAATGTATTATGAATATCACTCTACCTCCCCAGGAATTAAAATTTAAGATACTTCAACATGAGGAAAAAAATGTTAATACTAAACAAGGGTTCTTCCCAGGGCATGGTTGTAGATTTCTTTTTTGTATCATTTAAACAGAATCATATTTGTATACACCTCTTTGATTCTTACTTTTCCTCATTCATGAATACACTGAAGAAATCTGTCAATATGAACAAGTATAGACCTAACTGATTTTTTGCAATCGGTGCAGGCTCTTCTATGGTAGAGATACACCACAATTTATTCAACTATTCACATTTTTTACTTTCTTTATGAAAACTTTGCCTTATATAATTTTAATTTTTTATGTAGTTAATATGTCTTTCTAAATATATTCTGAGCATTCTGTTTTAACAAAAACGGTCCATGCAAACATATATGTACATTCTTCCAGAATTTTCGAGGCTTTATTTTTGCATATGTCTTTACTTTATTTAGAATGGTGTGAACTGTAAACAATAAGCAATATGCTACTCTAATATTTTGTTAAACATTTTTGTACATAGGTCTTTAATGTACTGATCCTGCTATTTCTCTGGGATAGATTTCCTAGAGTAAAGACTATTGAGTTGAAGGATGTGAAATTATAATAGATATTGCTAGGCTTTCATATGAGTTGTAACAGTTCACATTTTCACTGGTAATGTGTAACAGGACATATTTACTTGAATACTCACAGCATTAAATATTCCCACTTACTTTTTCACATTGGCCAATCTAATAAGTGTAATGTAATAGCTTCCAGTTATGTGCTGGCCTGCTTTATTACTTCATTGAGGATTCTGGTAAAAATTCACTTTACTAAGGTAATTCTAGACTAATATATCTATAATAGCCAACCTCCCTCATCATCATTCCTTATCCAGATTTTACATTTTTTAAATTTTGTACCACTTATCATCAGGTTATTTCTTTTCTTTTCTTTCTTTCTTTCTTTCTTTCTTTCTTTCTTTCTTTCTTTCTTTCTTTCTTTCTTTCTTTCTTTCTTTTTCTTTTCTTTTCTTTTTTTTTCTGAGACGGAGTCTCACTCTGTCACCCAGGCTGGAGTGCAGTAGCATGATCTTGGCTCACTGCAACCTCTGCCTCCCAGGTTCAAGTGATTGCCCTGCCTCAGCCTCCTGAGTAGCAGGGATTACAGGTGCGCACCACCACACCCAAATAATTTTAGTATTTTTATTGGAGATGGGGTTTCACCATGTTGGTCAGGCTGGTCTCAAACTCCTGACCTCGTGATCCACCAGCCTCAGCCTCCCAAAGTGCTAGGATTATAGACATGAGCCACTGTGCCCGGCCTAGGTTATATATTTTCCTTGTATATAATCTCTTCTACCGTCAACTAAAATATAAGCTTCATAAGAGCAATAACTGTTCTTTTTTGCTTGATGTTGAATTCCTAGCACCTAAAATTTAATAAACAATTAATTTGTGTTTTCCTATATATTGATTGAATTTTTTTACTGTCCATTGGTCATTTGTATTTGCTTTTCTTTTAATTGCTTATTCATATCATTTAACTATATTTATAATTACTTTATCAATTTTGAGGTGTTTTTGGTATACTACAGATATTATCTAATATATTGCAAATAAGTCTCATTTTTTACTTTATGATCACCTTGTCTTTTATTATTTTAATTTTTATATAGCAAATATATTTATTATTTTTTACATATTATATTTACATATTTATTACATATTTTTGAGGTTTTATTTATGTTTACATTTAAGGTTTTACCTTATCTAGAATGAGAATGAGCTTAACATTATTTTCTGCAAAATGGATGTCTGCTACACCAGGAACATTTTAAAGTTAATCATTATTCTCCACTCAATAGAATTATCACCTTTGTCATATATTAAATTCTGTATACATTTGAATCTGTTTTTCAGTTCTAACATTTCAATTAATCTATTTCTATTTTGATTAATTTTATTTTTAAATATTTTGGGTTATTCTAAACTTGATATTCCCAGAAATTTTGATATTATATTATCTCAGTACAACACAAAGTACAACGCTATTAGGTGTTTATGCAAATTACATTTAAGTCATTAATTTGAGGGACAATATGTATTTGGCATAACAGTAAATCTTTCAATCCAAAAACACATGTATTAGTTACTTTTTGTTGCATAATAAGCCATCCTAAAATGTTGTGGCTTAAAATACAATAAGTAGTTATTATCCTTTCAATTTCTGTGGTTCAGAAATTTGGGAGTGTCTTGGTTAGAAGGCCTTGGCTTGGGTGTCTCTCAGGGAGTTGCACTCAGATGATGGCTGGGGCTAGAGCCACTCAAAGGCTTCTCGCTCACATGCCTGGGCTGGAAAGGAGTGCCAATGTCACACTGAGAGATGGGATATATATTGTTGCAACTATTATTTAAAATTACCGTCTCCCACAACATGGTATACCTTCTCGTTTATTCTGTCCTTATTTTATAGACTTTCACAGAATTTTATAGTTTCATTTTTATGGATTCTACACACTTCATGTTAAATTTGTTCTTGAATACTTTATAATTGTTGTTTCTATTGCAAATGGAATATTTTCCTTTTTATTTCTATCTTCTTTTTGCTAGTATAAAGGAAAGTTATTGATATTTGAATATTTGTCTTAATCTAGCCACTTACCACATTTCCTCATATATTCAAGTAGTTTTTAATAGAATCTTTTGGGTTTTCTTAGATATTCAGTAATATTATTAGCAAAAGAGCTAATTTTCCAAAATGACACTGATTAGTTTTTCTTCTCTATTCTAGACAGAAAAATCTCTGAAGAGATGTTGGATAATAATAGATAGCAAGCATCTTGTTCTTGTTCCTTCTTTTAAAATAAATGGTTTTCTATTATCAGATAGATTGATACTTGCTATTGCTTTTGCTAAATAATCTTTATCAAATTTAATTAACTTCTTTCTATTTCTATTCTACTTGAATTGCCTCAAAACATTGGCATTATCTGTATTTTACAAGTTAGATGGAACTGTGAACCATGTAGTCTTGATGTCTTTTTAAATAATCAATTTTAAAACCATTATTTTGATCTCTTCTGTGATACTTATTTCATCAATTTCCTCCAAAGTTTCCACTTTACTTGTAGAGTTATACTGCTCATTTATTTATCTATGCCATTGATTATTTTCTGAATCTCAGGTTCAGAGGGTTACATTAATTATACTCTTTTTGCAGTTAACTACACACCCTTTCTTATTTTTTGAATTCTAGCTCATGGCTCTTTACATTTTCTCTAATATTATCAATTGCTTAATTCATGATGATTTTGTTATGCCTGTAGATGATCCTCTCAATACTCTACCTTCTCAGTTCCTATTAACACTGAAGTCAGCTAATGTTACTCCTCATCTCAAAGCCATCCAATGGATCTCCATTAACTTTCTGACCCTGTCTCCTACTATTATTCCTTTCATTCTTCCTGCCATGGCCACACCAGCCTGGTTGTGTTTCCTCAAATACGCCATGTGATTCCCTCTTTAGCTGGAGAACTTTAACCCAGGTAACCTCATGGTTTGTCCCTGATCTCCTTCAAGTCGTGGCTAAAATTGATTTCACAGAGAAGCCTTCCATAACCACCCTATTTGAAACTCCAGCTCCTCTCTCGTTCTCTCTAACGTCTTTCCTATTTGTTTTTCTCCATAGCACTTGTCACCATCTGACATATTAGATTCTTTTATTTATTTATTTTGTTTATTATCTCTCATACTCAAAAAAGGGCATACTGTTTACCCAGAATATTAAGGAAGGTTTAACTAAATATTTGCTGAAAAAAATACGTTGTCTTCAGGATAGCCAAAATTTTTACAAGGCAAACTAGATCCCTAGTTATGTGGAGAAAAGAGGAGAAAAAGAGAGAGAGAGGAAGAGAGAGAGGAAGAAAGAGTGAGAATGCCAGACAGAAGCTGTTTTACCTTCTGTGACCAACTTCAGAAGCCACTTAGAGTCACCCCCACCACGTACTACTGGTCAAAGCAATTACAAAGATTCATGTGGATTAAAAGAAATAAACATCTGAAAATTATTTTCAAAATTTTCCTTTTTGTCTTTAAGAGGATTACTAGTTTTAACTGATTTTCTGATCCTTAAAAATATCAACTTTTAGAACATTTATCCTATTATTTTTATTGTTTATTTATTTTTCAGATATTATTGTTATTTTAGTGTCTTTTAGTTTTTGTTCTTTTTATAATTTCTTGAGATAAGGTGTAATCCCATTTATCTTTCATCTTTCTTTTTAATAAGAAGATATTTTAAAATCTGTTTTTCTCTTTGGATAGTTTTAGCAATGTGCTAAAATTAACTTTTGGTAGAAAATGTTTTATTTTTTTTCTAAATTAAAAAATTTAATTTTAATACTCTCTTTGGACTAAGCATATTTTTAGGATAAAGTTTTTTATTTTCTAATAAGATATGCTAGTAATTTTACAATATTTGTTTTTAAATGTAGTTCATTTTGATTAAAGATAATGCTGTTAAGTATTATTAATTTTGATCAGAGAATATAAATGTTCTACATTATAAGATTTAAGGGTTTTTTTTGTAGTCAATTGCATAATTTTTGAAGTGATTCCATGGATATTTAAAAATGTATATTTCTATTTATATGTATTTCATTCTTTTATTGAAAGTAATTCATCTGTAACTTTATTTTAAAAAATGTTGTTCATAAATTTTTAATAATGCTTGCTTTAACTATTTACCTTCTTTATTTATTTTGGTGCTTTCACTTTCACATAATTCTCTTTGTTTCTATCTGTACCTTAATCTTAAATTCTATCTTTTTTATTAGTAATATCACTACTCATATTTTCTTTGTGTCTTCTGATATTTCATAGCTAGTCCTACTATCTGTAAATTTGCCTGGTAAGATATAAAACTTTGTTTTTTTGGATGGAGTTTCGCTCTTGTTGCCTAGGCTGGAGTGCAATGGCGCTATCTCTGATCACCGCAAACTTCGCCTCCCAGGTTCAAGTGATTCTGCTGCCTCAGCCTCCTGAGTAGCTGGAATTACAGGCATGCACCACCACACCCGGCTAATTTTGTACTTTTAGGAGAGATGGGGTTTCTCCATGTTGGTTAGGCTGATCTCAAACTCCTGACCTCAGGTGATCTGCCCACCTTAGCCTCCCAAAATGCTGGGATTACAGGCGTGAGCCACTGCTCCTGGCACAACTTTTTTATACCATCTAATTTGATAGCATCTGCTGTCAAAAATCAGATTTTATCTTGTTTACATTTAACATAACAACCAATATTTTATTTTACTCTTTTAATCTTAATTTATATTCATTTTTAAATACTGTTTTTTCAAATTAAGTTCTACTCTACTTTTCCATCCTACTGGTTACTCCTGTTTACCTTATTGTTTCTTAGTCTTTTAATATATTACTTTCTCCTATCACATTCTTTGTTCCTCCACCCACTGAAAAACCAAGAGCCAACATTATCCCTTTACAATGCCTTTTTTCTATTCATTTTTATGTAGACAATGGATTACTGAAATAAATGTAGCTTCCTCTTACCATTAAATTCCAGGTAATCCAATCTAAATGCTCCATTGTGACCCAGTGATCCAAAGGCTTAATAGGGCACCTTAGAATATCACAATGCCAGCTCAACACCCACATTTAGAGCCAAAAGTTATTGTTACTTAGTGATTTCTCTGAGAAGGAATTGTAGACAGAGAAAAAAATAAGACAAGAAAGAAAGAAAATCTTCCAAATTTTACATAGCATGAATCCCTGTCATTTCATGCCAGTTATACAAATTTTATGTGTACAATTTCAGTACAATGAATAGAAATCTGTTATCAAGGGATTAGTGTGCTCTTCCAAGCCTTTTATAGCCGGCACTTCCTGGGTGCTCTTCTAGGTCTATATCCTCAGATTCTTCAAAGGAAGAAGGGAATTTAGACAGATGCTCCTCCTCAATATCTTGTAGAAATTCCAGAGTTATTGCTCCTATTTCCCCCCACCACTAACGTAAATCTATATATTGAGACCAGAATAATCAATTGTGCCTGGAAAGAGAGATACTGAAAATAAGAATAAGCCAATGAGAGAGTGCTTATGGACCAGAAAGAAAGTGCTTGCTCTCCAGGACATCAACAGGTGCTTAGACCTGTGAGATTAGCAGCTCCCTCCTCTCTTTCAGTAGATCCAATAAGAATAGGCAGATAGAAAATGTGCAGTGAGGAGTTGGAAGAGTATCCTTCTTTTTAAAAGCATTATACACTTTTTGTAATTAATTGCAGTTGTTTTTATGAATTTTAGTTTCCCTACAAAATTATAAACATTTTTTTGGGGGTGTGTGTATTAATCTGTTCTCATGCTGGTAATAAAGACATACCAGAGACTGGGTAATTTATAAAGGAAGGAGGTTTAATTAACTCACAGTTCAGCATGGATGTGGAGGCCTCAGAAAACTTACAATCATGGTGGAAGGGGAAGCAAACATTCTTCTTCACATGGTGACAGCAAGGAGAGAATGAGTGTCCAGAGAAGGGAGAAGCCCCTTATAAAACAATCAGATCATGTGAGAACTCACTATCATGAAAACAGGATGGGGGAACTGCTTTCATGATTTAATTATCTCCACCTGGCCCTTCCCATTATATATTGGTATTATTGGAACTAAAAATCAAGAGGAGATTTGGGTGTGGACACAGCCAAATCATATCATTCTGCCCCTGGCCCCTCCCAAATCTCATGTCATCACAATTCAAAACACATTCATGGCTTCCCAACAGTTCCCCAAAGTCTTAACTCACACCAGCATTAGCTCAAAAGTCCAAATCCAAAGTCTCATTTGAGATAGGGCAAGTCGTTTCCACCTATGTGCCTGTTAATCAAAAGCAAATTAGTTACTTCCTAGATACAAAGTGGGTACAGGAATTGGGTAAATACACCTATTCTAAATGGGAGAAATTGTCCAAAACAAAGGGGCTACAGGCCCCATAGAAGTCTGAAATCCAATAGGGAAGTCATTAAACCTTAAAGTTTGAAAATGATCTCCTTTGATGGCATGTCGCACATCTAGGTCACATTGATGCAAGAGGTGAGCCCCAAAAGCCTTGGAAAGCTCTACCTCTGTGGCTTTGCAGGGTGCAAGCCCCAGCCCTAGGGCTTTCACAGCTGGTGTTGAGTGTCAGAAGCTTTTCCAGGCACACAGTGCAAGCTGTCTGTGGATCTACCTTCTGGGGTCTGGAGGATAGTGGCCCTCTTCTCACAGCTCCACTAGGCAGTGCCCCAGTGAGGACTCTGTGTGCAGGCTCTGACCCCACATTCCCCTACCCCACTGTCCTAGCAGAGGTTCTCCATGAGGGCTCCACTGCTGCAGCAGACTTCTGCCTGGACATCCAGGCATTTCCGTACATCCTCTGAAATCTAGGCAGAGGCTCCCAAACCTCAATCCTTGACTTCTGTGCACCTGCAGGCTCAACACCAAGTGGGAGGCGCCAAGGCTTGGGGTTTGCACCCTCTGAAGAAATGGCCTGAGCTGTAAGTTGACCCTTTTTAACCATGGCTAAAACTGAAGCACCTGAGACTCAGGGCACCATGTCCTGAGTTGCCTAGAGCAGGGGGACCCTTGACCCAGCCCTGGAGGCATTTTCCCCATTGTCTTGGTGATTAACATTTGGCTACTAATTACTTATGCAAATTTCTGCAGTAGGCTTGAATTTCTTCCTAGAAAATGGGGTTTTCTTTTCTATTGCATTGTCAGGCTGCAAATTTTTCAAACTTTCCTGTTCTGCTGCTTCTTGAACATTTCGTCACTTAAAAATTTCTTCTGCCAGATACCCTAAATTATCTCTCTCAAGTTCAAAGTTCCACGAATCTCTAGGGCAGGGGAAAAATGCTGCCAGTCTCTTTGCATAGCAAGAGTGACCTTTAATCCAGTTTCCAATAAGTTCCTCATCCCCATCTGATACCACCTGAGCCTGGACTTTATTGTCCATATCCCTATCAGCATTTTGGTCATAGCCATTCAACAAGTCTCTAGGAAGTTCTAAACTTTCCAACATTTTCCTTATCTTCTTCTGAGCCCTCCAAGCTATTCCAGCCTCTCCCTGTTACCTAGTTCCAAAGTCACTTTCACATTTTTGGGTATCTTTACAGCAGTGCTGCCGTACCCTGTACCAATTTACTGTATTAATCTGTTCTCACACTGCTATAAGGACATATCCAAGACTGAGTAATTTATAAAGGAAAGAGGTTTAATTGACTCACACTTCTGCAGGGCTGGAGAGGCCTCAGGAAACTTTCAATCATGGCAGTATGGGGACCAAACATGTCTTTCTTCACATGATGGCAGCAAGGAGAAATGCTAATCAAAACAGGGAAAAGCCCCTTATAAAACCATCAGATCTCATGAGAACTCACTATCATGAGAACAGGATGGGGACTGCCTACATGATTCAGTTATCTCCACCTGGTCCCTCCCACGACATGTGGAGATTATGAGAACAATTCAAAATGAGATTTAGGTTGGGACACAGTCAAACCATATCAGGGGGAAAGGTATACTTGATTCTTTTTGAAATTATAATAATTATTATTTATTACCATACTGAGCTGTTATCTTAATGACTGACTGAATTCATCACAGACTAATGCATAATTTAAAAAAAAAATTAAGTCTAGTCAAATGCAACAGTGGAAGCGGAGAAGGAACAAGGAAATCTGTAACTGCTTGTGATCAATTTAGTTGTAAACACTACTGCACTTGGACCATTCTCATCTTAATAGTTTCTGCTTGCTTTTCTAATCTTTCAAATTAGTTTTTGAATTTTTCTAACATCAAGAGCTAGCTAGTTATTTAATGAAATAAAAGATGTGTGGATTCTGTTACTTTGTGTCTGGTCCTTAGTAAGGACTGAATAAATGTTGTATCTTACTATTAATAATAGTGTTTCTGTATTATACATAGAGATGATGAATGTGCAGGAAAAGTGACCTGTGACATACCAAGTTATTTCCAAATTTACAAAATAGTTAATTAGTATTTTTTGGATATGACAATTTAAAAAACTGAGTTTGACTGTGACAACACACAGTCCACATTCTCTGCCTTTTTAAAAAAGTAAAAGTTACAGTATGTTAGGAGATATTATAATTATATTATGTCACAAATAAAAATACACTGTGCTTGTTTTATTTCCCAAATTTTTTTAAGTATGTAAAAAGCATCCATTTTATAACATATACCAGAATTTTATGGAGAATTGAAGTCATAGTCACTAGTTTGTATAATGTATGTAATATTTTAAAAATAACTCCATGCTTCCTTATTAGCAAGACAGTTTTTTTTTCTACACCCTGCCCACTATTAAAGTTAATCCATTAGAATAGAGTCCGGGAGAAAGAAGATATTACTAAGGTAAATCCCTCACTGGAGAGAAGAGGAAAAAAAAATGTCTTTTAAAGTAGAGGCAAGGGACAATCATACTTTAAAGATTGAGGGAAGAAGAAAAAAAGAAGCAAGTGGTGAGATACTTGTGTTCTGACCTCCCTTTTCCAGCATGAAATCTTAAGAGAGATGAAGGCTGCAAAGGTTGAGGTGAGAGTTGAGAGCAAAGTGTGTTTTGCTTCACTTCCTATTGTGAGTCAGCAAGGGTCTGCCCTGCAGGTGGAAGCATCAGATAGGAAGAAGTGGCACATTGAATAACTATTTCCTCCCCCTGTTTGACTTCCCTGTGGTATGGAAATGATCTAGAATCATCTGTGTACCCTGAGGGAAAGCTGAATATGGCAGGCCAGTAGAGATTGTCAGCAGAGGTGGCAGGAAATAGGTGTAAACGTGATCCTCTAGCCAAGCACCATGGGACAGGCTGCCTGGGCAGCCTGGGCAAAGGATCAGTCCCATTTAGGAATTTATAGTCACGTGATAGCAGAGGTAAACTGAGTCAGCAATAAGGGCAACCAATTCCTGATGAATCCAAGAAAGAACAGATGACCAGATCATGGACTTCCTATTTCCTGGTGCCTAAAGGTCTGGGATTTCCCTCAAACCTCCACATTATGTCTCCCTTATATCATAAAGCGATAAGCCCTAGAGCCATATGTCACGGCCTGGAGGGGTATGCTTTCTACATTATGTGAGAGCTCTATGTGATAAAAGCTATAGGCTGAGCCCTTATCATGATAAATGGTAGCTGATAGGATTTAGTAAATCCTCTCTTAAGATAATAGCAGGGCTTGCTGATATGTTGCCTTGCTGAAAAATCTCATTTAAAACATCAAAAGTGAAAGATTAACTATTTTCATACAAATCCTAATATCCCGCTAAGCAAATGGACGCTTTAGACCAAAAAGGCCAAGTATTTACTTGGAAGGAGAAAAGAGATTCATTAACAAGTTTGAAAATAACATCTCAGTTATAGTTATTTTAAAAACTAGTCAGAATATCACCTAAATACTATAGATGCATATATTCTTTATTGTACATAGAAGCAAAGTTAATTAGAGCTAAAAGAGATCATATAAATTATCTATTCCAACCTCAGAAATGAGAAATCTGAGATCCGAAAAGGTTTAGATAGCTTGCCTTGGGTCACATATTGAGTATAGAGTAAGTCCAGGCAAGAACCCATTCTTGATTCTTATTCTAGTGCCTCCTTTCCTACCTTTCATCTCCACAAATTTGACAATTCCTTATCCTTGAACACTTATTCATTCATCTGTAAGTATTTGAAGACAGAATGCTTCATTGATCTTCCTTTTGCAGATTCAATTTCCTGCTTACATTCTGACTCCAAAAGGAGCTTGCTCAAAGAATGACTGCTGGGCAAATTATATGATGATCTTAGTAATTTAGAAACATCATGCCAATATTAGACTTCTTAATTCTATTTTTTTAATTGCAGATATCTAGAGAATTCTTCATTCTGGTCAAGAAATTTTCATGGTAATGGTTTTGATTTTTAAAGAGACTTAAATGTTTCTTTGAAAAAGGAGACCTAGAAAATTCTTCCACTATTATTAATTCTCAGAAAATAATTTAATTGAACCTCACTGAAGCTAATTAAAAGGATAATTTCTCATTTTGCTTTGTGGTCCCATGGACTTAATTCAACTGAAGAGGTGTATTTTTTTTTTTTTTTTTTTTTTTTGGAGGTAACTGTGCTAAGAATCAGCATCAGGGGAACAAGATGAGAAATGCCCTCATATTTCTATTCTTCTTATCTCATGACAAAAACATCTTGTACAAGTTTACTCTTTCCGAATAATTTCACCCTTTTCATGCATACGTAAATTATTTCCTTTTTTAATGCTAAGTAAGTTTCTTATGAATTTTTTAAAATTTTTGTTTTATATATAATAATTATCTAATGTAATTCAGCAAACACTTGTTTATAAAGATTAACCATTTTATTTTTGTTTTTAATTTTTATTTTTTTAGACACAAGTTCTCATTACGTTGCCTAGGCTGGAGTGCAGTGACTATTTACAGGGTTGATTATAGCTCACTGCAGCCTCAAATTCCTGGCCTGAAGTGATCCTCCTGTCTCAGCTTCCCCAAATAGCTGGTACTATAGATACCCACGACTGCATCCGGCTTTTATTTATTTTTATTTAACACTTTGTACTCCTTATTACATGGCAGGCAGTACTCTAAATGTTTCATAAGAATTAATGCAGGTATGGACTATTATACACCGCCCCATTTTATAAATAAAGCTATTTAGACAAAGAAAACTTAAACAACAGTCAAACTCAGGTATTTGTTACATAGATGCATATTCTCAATGTTGATTATAGGAGCCATGCTTGCTACTAGGGATACTAAGAGGAATGAAACACTATGCTCTAAAGAAACTTAGCTTATTACAACGTACTGTTTGGTAGATACAGATATATAAAAACAGCAGTGTTCATTATTATGAATATATGTAAAAAGTGCTATGGGAAGTAGAAAAAGGATTTCAGAGGAAGGAGGAACACTGAAGTTGTGCCTTAAAAATAAGGAGAATTTCATCTAAGTAGAATGTTATTTAGGAAAACGTAGAAAAAAAAAGAGCAAATACCAGCCAGTCTAAAAGTGCAAGATGTTTCCTGGAAATAGATTCATCTAGTGTGGCTGGGAGTTGAAAAGAAGTGATAATAAAAGTACATGAAGAGTTAGAGCAGGGCCAGATTAAAAATGACATTCAATGTGAGGGTCAAAGTTCTAAATTTATCCTGGTGGTGGAGGGGGTTATCTAAGGTTTTTTTTTTTTTTTTTTTTTGAGAAGAGTTTCACTTTATTTTTATTTAACACTTTGTACTCCTTATTGCATGGCAGGCAGTACTCTAAATGTTTCATAAGAATTAATGCAGGTATGGACTGTTATACACTGCCCCATTTTATAAATAAAGCTATTTAGACACAGAAAACTTAAACAACAGTCAAACTCAGGTATTTGTTACATAGATGCATATTCTCAATGTTGATTATAGGAGCCATGCACTATAATCAACTAATGTTGATTATAGGAGCCATCTTGGCTCACTGCAACCTCCACCTCCCGGGTTCAAGCAATTCTCCTGCCTCAGCCTCGGGAGTAGCTGGGATTACAGGCGCAGGCCACCATGCCTGGCTAATTTTGTATTTTTAGTAGAGATGGGGTTTCTCTATGTTGGTCAGGCTGGTCTTGAGCTCCTGACCTCAGGTGATCCGCTTGCCTTGGCCTCCCAAAGTACTGGGATTACAGGCATGAGCCACCACCGTGCCCAGCCTCTAAGTTTTTTGTTTTTGTTTTTGTTTTTTGTTCTTTTGCATATGGAATTATATGACTACTTTCAAGTTGTAGAAATGTTAATCTAGGTCAGATGTTATGTTAATCTAGCTCACGCCTGTCATCCTAGCACTTTGGAAGGCTGAGGCAGATGGATCTCTTGAAGTTAGGAGTTCAAAACCAGCCTGGCCAACATGGCGAAACCCTATCTCTACTAAAAATACATAAATTAGTGGGGGTGGTGGCGCACACCTGTGATCCCAGCTACACGGGAGGCTGAGGCAGGATAACTGGTTGAACTCGGGAGGTGGAGGTTTCAGTGAGCCAAGATAGTGCCACTGCACTCCAAAAAAAGAAATGTTAATCTAGCCATGATGTGAAAAATGGATTTGAGTGAGAAAAGACTGGGATGGGGCTACCAATTAAGGGCTGCTACAGCAGCTCCGGTGTAAAAGAAAATTAACTCCCTAAACAATGATAGTGCCAAAGGGAATAAAATGAAGGAAAACAAAAAAATATGAGAAGACTGACAAGTTTACCAGACAAGATAATGGGTGTGTTTTTGGAAACATTCAGTTTCAGAGGACAATGCCCACAATGTGGTTGCAAATACAGGTGCAAAAGAGACTGGAGCTTGAAATATAGATTTGGGATTCATTAGGAATTATGACATTGGGAGACATGGGTATAGATAAATGCACAGTGGGAGAATGGGGTGGGGATAAATGCAGAGTCAAAAGTCGGGTGAAAGAATGGAATCTATCAGAAGAGGGAGAAAAGAAAGACAGCCATGGGAAAGAAGCATCCGAAATCCAGTGAAAGAAAATGTTTAAAGAAGGAATAAGTGGTTAACCATCTTACATGCAACAGAGAATAGTCGTAGGATGAGGACCATAAAATTTGGTAGTTAGAATTCCAATTAGCCTAAAATCTTTTTTGTTGTTGTGGCTTCAATTCTGTAGGCTGAATGCAGTTTGCTGAATTGTGGCCCTGAAGGATGTCCATGTCCTAATTCCTGGTACCTATGAATGCCACTTTATATGGCAAGGATTTTGCAGATGTGATCAAGTTAAGGATCTTAAGATGAAAGTAGCCGAGATTATCCAGGTGGGCCAAATAATGTTATCACAGTGTCCCTACAAGAGGGAAGCAGAGAGAGATACGGCTAAAGAAGACGTCAGTGTTAGGATTGAAGCTGTGCTAAGCTGCTGGCTTAGAAGGGGGTTCAGGAAGGGACCATGAGCTGATGAATGCAATGCATGCAGCTCTAGAAGCTGGAAAAAGAAAGAAATGACTTCACTCAGTGCCTCTGGAGGGACAGTTGACCCTGTTTCTCACATATACTGCTTTTCCTCACTGCAGCTTAAAGCCAACCAAAGTTGAGGGGCAATGGGAAATCTTAATATTAACCTGCATTGGGCTTTTTAATATCTAGGATATGAAATTACGTTAGTATGTAGGAGTGCCCAGTGTGCCTGAGATTTCACAAAAGA
This sequence comes from Homo sapiens, assembly GCF_000001405.40. Taxonomy (NCBI): domain Eukaryota; kingdom Metazoa; phylum Chordata; class Mammalia; order Primates; family Hominidae; genus Homo; species Homo sapiens. The sequence continues at coordinate 115,213,470 of NC_000007.14, forward strand.
ATAGCAGATGAGATAGCTAGCGGTGAAAAAGAACACACTGATTGCATCCAGATACTCCTGAATCCCGCTTATTCAATACGGTACTTATGCTACAAATAATGTAATTATGGCTCACCAAGAGTAGAAAATCTTCAAAAAGTTTAAAGACAAACAGAGGTGGATGGTGGAAAATGATTAAGTAAATGATATTCTCATTTACTTAATCTCAGGATCAATAGTGACATAGTTTGGATATGTGTGGTGGCCCAAATCTCATGTTGAATTGTAATCCCCAATGTTGGAGGCAGGTAGTTGGATCACGAGGTTATATCTCTCTTGAATGGTTTAGCATCATCCCCTTGGTGCTGTTCTCATGAGATCTCATTGTTGAAAAGTGCATGGCACCTCCTGGCTCCCTCTCTCACTCTTGCTCTGGTCATGTAATGTGTCTGCTCCCCCTTTTGCCTTCTACCATGATTGTAAGTTTCCTGAGGCCTCCCCAGGAGCCAAGAAGAGGCCAACACCATGCTTGCTGTACAGCCTGCAGAAGTGTGAGCCAATTAAACCTGTTTTCTTTATAAATTACCCAGTCTCAGGTATTTCTTTATAGCAATGTGAGAATAGCCTAATAAAAATAGTTTAATAGAATGCCATTTGTAAAAAGTGGATAATTAGATATAATTCTTTAAAAAGCTACATATGAGATGACTGTTAAGTAAAATGCAAAATATAAGACCATACATAGCAGGAATCACAAATTCAAATGTCCACCAGAGGTTTCAGATTAAAAACAGAGTCTGATAGCCTTGGTAGACTAGAGAAGACATAACCTCTGAAGAGAATGGCTTTAACCAGTCATTGACAGGAGGAGTTGGTGACACTCAGCCCTCACTAGATTTTGCAGTTCTCAACAGAAGGAAAAACAAATAATTCTGAATCTGTATGTGAAATCTTCTAAGTTTGATAAATTATAGGCAACTGTATTAGTTTGCTATTGCTGCTATAAAAAAAATCCACACATTTAACAACTGATAACAACACAAATGTATTCTCTTAACAGTTCTAGAGGTCAGAAGTCTAAAATGGGTATGCAGGATTACTCCTTCCAGAGGATCCAGGGAAGAACCCATTTGCTTGTCCTTGCCATATTCCAAAGGCTACCTACATCCTTTGGATCATGGCTCCCTTCTTGTATATTCAAAGCCAGCAGGGTAACTTCTTCAAAGTTTTCTCCATCCCTCTGCCTCTGTTTTCACATCTCTTTCTGTCTGACTCTGACTCCTCCAGCATCTCATCTCTCATAAAGACTGTTCTGATTACATCAGACCCACCGTGATAATCCAGGATGATCTTCCCATCTCAAAATCCTTAATCATATCTGCAAAATCCCTATTGCCATATAAGGCAACATTTGCAGGTGTTGGCAATTAGGATATAGACATATTTGGGGGCCATATATCATCACAACAACCAATTCCCAAATTGCAGTATGTTAGTCAACATGAAAAAGCTAATTAAATATGTCAATGAGGCAAACTCTTCTTGCAGGCTGACAGTTTGCCATTTTTGGAACTTTTCCTTGGGTTCTTTACCTTTTTTACTCCTCTCACTTCTTGCAGCACATCTTATATAATAAAGGGTTTCACACTTGGGAATAGCATGTGCTGTGAAGTGAAAAATGTGATAGTGAAGTTTAATATAATTCTATGGCCGGGTGCAGTGGCTCATGCTTGTAATGCCAGCACTTTGGGAGGCTGAGGTGAGTGGATCACGAGGTCAGGAGTTCAAGACCAGCCTGGCCAAGTGAAATCCCGTCTCTACTAAAAATTCAATAATTAGCTGGCTGTGGTGGCCAGCACCTGTAATTCCAGCTACTCGGGAGGCTGAGGCAGGAGAATCGCTTGAACCCAGGAGACAGAGGCTGCGGTGAGCTGAGATCGTGCCACTGCTCTCCAGCCTGGGCGACAGAGCTAGACTCCATCTAAAATACATATATGTGTATGTGTAAAACACATATATATATATGTGTTTGTGTGTGTGTATATATATATGCATATTTGTATATATATAAACGCATATTTGTGTGTGTGTGTGTATGTGTGTGTATATATAGTATATATATATATATATATATATATATATATATATATATATATATATATATATAAAATTCTGTGAGCCAAGGATTGTGGGGGCAACACTCTTAAAAAATGCACTTTTATTTTTATTTCAGTTAAGGACTTTTAAAATGCATTTTAATTAAGTATATTTTGAATTGTTTGCATATGATTTTCTAAGTCATTTGTCTACAATATAATTTGTAGTTCTTACCTAACATAGATATCAGTCAAAATAGATGTTAATGATTTTAAGTTGTAGAAATATTATGATTTATCAAAGTCTATCACATTGGCAAATCCAAAATATTTATAAAAGCAACATAACAACATATAGCACATTTTATCTCAATCATCCTATTAATGTTTTGTCGGGTCTTTTTGGTATTGCAGAAAATAATAAAAACATTTCTGACAACAAAATCATCATCCAGGGCAAGGCTGATGGTCCTAAAAATAATGCATGTGTAACTTGTGTCTTAGAAGCAAGTTTTTTCTGAAACAAAAGAAAAACCTTTTGTTCTCTAGTTAATTACTTCATTATGTTGTAGGTCCAGAATTCTTTCTGAAGAAACCAACCCATTTTAAGGGAAATCACAAAATATTACAGATTATACCATTCAAAACCATTCAAAAATATGGAAGATGTTGACGTTACATAATAAAGCATCTGTGTTAATGTGAAAGAATTTAAGCTTAGGCAACCAGTGCTTCAGTAATGTTTTGATTTCTGTCCACATAAAAATCCTCTTTTGTTTGTAAATAAAGAAGGGGAAATATTTCACTGTGGCATGTTCATCTATTACCTGAAAAATCAGTGGGGTCCTGCAGTTAATCACAGCATTTTCTAATGGGATTTAAAGTTAGAGCTGTCCTCAGTTTTCTTGTGTGCAGATATAAAACATTTGCTCACCAAAACCAGCTCATTTTCTTAGCTTTGTATTTTGCTTCTAGTGTGGGCTAGCTCAGCACTCAAAGATACAGATTTCCTACTATTTTGTATTTCCAGAAATGCCTGTCTTCCATACGGGTGTACAACTTTTAACAGTAATAATTTGAGATGGAAGGGGATTCAAAAGCAAAATCTGCTTTTGAGTCTGCTTGCAAGATACTCAGGGAAATATAATCTCCATTTATTAAATTTGACTGCACTATCATACATAAAGTGGTGGGAGGGAAAAATCTCTTGAAGCTAACTTGATAGCTGAGACTACTCCAGCTTTCTCCTTTGTAATGCCTGTGGTTGTCTCTTCTGAGAAGTGTGATTCAAAGCCATTTTGAGTACCTCACATTCCTTAGCAGAACCTTCTGTGCAAGGCCAGCTACTTCAGAACTAGGTGACTTGCTGCAAAAGAATTAAAAAAAAAATACTAGGATCCTCCTGAGATGACAATTTCGGGAACTACTCTTATGCAGCAGGGAAATTCAGGGCCACACACTTAAGAAAATGAACTATTCCTTGAAACCTGGCCATTTAGCTCTTGAGAAGAGGTTACACATTTTCATCTACTCTTAGCATGGCCAATGATGTTGTGAATGCTCTGAAACTATGCTTTTGTTTTGGAGAATTCTCTCAAAGAAAGCTCCTTTTTTTTCTTCCTAAACACACGTGCAGACACACAACTTACACACATAGTTTTTGTAAATGGCAGCAACACTTCTTATATATTCCCAGAGTGGAAGGAGTACTATTAAACAAAAGTGTCCCTATGTTGAATATACCTGGAACTTTTGAGTAGGGATCATAACTTCTAATCGAGAAGGAAAATAGGACAGTAAACATGTTAAAGGTGCACATACACTGTTGTTATGTAATTGCTGGTTAAAACATGTGATGCTGCATGAAGATAACTATCCTTAGGAAACTTCTGAAAATATATTAAACTACAAGGGGATTTGATTTAATCAATCACTGGAAATGAAATATGAAAAGATTTTAACTTTTTGCCTATCATATTTAATTCTAATCCAACCCTAAAAAGGAAGCACCCTCTGCTGGATTATGTAAGATATAACTGTGACCCAAAAGTAAAAAAGAGTGAGTCTAGCTATAATCAGAGAAAGGGATTACTACTGTATATTCACATGTATCAGGGTATTCACTGCCTGACCTAGATCCAAGACAGCCTTTTTGGAGATTTAAAAAATATCGCATTTATTTTTGATATTTTAGTATGAAGATTTAATATTGGTGACTAGAATGTGTTTGAAGACCTAAAAAGTCTAGAGAAGCTCATCTTAGCCCAGGTTACTTAAAACAATACGTGAAGTATACATTCTAATATATAGTCCAGTGATTAAATATGTCAAACTCAAATTACTCAATGGTTAGAGATTTTAAAAGTTTCAAGCTAATCTTGCAATTTTTCTGAATGTGGTAGTAAAATGCTAAGTATTTTTCTGTTTTTTTTCCTTAAAAATATTAAGTGAATATACTACCAATTTATATTAGAAAATAATATCCATTTACTTAAATTACTAAGCAAATATTCCATTTTTTTCTCTGTAATATCACTCATTAAGGTATTCCATTTGATATTTTTCCAGTTTACTTGCTTGTTAATTAGCATTTACTAGCAGTCGATGATATCTGGAAGTGTATGGCACCTTAAATCTTGTTGAATGAGTGAATAACTCAGACTCATAGACACAGACATATATCTCCAAAACTTATACTCAAGCTAAAGTTCTGGAAACAAGCAAAACCTGTTCTATGTCTTTGCAGATTCTAATTTAAGCAGAATTTGTTGTTGTCTGGTTGAGTCAGATCATCCTTAGCATAACACAGAGAAGCTACTCTGTGCTGATTATTATCAATTTATTGAAGATTTTAAATGCTATAATCTAGAATTTTTTCTGTAGTTAGAATGATTAGGATTCTTGAAAAAAAAAAGACTTCTAGCTTGATAAGCTTGTTATAGTACTTTTGAAGCATATCCTTCAGTTTCTGTCATTTTTTTCTTTGTAAAAAAATGAAATAATCATTCATCTTTACAATACAGGTTACAATTCCTTATGCATTTATGAAAAAAGTAGGCACAACAATATTTAAGTCAACCTTTGGCTGATTCAAAGTGGGTAGCAGAATAAAATTAGAATACAGGTCTCCCTCATTATTTATCTAGGAATCTATTGTAGAAGACTTGAAGTTATTTGAAGTAAGGACTATGTGTGACTTTTTGTCACTGATAGAAAGAAAGGATCCTAGGAAAGTAGCTAGAATATTATAAGCACTAAACAATCATTTGTATCAAATCTAGAATCTAAAGTTAATTCGCCTATCTGAAGCATAGGACAATTTTGTTCTTTTTTATAATTGTTACCAGCATACTGAGATTATTCTGGGACCTTGCTCTCCATTGAGATCTCTTTCTCTTTCTCTCTCTCTGTTACAAGGTGAAATACATACATCTGCATGCTCATGACACATTAGTGGGCTGGACAACAGAATCAGTGCAGTAATGGAGACCAATGGGCTGGAATTCCAGTTCTACCCATGCTTATTATCAAACCTATTACTCTTCTGAGCTTCACTTCATTCATCTGTAAAACTGGGTTAGTATATTATTTAGGGCCACTGTGAGCATCAGAAATAATGCACACAGAGTGCTTGAAAACTTAGGAAGTGCTCAATTAAGATTAACTTATTATCATTACTTATCCAGCATCATTTCTTCCATTGCCTGGTGATTCCTCTAAGTTCCCCCATACTAGTTCACAGCTCTAAGCCAATAAGCATATTTCTTTCTCTTTGTTTATCCTACTACTCTCCATAAATCTGGAAACCTCCTAGTTATCCTTCAATATCCCATTGAAGAATATACCTTGCAATGCTTTTTCTGGCTCTTGCAAGCAGAGTTATTGCTGCTTCCTTTCTGCCAATATAATTCCTCATGATTTTATTGTAGTTTTTTTCATAGTGTATTGCAGTTACTTTACCTGATGTCTATTATGTAGTAGGTACTAATAATGTACCTATTTTGAATTTTGAATAAATAAAAGAAACAGAACTCTGGTTAATAAATATTGATTACATATTATTATGTACCACACGTTATCAATACTAAAGTGCAGAAAAGAATACAAAGAAGAGTAAGAAAAGATCTCAACGGGAAACCCAAAAATGAAAACATGAAAGAAAAGAATGAGCAGTGAGCAATACAAAGGAGTATAGTATACAATAAATTCCACCAGAGTAATACAGACAGTAAGAACTATACAAGACAGCTGGAGTATAAAGAAAGGGCTGCATTAACAAGATATTGTTGAGGTGGAACTGCGAAGACATGTTAAGTTTTAGATGTGAGAGTGTGTGAGGATGACAGCACTGGTAACTGGAACAATAGAAAAATATTCAATATAGAAAACATTAATGATAAAAACTAACAAAACCTGTTCTAAACAGCCTACAAAAACTAAATCCTTTAATCTTTACAACAGCCCTGTGAGGTGGATTCTAGTATCACAATTTTGCATATGCAGAAATGGATTTCCCAGGTCATGCAATTTGCTTCCAAGGACACTCAACTAGTGGCAGATTCAGGATTTAAGTGGAGGTGGTCCACCCCCAGAGGCTAAACCCTAACCACTATGCTACACTACCATATATGTAAGTCTATCATGAGTTTGAGAGGTATTTGTATTGAATAGGATGACACTGATAGAAAGAATTATTCTTAGAATGCAGTGATTGGACAGCTGACTGTCTCCATATGTGTCTGTCCCTCTGTTAACATCAGTAAAATGCCTTATTCAGCCAACTTGGAGACTGAATGAGGCACTTGAAGGAGAATGCTCTGGGCCTGGCAAGCTGGTGCCACAAAAGACACGATGCTCTTCTCTACACACTTGGAAAAAAGGGGACCCACTACTGCCCGTAAGACAACTGGATGGCATATGGCTCAAGCTGCATTGAAGAGAGTTTCCTCTTTCAAGGGTTGTGTCTCATGTTCACCAGCAAGCTTTCAATTTGGTAACAATATAAAGGAAGGCTTCAATATGCTGGCCTGCAAAGTGCTCCCTGACCTGAGCCCAGAAGCACCCTGAGATGTTTATAAGCCTCAAACTCTACTAGATTTGTACTTGAAGGGTTGGGATTTATAAGTGATATCCAAATGCCATTTGTAAAACAAATAAGGAAAGAAAATATGAATTGTACATAGCTTAACCTAGTATTAGTTTAGCTTTTGAATTTTTAGACATAATATGCAATGTTTGCCATTTAATTATTAGAGCTCATATGTAACTATTCAAGCTAAGTTACAGAGCTGGACATGACCTTTTATAGACATAGGACAGCATTTTTAGAATTAAAAAATTATTATTCTTTTTAACTTAGAAGCTTAGTGTATTACAGTGCAAAGGACAGGAGAGGAGTGACCAGGAAATTCTAGCTTCTGGAGTGTAGCCTTGGCTGTGCCACTAATTAGCTAGGTTACTTTTGACAAGTTACCAGCCCAGAACTGTGGATTATTACAGCTTGGAGTTGCATGAGATGTCTCCTTTTCACCTTTCTCATCCAACCAACCGAGAAACTGAGGCCTGGAAAGTTTAAAAAACTTGACAAAGAGGTTATGTTTTTGGCCCATAAAGTTCCCATGACATTTTTTTTGTATAAATGAGTAATAAATAAATAATTTGTAAAACTCTTAGTTTCAAAATTCTATGATCCTATGAGGCTTTAAGTTTTTAAAAAGAATTTTCTTATCTGTATTAGAAATATAAGAATGTGGGTTTTCATGAAAACTCACATTTTCATATGACGGTATAGATGTATTTAATAATTTCTAAAAATTGACAGTCTGCCTTAAGTGATTAGGCAGATAGTCTCTAATTCATCTTGCCTGAGGTAATTCCCACTGACTTCAAGCCTTAAATGAGGTATGGAGGAAAATGAGAAATGAGCCCATAGAGTTATAATATTAAAGAATCACAGAGATTGTAACCATAGAGGATTTTGACTAACTCACATTAATTATCCAATTTGTGAAAGAAATAAAAGAATTATGGAGAGCTAAATTCCTGAAAAATGAGTACTTCCAGGATTCTTTAATGAAGTCATATCTTTCTATTTACAATATTTCCTTAAAGTTACATCATTTCTGAGGGTGTTTTGTGTGTGCATGATTGTTGATCTATGTTCTGTAGCTTCCACACTCCCAAAGGATGCTTATTCCTTGAAGGAGAGTTTTATTGCCAGTGGAAACTGTACAATATTAATGTGGAAACTTAATTTCTAGGGCAAACTAAACAAAACAAAAGCAAGAAACTAAAGAAAGGCTCTCCACATACTGGGGTAGTGAGAAATGCCCACTCCCCTGACACACACAGACACACACACACACACACACACACACTCATGCACAGCAGGAAGTATGAAGGATAAGAGAGATGTGAACAGGATTTATTGTTGCCTCATGTTCTGTAGGCACTGTGAAAAACACTTTATAAACTGTGAGCTCTCACAAGTTTTAACAAATTTGGATGGTGATCCAGTGCATCTGATCTAAGAACTGATTTAAGGAACTCTTCACTACTGGACACCTATTTGCCTTTTTGGCGCTTTCTGAAATTTAGTTAGAAATCCAGATAAACTGATGTCACTGCTTCTATAACTATAAATATTTTAGTTTTAATTCAGTGAAACGATGTTGGAAGCTCTCCCCACCCTGTCCTGTCTTCCTAATTTAAAAGCATTATTAATCCATGCAAACATTTTGATTATTGTTTTCCTTGTATTCTATGCTTTTTCTTTTCTAAGAATGTTTTATGCTTTTCCAAAGAAAAATTTGTAATTCCTGCAATACTAGGGGACTGATTAATCATTTTAATCCAAGCCACAAGTTATCATATAGCTTTTATGAAATTTTTAATTAGCCAAACCAAAAAAAAAAAGTTTGAGAAATTTAGAATACAGATCCTAATTCACTTGTTTTCAAATTCTTGTCCAATTGATAATGAATTATTTCAGAGGTTGTAAAATCTAAGTTCTTTTTAAAGAATTTTTGCATGGGTTTATAAAAACTGAAAAATAAAATGAATGCTGGTAGTGATTAAAACATACCAGAAAATAATTTTTGATAAATGAAAATCATTAAATATATATAAAATATATTAATTTATATCCCAAGGAAACTGTGCTATAGTATATGAGGGATGAAGACAGAGAAAGAGCCTGGGCCAAAAAAACTTGAAATTAACTTAGGTGGTAGACAATTATTTTTTATAGGACTTGAATAGGAGAGATCAATTTTTGACCTTCCAGTGTCATAAGTATATGTGAAGTTGGGCAAACTCAACTCCAGAATAAGCTAATTTCAATATTTGGGGTGTCTGATCTGTGGTAAGTCAAGTTAGTTTATCTGCAAAAAATAATTCTAAAAGTTGTCAAGTTTTAATTTCCAGGTGAGAATGTGGATCATGAATCAGAGCATTATAGATGATCACAGGAGATCTTGAAAGAAGGTCAAGTCAATGGAAAGGATGGCAAGAGCCACAGGGATGATCTCTCATGCAGAGAGGGAGTCATAAGGAAAAAATGGTCACCCAGGAAGGAGGGGCTATGAAAAATACTTGTCACACCTGGTGGCCACACATTAGACAAACTGTAATCTAGTAGTTTTACAAACTCTTGAAGGATAAGGGGACTGGTTAAGGAAGCAGCGTATTCTTTTCAGACCTTTCTTTGCATAGCATTCCAAAAGTCAATCACATGTTGCTTTCAAGGGGCCAGGGGCTGCCTGAGATACACAGAAAAGGTTAAAATTTATTACCTCTGTCAGTGTCAATTAGAAATAGGATAGGCCTAGGCAGGCTTACTATAGCATTGACATCTCCAGGTTTTCAGAGAGGAGAAACAATGTTAAGTAGATAACTCGATCATTGTTTCTGGCTCTCATAGGCTGGACTTGTCCTGAGTTCATCCTAACCAGCATTGGTATCTTACAAAGTCCAAGAAGAACAATGCGGTTGTCCTATCTTTGATACTTTCCACTGCATTATTTTTTCTAAACCTTTTTTGGATGTATCTCCATTTTACATCTATAAGAATTGGAGAGCTTTAAGTGACAGCAGCGGGTTCACATCTTATCTTGAAAATAATCCCTCAGTACCTTGATGCATTTCTATTATGACAGCAAAATAGATTTGAACAGGCATAAAATCTGGAGTCAGGAAAACCTGAGTTCAAGTTCAAATTTATTGTCTACCCATTATTTTGCTCTGTAAGCCTCAGTTCCCACAAAACTAAAATGGAGATAATTATACTTACTTTGCTGGGCTATTGTAAAAATAAACACAAATGCAGATAAAGCATCTGGCCCATGGTGGGTGTTCAATAAAAAGAAGCTATTATTAACTACATCCTGTTTCTTTAGGAAGAGTATTATTTGGTTTAGTACTGCACTTTTACTTGGGCAAGAATTATAATTATCAGCTTCTAAGATTAACCAGTACTTATATCTACATTTTTCCCAAAAGGAAGGAAAATCTGTGGCTCCTAAAGTGTGCTATATTTGAGACAAGTTTCCTGCACTGGCAATGGCAGAGCTTTTGTGAGCCACTTCAGATTATGATATTCCATGGTAATTCGTCCCCTGTTTTCCAGTGGGTGATGATGTCACTCCTGTGTGATCCAGCCAGGCTGGAATAAGCCTTCCAAAACTACCTTGAACATTGGTCATGTTTGCTCATATTTGAGAGGAGATACTTCTGTGACATTACTTTGCTAATTTTCTTCTCTGCCACATATTTCCACTTGAAAAGAGAGGGCAGCCCTTCCCATGAGTTGTATCTACTTAGAGCCAACTGGGTAAAGCATTTATGAATACATTTTGGTTACATTGGCTACATCTTTTAAATGGGCTTCGAAAACTAATCTTAGGATAGCTGGGCATTTTCCTTTGACCAGGAGAGATTGCAGAGTGCTTTTCTCACCTCCTCTCTCTTAGAGGTTTATGACGTGAAACAAAATACTAAGTTGCTATTGTCAGCAGAATAAGAGCAGTTCAAAATATCAGAAAATGTACTGATACACAGTTATCAGTCCCCAAACCCCACCCAATCAAGAGATCTGGTGGATCTGTTTAATTTTCACCTCTCTAGTATCTACAGCCTATTTATTTAGACCTTCATGAGGGATTCAGAACAGATTCAAATTGCCTATGGAAAATGCTCTATTTCATTTAACACACATGCCCTGAAGACCCACTCTGTGAAAGACAATTGTAAGGATAAAAACAAGAGTAGGATGTAGACTCTGCTATCAAGAAATTTTTCATTTGATGAAAGAGATAGCCATGTATATAAAAAAAAAACAAAGAAAAATGTTGTGTTATAAAGGATAGAAGCAATGTTGTGCTGAATAGATATTAATTATAATCAGAGAAATTGGGAAGCAGCTTACATCCCTGGACCAGGAATATAATGTGGCATTTCAACCCCTGGGTGTAAGTGCTCAGCATGGAACAAACATCAAGAGTGTGAAAGGAAAGAGCACAGTACGATTGGAGCGTGGGCGATCATCTGGCAGGGCTGGAGCAGTTCACCCGGAGCGAAAGTAGAAAGACAGGTGCAGCCCTATCAAGTATCAGAGAAACTTGAATAGAATGTTACATGTAGACTGGAGAATATGAGGTGAGAGGCAGGCGTGGAGGGGTGAAAATGGTCTAATTGGGTTTTGTATATGTTCAGTTTGAAGTGTTAGCAGAATTTTAGGTTCTCTTTGTCTAAGAGACAGCTAGAGTGTTTAGAGCTGAGGGAGAAAGACAGAAACTGAAGACAGTTTGACTTGCAACACCATAAAAGTGGTAGTTTCAATCATCAGCATGAAAATGGTAGTTACAGTCATCAGCAGAAAGGTTGTAGTTGAAACTACGGAAGTGGACGAACTAACCCAACAACAAGGTGTAGATCAAGACCAGAAGAAGGTGAAGACAGATCCTTGGAGTATTCCTACCTTTAGGGCATAAATCTAGAAAGTAGGGTCCATGACAGACATCAAAAAGAAAAAAATAGGGAAGCAGGAAGAGAACCAGAAAAGCACATTATCATAGGCTCCAAGGGGGAGAAAAAGCCTCAAAGAAGAGCTGGTTGCTAAACAGGTGGTGAATTCTGTCCAAAGGCTAAGGGTGACAATATCAAAACAAAAACTCTGTAGTTGTGAGGTCGCTGAAGGTACTTGATGCTTTTTAATAGAGGTGTTGGTAGAGCTAGTAGATCGAGTAAAATTGTTAGCAGTTGGATAGTGCATTAAAAAAAGGGAACAGAGACCTCAGATTTAGAGGTGATAGAGTGGAAGGCTGCTGATGGATTTTCAGGGATATTAGTTCGAAGTGTCTCTTGAGAGATGTACAGTTTTAAGTGTGCTGACTCCCAAATATTTTCTTGGCTCAGGCTCTGCGGAGTGTCTTTGTGTCAGGTCCCTGGGGAGAGGATATAAACCAAAAGCACTTGATTGTCTTTGCTGAAGAATGATAAAGAAAGCTATAATCGCCTGTGTGTTAGCACAGGTGAGGTCAGCATCATACAGGGTGGGATTGCCAGAGACAGAAGCAGAAATTGCCATTTGAAATAAACAAGTGTTACAGCAGAAACTCAAAGTACTCCTTGTGTTCGCCTTTCTCCTCTACATCTAAGCCCGCTAGAGAAAGGAAGGGAACTTGTGGGTTTGAGGGACATAGTAATACAAATGGATAGAAACTTGAAAATCTTTTAAGATTGGCTACTGAATCTTTGATTTTCTTCCCTTAAGATTAGTATGGCTTTTGACAAACTTATTATCATCTTTGCAAAACAGGGAAATACATTTGACTTCTGTTAAGCCCAAGAAGGCCTTAACATTCCCCCCAGCTTGACTACACTTCAGACAAATTTCTTCCTGCCTATAAGCCCCTGATCACCCTTTTCTTAGAGTATTTACTTTAGAAAGCTTGTAGTTGCAAATTCCTTCTCTGTCCCTTTGAGATGTAAATCTTCTCTCAGCCTCTTGCCAGTTTTACTACCTAGGAACGTCTTTCTCAAAGACCTGGGAGCCATCCCTTTGAAATGGAATCATCAGGAAAGATAAGGTCCCTACCCCCATTCTCTGTAAGAGGGCAGGAAGCTAACTTTCCTAAGTGATAATTGCCAGTTAGCAAACTCAAATGGCCTAATCACATTGACAAACCTCCCCTCAATTCCCCCAAGGTACTTTCCTAAGACCTGGCTTCAATGCTTAAAAACCTTCCCATCTTGTTTCAATGGAGTTGAGTTTAGTCTCTTCAGTTGCAATATTCTTGACCCCTATTGCAACAATCTTGAGTAAAGCCTTCTTTCTTTGTTTAATTCTGGCTGTTGCAATTTTTATTTGATACTTTCAGAAAGCATATTTTATTATCATTGGAGCTTTGATTCTCATTCTTTATTTTTTTTTATATTTTTAATGTTTATTTTGGAACAATTTCAAGTTTACAGAAATATTGCAAGAATATTGCAAATAATCACTGTGTACTCTTTAGTCAGAAACACTAAAATTTAACATTTTACTATATTTGCTTTATCTCTCTCTTTTTATATATGCGCGCACACACACAAACACACACTTTTTTTTCTTTTTTAAAAAATTCTTTCGTACATGGCCCCTATCTTCCTAGGTTGGCTCAATCTAGAAAGACAAGAATGACGTGTTTTACTGCCAGGTGGATGGACTGGCCCAATAATTTGGAAGTATGGCTTAGTGGAATGGAAACTGAGAGACATATCCCAGCCAGCAAAACAGAGGCATTTCAGCCCTTCCCTGAAGCATGATATATAGAATACACAATAATTTAATGTTTTAAAATGTAAAATGTCTATTAGTAATTTCTGATATTAAGGGGATTATCATGCCTATCTCTGTATTGAGCTAGTTCAGAAAAGTAGATTTGGGTCCTGAGTGATGGAATCTGAGCTCTAGAACATCTACTTGATTTAGATTTAGCTGCCTCCCATATGTGCTAAAGGATAAGGCCATGTTTTAAAAAGAGTTATGAAATATTTATTGAAAAAAAATACAGCAAATGTGCAGAAGCTGCCTTTCCAAACAAAATAACTTGGTCATTTTATTTTTATCCCCAAACTGCCTAAACGCAGCAGCCAACATCATGGGCTAATGGTTGAAAATGAAGCTGTTCTTGAGTCATATGAGGCCAGAAATAAAAAATAAAGTAGAAAAAAAAAAACTTTTTGTATGGTTGAAATACTATCATTTAAAAACAGCCAAGATAACTTTTCAGCAATAAATATAGTTGCAAGACTATGTGCTAACTTTTGTATATCTCCATTTTTTACTAGACATTAATACATCCTACAAGGGGAAAAAGGTCTTTTAATGGAAATGCTGATATTGTCACGATATGATGTTAAAAGGAAAACCTTAAATTGAACAGAGTTTAATTGAGCAAAGAATGACTCACAAATCGGACAGCCTCCCGAGCCAGAGTAGGCTCAGAGAGACTCCAGTGCAGCCACAGGGTTAAAGATTTATGGACAGAAATAGGAAATCGATGCACAGAAAATGGAACTGAGGTACAGAAACAGTGGATTGGTTACAGCTCAGTATTTGCCTTATTTGAACATGGTTTGAACAGTTGGTCACCTTTAATTGGCCAAAATTCAGAGATTGACACAAGAATTGGTTAGTTGGTTTACATATCCAGTTAGGTATCAGTTCACTACATATGGAGAAACTTTTAGGCTGAACTTAAAATATGAAAGGAGGCAGCTTTAGGCTAACCTAGGGTTTTCTTTGTATGCCATATGATTCTGACCTGGCCTGTCATATCTTGAAAGTATTTAAAAATATTTTCAGCAAAGTGCTTATCCCACATCCTAATAGATTTGGATATTGAACTGAACAAACACCATCCCTATTTGCCACTTGAACTCCTCAGTATAGTGTTCTCATTTTATAAGATTCCTGATTTTCTAATGGCAAATTTCTGTGGGCTACACTTTCACTGGCTGCCATGGTACTAAATTTTATAATAAAAATAACTCCATGCTTTTATTTTTAGTGAAGAAGGTGATGTCCATATAATCCAAGTTCATATGGTACAGAGGAGAGAATTGAGTAAGAAATAAGAACGAAACCCATACAGCCCTTTCCTCTGATTCGATCATTAAGGCATCAAGGGAGACAGCTGAATGTGTTCTCTATATATACTCCTGAAGTATTATATGAGAACGACAGAACCTTTCACAAAAGTTTATGAAAGCAAATTTCACACTGAATTCTTTTATCATTTGAAGAGGAAGGTGTAACTTGAACATTCAAAAAAATCTACAGAGGCTGTGTTTGGGTTAAGAAAAAAAAAAAAAGAACACACTCCTGACAATCTTCTCACACCATGTTATTGAGCCCACATTTCTTCCTATTAAATGTACCCATGAGTTTTTGTAACCATTCACCCAAAAAGGTCACTTGGCATTTTAGCTCCTGAGATGGGGACACACTGGGTGGGTAATAATGGCCAGAGAAGTCAAAGGGATAAACTTAGAAGCCACTATCTCTACAACTTTAAAAACTCAAACCCTACCTCCTGTTGGGGCATAAAATTTTGAAAACCATTTGTAGACTTATCAGTGAGAGCCTGGGTATAAAAGAGGAATGATGCTTTGCAAAATCCCCCAAGACTGCCCGAGCCTTTTCATGGTAATGAAGAAATGTCAGTGGAAGTTGATGGGGCGTGTGTGCATGTGTATGGATGTGGGGGTGGATGGGGCGCGAGAGAGGGAAAGGCTGGCAGACTGAAATTTTACATCTCAAATGTCATTTGGAAATCACTTGCGTACTCCAAGCCCAAGTCCTAAACTCTTCTGCTATTAAAAATGGTCTGCAAACAGGTCAGTCTGCTGTAAAAAATTGATTTGACAACAGCATTTTTAAGTCTTTGACGGCTTGAAGTTGGCAGCATTTTCTTCCGCTCTGATGTGGTTTGAACAGAAGCATGTTTATCTGTTATTTATGTAACAGCCTGATGAAAAAATGGGGCATGTGCTTCCCTTCTATTTGTCTTCTGCATTAACCTCATTTTGAGGTCAGGTGAAAATGCTATAGGTACTGATTGCAGCACGTTATCAGCATTATTGCTTAATGTGCCATCAACCACAAGTGCAAGTGGGCTCAGGATCATCGCCGCGGTCTTCCCAGGAATCATTTATCTGGGGCTAACTCCGAAAAAATCATTTAGAATTGTGACATTTAAAAATAAAGATTAAAAGTTCTGAAAGGAGCAGAAGTCATCCACACAGGGCCCTCTTGGCACCATAAATCAAAGTTTGTTAGAGCTGCAAATTGGAAGAGCATAACACAGAGGTGCAACCCTTTGATGTGGTTATGCAACTCACTGGTCTCCACCACTTACTAGACCACTTCTATTTTTGAGTACTATTCTCACAACGTAGACTGTGATTTTTTGGCAAACAAGCACAAAATCCAGGGTTAAAAAAGATAAAATGTATCTAGCATAAAGCATCTTTTAAATGGAAATGCCAAGTTCTTTATAAATTTGAAAAATTTATTCATTACCCGGCTTCTAGGGGAGCCCCTTATTTCCATTTTTTTTGCTGGGGCTATCTGTTTCACCCCACTAGGCTTTCCAAATGGCTGTCCACAGATGCTGAGCCTTTGGTCACCTCCGAGTGGTGTTTGGAAAGAGTACTGGGGAACTGGGCTGCTTTTTGGCCTCCTTGCACACAATTCAAGTCAGAGCTTTTGATCTTAAGGTAATATAGAGCTTGGAAACAAAAAATCTGCATTTAGTTTGGAATATCTGAAAATGATAGTGGTTAGGAAAAAGGATGTTAGGCATGGTTTGTGTGCAGGCTATTATAGGTACTTCCTTTCCAAAAAGGTGATATTTAGTGCTACAAATTAGTTATCATATCAGTATTAGAAGCTTTGTTAGGAATTCCAAATAATACGCAATTGTGATTATACACAAGGTGTTTGCAAGCCCCATCTTGTAGGTATTATTAAGCCACAGAATATTTTATACATTTTAATAATTAATAGTCAAACACCTTGCTAAATACTACTCCTTTTGAGGAGAAGTAGTAGAGAAAGAATACAATTGGCTGTTTATATTTTTGTCTTATTCATAAAGAGAATAAAATTATGTAAAAGTATTTATAAGGAATTTATCATCCCAAATGCATTTTAATAGTTGTAGATAAATACTTCTGTTTTGAGAAGGCTTCAGAGCTGTAACAGAAAATGAAATAAAGGGCTCATGTGGAAAGAACTTTACAGCATGCTGCAACTTGATTGTTCACACTTCAAAGCAATTCTAAGAAAAACTGTAAATAAGGACTAGGCATAAAACTCTGCTGGCACCTGGGAATACTCAGCCCACTGCACAACAGAACAGAATCTGAATTCTGGCAAACAGCCAACCTCTGTGGATAAATCTGGAAAGGCTTAATGTACACTGAAGAACTGATGTACTCAGAAACTATGTGGGTGTACTTAGCTTCATGCCACTTAGAGAACTCATTGACTTCCCTGAATACAAAGTAGATCTGGTCATCATGTGTTACACCAGATTCTAGTACTGCTTGCAAGCCCATAATAAAACCCAGAGTTTATAGGAAGGACTCACCTTTCTCAAGAGATACTTCTCCTACTCTCTCTCCTTTTTAATGCTCATTTGGACTTATTAGACTCTCCAAAGCAGTTCTCATACACTTTAACAAGATGAAGATATACTAGGAAAGGTAATTGGGTGAGCATTACTAAGTGTGAGTCATAAATAGTGTAACAAAGGCTTTGAGTGAGTCATCTGCCTAAGTTACCATAGCTATACCCAACATAACACTGCCTTTCTCTTTGTTAAGTGGACAAACTACCATAACGTCTAACAGTATCAATAGCATGTTTTTTTGAATAGCTCATTTTTAAATATTCTCAGTTGTTTAAGTTTATGTCATATATTTTCCAGATTAAGGCTCTTTGGAACAGAAACCACTGTTATAAAGATAGGCAACAGATCACTTGCGTATTTTAAAACAAGAAATGCACAGACATTGTAGGGATTTGTTTTTTCATGATAGCCTGGTAATAAAAAAGTTTAATACAAAACCTTTCATCTTCAAAGGGATCTGAAAAACGTAATTATTCAACGCAATAGCAAATGTTAGATTTCTATTAAGTTAGCTGAATTTTCCAGTTTCTTTCCTTCCCTCAGCATACATTTTCCTATTGCTGGCTTCACCAGAAAAATAACAGCTTAAAATTTATCCCTAAGCTAAAACCCATTAAATGATTGACACAATCTTAGCTAACATGAAAAGTGACTTATATAAAACCTGGTTTGCTGTTTGGGGGCATATTCTGCTCTCAGCAAATGAATGCACATTTTTCTCCATTGATCAGTGGAAAGAAGTGAATATTCTTCAAACATGAAACTTTCTTATATAGCTAAATATCTTTTGTGCTACTATGAGTCATTCCTGAGCATGTCTTTTATTCCTTTGTGATTTTATCAAAGTTCAGATATTTTTAAAAGATCTTGGAATTTTCTAAATAGGGTTCACGTAATATATTCTCCAGCTATATACTTTTTTTTAAAAGGTATTAGAACGAATTCAGATCCTGACATACCATCTTGTGTTTCACATATGATCAGTCACCTTCTTAAGATGATAACAACTTTGACGTTGCAAATGAACACATTCCCATGTGCTTGAGGCCAAAAAGAGGCAGTCAGTGAAACTAAAAGGAATTGCCTGAATATGACTGTTATTTCTATTTGTTGCTAGGTTCTTATTGGAATCTGTGTTGGTAAATTAATTTGGGGTGCACATATCATAGGGTTGATATTCACTTTGTGTCACCAATATGGCTGTATTTCTTATTGAAATACTGAGAAATTTCTGTATAGATTAGTAGGTAGCTGTTGCTGCAGACCCTGCCAAATGTCTGTCTGTCTTTTCCTGCTGCTCTGGTCCCACACGGGGATTGTCGCTTCTTCTCCTTACTTCAGAAATTGTTAATATCTTTGCACGAGTTTTTTCTTGGGCTCTATTCCTGAGCCAAGACTAGCATCTATTCTGGTTGGTTGTTGTTTACGCTACACATATATTTTAAAAGTCACCTCAGCTTCTGTGTATGGGAAGTGATGGAGTCAGAGTGTCCTAATTGAATCCTGAGTTCTGCTACTCAGCAATGCATGATTTTGGGTGGGTTGTTTACCTGCTCTGTGTCCCAGTTACTTCCTATGTAAAATGGAAATAATAAAATGAATTAGCTCACAGGGATTTTGTGCACATTATATAATACATGTGAAGTACTTAGAATAGTGTCTTTCAGTAAATGTCCCATAGTGTTGTCGTCTTTGCTGCCTGGTGTAGGAATAGAACACAAATTTCTTGATTGTGAGCTTGAAATTTTTACACTAGATAATACCCCTCTGGCTCCAATAATGCTGGTGATATAATAAGGTACTAGACTACAGCAATCATTTGAGTGAGAAATGAAATCTATTTTCAATTTTCATTTATTTAAAAACATGGTTCACCTGAGAGTATTGCATGCTGATTTTCATTATTTACAAGGATGTTATGTAAATATAAAGACTAGAGTTATTACTTGCATGCTATGAGCCAAGTAAAATTTAAATGTGACTAAAGGAGAAAGCCAGGGACTACTTACTGCTACCTAGCACTGACCTTTCAGAAGGGCAACTTGAACAATTCTACCTGCAAAAAGTGCCTCATTAGCTGACCGTACAGCATCTCCACTGTCCAGGTAGAAACAGGATGGAGCAGTTGGTGAAGGGACCACATTGTTTTTGCTTTAATCTTATTGGTGACATTTGCATCTGTCAAAACTGTCCTTCCTCCCTGAGGACTGAAGCATTGTGGATCACAGTCCTTTTCAGTCAAACTGATCAGTTCATTTAAAAATTATCTCCTGTAGGACGGGCATGGTGGCTCATGCCTATAATCCCAGCACTTTGGGAGGCCAAGGCAGGTGTATCACCTGAGGTCAGGAGTTCAAGACCTGCCTGACCAACATGGAGAAACCTTGTTTCTGCTAAAAATACAAAATTAGCTGTGCGTGGTGGCACCTGCCTGTAATCCCAGCTACTCAGGGGGCTGAGGCAGGAGAATCAATCACTTGAACCCAGGAGGCGGAGGTTGCGGTGAGCCAAGATGGTGCCATTGCACTCTAGCCTGGGCAAAAAGAGCGAAACTCTGTCTCAACAGCAACAAAAAATTAGCTCTTGTATTCAGCATAATTGTCAAACCCTGTCACTTCCGGTGTGTGTATGTGTGTTGTGTGTGTTGGGGGCGCTCAGGGGATTGTTGAGAGGATAAGGGGAAGAGGATGAAAGGGAGATGCCAGTTAATCTTATTAAATGGGTTTTCTTTCTGCTGTGAATTAAATATCACCTTCCTTTTGTCTCTACTTTCTGTGGAGAGGGCATGGAGGGAATTAGCCACAGGAGTAATTGATTATTCTGTTGA